>NC_000007.14:69173445-69476475 GCF_000001405.40 Homo sapiens | reverse complement strand
CTACACTCAGCAGGTTCAAGCTACAGTCATGATCCTTCCCCTTAGAGCTTCTCCCATAGTCCTTGTTTGGTTACCAGCATAACCATCCTTTCAGTTACTTAAGATTAAAATATTCAGTAATCTTTTTTTTTTTTTTTTTTTTGAGACAGTCTCTCTCTATCACCCAGGCTGGAGTGCAGTGGCTTGATGTAAGCTTACTGCAACCTCTGCCTCCCAGGTTCAAGTGATTCTCATGCCTCAGCCTCCCCAGTAGCTGGGATTATAGGCGTGTGCCACCATGCCTGGCTAATTTTTGTCTTTTTTGGTAGAGACAGGGTTTCGCCATGTTGGCCAGGCTGGTTTTGAACTCCTGGCTTCAAGTGATTCACCTGCCTCGGCCTCCCAAAGTGTTGGGATTACAGACATGAGCCACTGCGCCCGGCCTGTTTTTTTGTCATTGTTGTTTGTTTGTTTTTGAGACAGGGTCTGTGTTGCCCAGACTGGAGTACAGATCATGGCTCATGGCAGCTTCAACCTTCTGGACCCAAGTGATCCTCCCATCTCAGCCTCCTGAGTAGCTGGGACCATGGGAGTGTACTACCATGAGAGGCTAGTATTTTTGTTTGTTGTGGAGATGGGGGGTGGGTCTCACTATGTTGTCAAGCTGGGTCTCGAACTCCTGGGCTCAAGCAGTCCTCCCTCCTCAGCCTCCCAAAGTACTGGGTTTGCAGGCTTGAGCTACTGCATCTCAGTAATCTTTGACTTCTTTAATTCTCCCAACCAATCTAAATAACCTTTCTAATTAAACACTGAGTCCTGTTGATTGTCTCTCTCTTTCTTTAATTTGAAAGACAGGGTCTTGTTCTATTGCTCTGGCTGGAGTGCAGTGGTGTGATCATAGCTCACTGCAGCCTCCAACTCCTGGGCTCAAGAGATTCCCCTGTTTCAGCCTACTGAGTAGCTGGGACCACAGGTGAGCCTGGTTAATTAAAAAAAATTTTTTTGTGAGGCCAGGTACAGTGGCTCATGCTTGTAATCCCAGCACTTTGGGAGACAGAGGTGGGAGGATCACTTGAGCCCAGGAGTTTGAGACCAGCCTGGGCAACACAGTGAGACTTTGTCGCTACAAAAATAAAAATTTAGCCAGGTGTGGTGGTGCATACCTGTAGTCCTAGCTACTTGGGAGGTTGAGGTGGGAGGATCACTTGAGCCCAGGAGGTTGAGGCTATAGTGAACTGTGATTGCACCACTGCATTCCAGCCTGGGCAACAGAGTGAGACCCTGTCTCAAAAAAAAACATTTCTTTTTTAATAGACTAAGAAGTCTCACTATGTTTCTCAGGATGGTCTCAAACTCCTGGCTTCGAGCTATCCTTCTGCCTTAGCCTTGTGTCTTTTTTTTTTTTTTTTTTTTTTGAGACAGAGTCTCACTCTGTTGCCCAGGCTGGAGTGCAGTGGCACGATCTCGGCTCACTGCAACCTCTCTCTCCTGGGCTCAAGTGATCCTACTGCCTCAGCCTTCCGGGTAGTGGGATTACAGGCATGCGCCACTATGCCCAGCTAATTTTTGTAGTTTTAGTAGAGGCAGGGTTTCGCCATGTTAGCCAGGCTGGTCTTCAACTGCAGACCTCAAATGATCCACCGGCCTTCGCCTCCCAAAGTGCTGGGATTATAGGCATGAGCCACTGCACCCGGCCTGCCTTGCCTCTTTAATCCAATTCCCCACTAATTCCTATTCCACACTATCTGTGTGGTTTGAGCCTTTGCTATGCCTCTCTTCAGACAACTTCAAAAACTGCCTAATCGGTCCCTCTTCCTCTTTTCTCTTCACCCTCTGATTTAACCTGTAAGCCGGGAGTTATTTCCTGATGTCCATGAGCTTCGGAGAGTTTGAAGTCCATCCTATAACTGGTTAGAAAATTCTGTGCATATATGGATCATTGAGGTCGGGAGTTTGAGACCAGCCCGGCCAACATGGCAAAACCCCATCTCTACTGAAAACACAAAAATTAGCCAAGCGTGGTGGTGAGCACCTGTAATCCCAGCTACTTGGGAGGCTGAGGCTGGAAAGTTGCTTGAATCTGGGAGGCAGAGGTTGCAGTGAGCCAAAATCGCACTACTGCATTCCAGCCTGGGTGACAGAGTGAGACCCTGGCTCAAAAAAAAGAAAAGAAAAAGAAAAAGTAAAAGAAAAAGAAAATTCTGTGCATATATACATTCCCCTTGCCAAGCCCCCTGGGGAGAGAATCTACAGCTATCATTAGATTTTCAGATTTTCAGAGGAATTTTTGATCCAAGAAAGCTTTGCTATCTTATGGATAGAGTGGCCAGAGTGATCTTTCTAAAACAAACGTGTGATCATGTTATTTCTTTGCTTAAAAATGTCTAAAAGTCACAGGCTGTGGTGGCTCACGCCTGTAATCCCAGCACTTTGGGGGGCCACGGTAGGTGGATCATCTGAGATCAGGAGTTTGATACCAGCCTGGCCAACATGATGAAACTCCCTCTCTATTAAAAATACAAAAATGAGCCGGATGTGGTGACACGCACCTGTAATCCCAGCTACTCAGGAGGCTTAGGAACAAGAACTGCTTGAACCCGGGGGGCAGAAGTTGCAGTGAGCTGAGATTGGGCTGCTGCACTCCAGCCTGGGTGACACAGTGAAAAAAAGAAAAGTATGAAACTCCGTTCTGCCCATAGGATCAAATAAAAGTAATTTATCTCTGCCTGTGTAACTATACTACTACAGAGTCAACTTCTCAATATCCCTCTCTTCCTCCTTACAAACAGGATACTGATTTTGTTTGGAGAGTCATTGTGTCCAGTAAGGAAAATTAGCGTTCCTAGGCTTTCTTGCAGTAAGGAGTATTCATGTGGTTGGGTGCGGTGACTCACACCTGGAATCTTAGCAATTTGGAAGGCCAAGGTGGGAGGATTGTTTGAGCCCAGGAGTTCGAGACCAGCCTGGGCATCATGGCAAAACTCTGTATCTACAAAAAAATACAAAAATTAGCCACCAGGAATGGTGGCACATGCCTGTAGTCCCAGCTATTTGGGAGGCTGAGACAGGAGGATTGCTTGAGCCCAGGTGGTTGAGGCTGCAGTCAGCTATGATTACACCACTGCACTCCAGCCTGGGCAAAAGAGCAAGACCCTGCCTCTAAATAAAAAAGAGAAATGGCCATGTGATCCCTTCTGGCCAATGAGAAGAAGTCGAAGTGTGCAGGGTGGGGCTTATGGGAAAGTGTCAGAGAGGAGACAGATTCACCCATCAGGCTCCTTTGGTCCTTTCTGATTCACTTTTTCCTTTTCCTGCAAAAATGCTCCTATAGTGTGACCATTTTACAATTATGAAAATGAAAATCAAAAACCACAGTGGCTCACGTCTGTAATCCCAGCACTTTTGGAGGCCATGGCAGGAGGATCACTTGAACCTAGAAGATTAAGACCAGCCTGGGCAATACAGTGAAACCCCCATCTCTACAAAAAGTATTAAAAAATTAGCCGGATGTGGTGGAGTACACCTGTAGTCCCAGCTACTAGGGAGGCCGAGGCAGGAGGATCTCTTGAGCCTAGAGGTTGAGGCTGCAGTGAGCTGTGAGCATGCCACTGCACCCCAGCCTGGGTGATGAAGTGAGACCCTGTTTGAAACAAAAACAAAAACAAACAAACAAACAAAAACCATATAGTGTCCAGACATGGTGGCTCACGCTTGTAATCCCAGAAATTTGGGAGGCTGAGGTGGGTGGATCACCTGAGGTCAAGAGTTCGAGACGAGCGTGGCCAACATGGCGAAACCCCGTTCTTTACTAAAAATACAAAAATTAGCTGGGTGTGGTAGCGTGCACCTCTAATCCCAACTACTCGAGAGGCCGAGGCAGGAGAATCGCTTGAACCCAGGAGGTGGAGGTTGCAGTGAGCCGAGATCACACCACTGTACTCCAGCCTGAGCAACAGAGCAAGACTCTGTCTCAAAAAAAAAAAAAAAAAAAGAAAGAAAAAAAAACATAGTAATGATGGTAAGAACAAGAGTTTCTTTGCCAGCTTAGTAGAGCCTACTTGCAGACTTCCCATTGTGTAACTAAAAACACCCTTACTTGTTAAGCACCGCTGGCCTCATGTTCCTAACTGATACAGTTTACAGAGCTCCTAGAATCTGACCCCAAACACCATCAAGCCTCATCTCCTCTCATTGTGCCAGTCAACTGATATGCTAACCATGCCAGATTTCTTACTTTTTTCAATTTGTCCTGTATTAAAAACAAACAAAATCCTTGTTGTTTTAGAAAAATTTTAGATGTATAGAAACATTTCAGGGTTAGTTCTGAGAGCTCCCATATACCTCCCCCCATCTAGTTTCCATTATAGTTATATAATGGAATAGTTATATATAGTCTGACATTACCATGGTACATTTGTTACAGCTGAGAAACCAACACTGGTATATTACCATTAACTAAACTTCCAGCTTTCTCAGATTTCAGTAGGTTTTTTTTTTCACTGATGTTTTCTTTCTTTTTCAGGATTCCATCCAAGACACCACATTACACTGAATTGTCATCTGTCCTTTGTTTCTTCTGATCTGTGACAGTTTTCAAGTCTTTTCTTGTGTTTGATAACCTTGACAGTCTTGAGGAATACTGCTGGGTATTCTGTAGAATTCTCTCAGTGTGGGCTTGTCTGATGTTTTTCTTATGGCTAGGTTGAGCTTTGGGATTTTGGAAGGAAGACTATAGAGATGAAATTCCATTTTCGTCACATCACACGAAAGGTATGTACTATTAACATGACGTATCACTGATACTAACCTTGATCTCGATCATCAGGTAAAAGAAGTGTTTGCTGCTTGCCAGATTTCTTCTCTGTAATGTTACCTTATTTTTCTCCCCACTCCCTCGTTTTCTTTTCTTTTTTTTTTTTTTTTTTTTTTTTGAGACATGACTTGCTGTCTCACCCAGGCTAGAGTGTAGTGGCGTAATTACTGCTCACTGAAGCCTCAGCCTCTCAGGCTCAAATGATCCTCCCACCTCAGCTTCCCAAGTAGCTGGGACTACAGGCATGTGCCATCACGTCCAGCTAATTTTTAAGAAGGCTTTGTAGAGACAGGGTCTCACTCTGTTGCCGGGCTGGTCTCCAACTTCTGGGCTCAAGTGATCCTTTCACTTTGGTGTCCCAAAGTGCTGGGATTACAGGCATGAGCTAACCCACCCTGCCGATTTTTCCCCTTTGTATACTTCTTTCATTCTTCTGTAAGGAAGATTTGTCTCTAAGGCCCACAATTATTTTATTCAGTCGTTTACTTAAATCAGTAGTATGGTTTGGCTCTGTGTCCCCACCCAAATCTCATTTTGATTTGTAATCCCCATGTGTGGAGGGGAGGAAATGGACTAATACAATCAGTATGGACTCACGGTTGTTTCTTGTATACTTTGGGTTATAATCCAATACTAGGCTATTTATTTTGTTGTTTAAGTTGTTGCAGCTTTGGCCATTTAGAATCTTTCAGAGTTTGACATGCCCTATCCTTTTGTTTTTTGAGTCCTTTCTTACTTTCTTTTTTTGTTTATTTTGAGATGGGGTCTTGCTCTGTCACCCAGGCTGGAGTGCAGTGGTGCAATGATAGCTCACTGCAGGCTTGAACTCCTGGGCTCAAACGATGCTCCCACCTCAGCCTTCCAAGTGCCTGGGACTACAGGTGCATGCCTCTGGATAATTAAAAAAAAATTGTTTTTGAGATGAGATCTCACTTTTTCACCCAGGCTGGAGTGCAGTGGCATGAACATGGCTCACTGCAGCCTTGACCTCCCAGACTGAAGTGATCCTCCTGCCTCAGCACCCCCAAGTAGCTGGGACAACAGGTGCACGCCACCAACCCTGGCAAATTTTTGTATTTTTTTGTAGAGACGAGATTTCACCATGTTGCCCAGGCAGGTCTTGAACTCCTGAGCTCAAGTGATCTGCCCACTTCAGCCTCCCAAAGTGTTGGGATTACAGGCCTGAGCTGCCTCATCCAGCCACTTTCTTACTTTCTAGCACCATAAAAGTTTCAGTTTCATCTTGTATCTTCCCTGCCACAGCCCTAGCTTCAGTCATATCTGCAAGGTGCTATGCTTCCTTTTATTGCAGAATGGTATTAGAGACCAAGATCTGAACACTTAATGTGCTCATTTCTACAGGGATATCACTGCCTCTAGGCCCAAAAAGCTGACAGAACTAGAAAATATGTGTGTGTACTAACTCATGTGTATTAGTTCGTTTTCACACTGCTGATAAGGACATACCTGAGACTGGGTAATTTGCAAAAGAAAGACTTTTAATTCGACTCACAATTCCATGTGGCTGAGGAGCCCTCACAATCGTGGTGGAAGGTGAAAGGCACGTCTTACATCGCAGCAGGGAAGAGAGAGAATGAGCATCAAGTGAAACGGGTTTCCCCTTATCAAATCATCAGATCTCGTGAGACTTATTCACTACCACTAGAACAGTATGGGAGAAACTGTCACCACAATTCAATTATCTCCCACTGGGTCACTCCCACAACACGTGGGGATTATGGGAGTATAATTCAAGATGAGATTTGGGTGGGGACACAGGGCTAAACCATATCACCATGTTTATACAACCTATCTACCATAGCTTCTGTATTTATCCATTTGTTTCCCTATTCAGTTAAACATGAATTCATGCTGATATCTCTGACTCTAATCCAGCACCACATGGTTTAGTCTAGTCCTTCCCTCCTGCTTATCCGTAATTTCCCTTGACAATAGTGATAAACTCATCTCCCACCATCCACCCTCTATTTGCTTATTAGTTTATCTCCAGTATGCATGTAAAATAGGTTCAGAAATTTTAACCTATAATCCTATGAGAAACAACTTCACCAACCGGAGTATAGTGTTTATGTAGATTTCCATTTGTTTTTAGCCTTGCATTTTCCAAAGTTATTTAGATCAGCTCTTTTTTCCCCAAACCACTTCACAACTTTGTAAAACATTTAGACCCTTTTGTCACAGTCTGCATTTCATTCTGGGATACCCCCATCTTCTGTTTTTTTTTTTTTTTAATCTGCATCCATTGAAGTTTACTCTTTGTGAAATTAAGTTCTATAGGTTTTGACAAATACATAGCAAACTGTGTACATTTCCCCAGTGTCATAAAAAATAATTCCATAATCCTGAAATTTTCCTGTGTCCCCTTTGTGACCCTCTCCCTAACTTCCTTTTGTTTTCACAGTTTTACTTTGCCTAAATTTACTTCTTCTTCTCTGCTGGTGTCTAACTACCAACTAATGGTGGATCAAACATCTCTTCTACAAACTCCATTCTTAACATTATTACCTCCCAATCCCACAACACGCACATTGATACTCAAAAACACTCATTACTTAAAGTTTCCATAGAACTTTTCTCTTACTTCTATTATAGAATTTCAATTTTATGATGAAATAGTTTTAGTTTTTTTGTCTTCCCCCTACCTTTGACAGCTTCTAGAGGCCAAGGATTATGCTTTTTTCATTGCTATTTCTTAAGAGCTTGGCTTAAAGTGAGTGTTCATTAAAAGTTTGTGGTTTTTTGAATTGGATACATTATAGTTAATATTTAAATTAACCAGTTAATTAAACTGAACAAGTATTTATTGAGCACCATGTAAGTTCTTGGCAGTTTAATAGGTGCTAGATGTGGGGAATACGAAATGAGTATCCTGTTTAACAATGTCCTTGGGTTTATAATGTCATTGAGACAATAGTTTACATTTGGTGCTGATGTGTTTATCATTACGTGGTTGGAGCTGGGGATGGGAAGCTCCAACCTGGTAGTAATAAGTTAGTTTGGCATTTGGGGCAGGCAAAATTTCAGTGATCCAGATTTTGGATTAGGATATTGAGAAAAGAAATAATCCTGGATGGCTGGGTGCAGTGGCTCACACCTGTAATCCTAGCACTTTGGGAGGCCAAGGCAGGAGGATCACTTGAGACCAGCAGTTCAAGACCACCCTGGGCAACATGGTGAAACCTGTCTCTACTGAAGATAAAAAAATTTGCTTGGGTGTGATGGAACACACCTGTACTCCCAGCTACTCAGGAGGCTGAAGTGGGAGGATCACTTGAGCCCAGGAATTTGAGGCTGCAGTGAGCTATGATTGTGCCACTGCACTCCAGCCTGGGTGATAGAGCAAGAACTTGTTTCAAAAAAAAAAACCAAAATGTCACTACTTCCTTCAGTGTCTCCTCTTGAAAGGGAGAAAGACAGACTCAGGGGCTCTGTGGCTTGCATGCTTAGCTGTATTTGCACTGGCAAAGGCAGCACATGTTTATTGTACAATAAATAATTTGCTTAGTCTTGTCCTGGGTTCCTGGCATGGAACTTCAAAAACACTTGGAATTTCTCAAGTGATAGGAGAATCTTTACAGTTCAGGAGCATCTTGGATCACACCGAAGTTTATGCTACTGCAGTGACTCATGGTGGGTCCCTAGGCTGGTTGCCAGAGAGATCAACCATGTGATTAGAGGACTTTGAGCCAGTTTACCAGTGGGCAACAACAGGACTGGAGATGGAGTTCAATCATGTGACCAATGATGCAGCTGATTATTTAATTAGTCATGTTTATGTAATGAAACCCCAATAAAAAAGCTGGACACTGGGGCTCAGTGGAGTTTCTTGGCTGGTGAATACATCAATGTGACACGCTCTGATTCGATGGGGAGGGGCATGGAAGCTCTGCATTTGAGACCCTCCCAGATCTTGCCCTAAGTATCTCTTCATTTGGCTGGTCGAGATTTGTATCCTTCATTAAAAAAAACTGTAATTGTGGGCTAGGCGCAGTGGCTCACACCTGTAATCCCAGCACTTTGGGAGACTGAGGCAGGAGGATCACTTAAGGTCAAGAGTTTGAGACCAGCCTGGCCAACATGGTGAAACCCTGTCTCTACTAAAAATACAAAAATTAGCCAGGCGTGGTGGCAGGTACCTGTAATCCCAGCTGTTTGGGAGGCTGAGGCAGGAGAATTGCTTGAACCCGGGAGGTGGAGTTTGCAGTGAGCTGAGATAGCGCCACTACACTTCAGCCTGGGAGAAAGAGTGAGACTTGTCTTAGAAAGAAACCAAAAAACCTCACAAAACTGTAGTTGTGGCCCAGTGTGGTAGCTCACACCTGTAATCCCAGCACTTTGGGAAGCCAAGGCTGGAGGATTGCTTGAGCCTATCAGTTTGAGACCAGCCTGGGCAACAAAGTGGGACTCCCATCTATACGAAAAATAAACCAATTAGCTGGACAGGGTAGCTCATGCCTGTAGACCCAGCTACTTAAGAGGCTGAGGCAGGAGGATTGCTTAAGCCCGGGAGGTCAAGGCTGCAGTGAGCTATGATCATGCCACTGCACTCCAGTCTGGGTGACAGAGCAAGACCCTGTCTCAAAACAAAACAAAAAACTGTAGTTATAGGTATAGTGTTTTCTTGAGTTCTGTGAGTCATTTTAACAAATTATCAAACCTCAGGGGGTGGTAGGGATCCCCAAATTTTTAGCCAGTCTGAAGTGTGGGTGGCCTGAATTGTAGCTGGTGTCTAAAGTGAGGGTCAGCCTTCTTGTGAAGCCCTTAACTTGTGGGGTCTACACCAATTTCAGGTAGTGAATGCCAGAACTGAATTACAGTACAACAGCTGAGGTTAGAACAGAATGCGTGCACCACCAATGAGGGAATACAGCATCAAGGGTTGAATTCCAGGCTTAACATTTAGAGGAGAGTGATGTTTGAGGGATTAGTTCCTTAAACCTCTACAAATCACAGCTTGTGGTTTTCTTGCTACTCCTCATAATGGTGAAGGCAGATGGTGGGAGAATAGTTTGTGAAGATGGTGAAATGTGGGGGTGGGCCATTGTGATACTAGGAAATATATATTTGGTCTTCATTTCTGTTTCCTGGCATACAACTCCTAAAATCCTTTGGATCTCCAAAATGCTATCTTTTCTGTTTTTTGTTTTTTGTTTTGTTTTTTTTTTTTTTTTTTTTTTTTTTGAGACACAGTCTCACGCTATTGCCCAGACTGGAGTGCAGTGGCACGATCTCGGCTCACTGCAACCTCTGCCTCCTGGGTTCAAGCGATTCTCCTACCTCAGCCTCCCGAGTAGCTGGGACTACAGGCGTGCGCCACCACGCCCAGCTAATTTTTGTATTTTTAGTAGAGACGGGGTTTCGCCATGTTGGCCAGGCTGGTCTCAAATTCCTGACCTCAGGTGATCCACCCGCCTCAACTTCCCAAAGTGCTGGGATTATAGGTGTAAGCCACTGCACCTGGCCCGAGCTTGTGGTTTTTCTTGCTACTACTCATATGGTGAAGGCAGATGGTGGGAGAATACAGTTTGTGAAGATGGTGAAATGTGGGGGTGTGCCATTGTGATATTAGGAAATATGTATTTGGTCTTCATTTCTTTGCCGGCATACAACTCCTAAAATCCTTGGGATCCCCAAAATGCTGTTTTTTCTGGGTCCTTTTTATTTTTATTTTTTTAAGACAGGATCTCACTCTGATGCCTAAGCTGGAGTGCAGTGGCATGATCTTAGCTCACTGCAACCTCTGCCTCCGGGTTCAAGCAATTCTCCTGCCTCAGCCTCCCGAGTAGCTGGGATTACAGGTGTGGGCCACCATGCCCGGCTAATTTTTGCATTTTTAGTAGAGAGGAGATTTTACCATGTTGGCCAGGCTGGTCTCAAACTCCTGACCTCGAGTGATCTGCCTGCCTCAGCCTTCTAAAGTGCTGGGATTATAGGCGTGAGCCCCCGCGTTCAGCCCTTTTCTGGGTCTTTTGTCTGATAGCTTCAGGGTGGGGCTGGTCACTGGGAAGACCAGGGCAGGATTAAAGGGTTGAGACTTTCAACTCCAGTCCCCACCTCCAGGAGAGGGGCTGAAAGTTAAGTTGATCACCAGTGGCTAATGGTTTTATCAATCATGCCTACATAATGAAGCCTCCAGAAAAACCCAAGAGGACAGGGTTTGGAGAGCTTCCAGATAGCTCAACACATGGAGGTTCCTGGAGGAAATTGCACCCAGGGAAGACAATGAAAGCTCTGTGCCTCTTTCCCATACTTCACCCTCTGCACCTCTTCATCTGTCTCCTCTGCATTCTCATTCGTAATAAACCAGAAAATGTAAGTTAGTGTTTCCATGAGCTCTGTGAGCTGCTGCAATTAATTAATTGAACCCAAAG
Source organism: Homo sapiens (assembly GCF_000001405.40). Lineage (NCBI taxonomy): Eukaryota > Metazoa > Chordata > Mammalia > Primates > Hominidae > Homo > Homo sapiens. The sequence continues at coordinate 69,465,291 of NC_000007.14, read as the reverse complement.
AGGGGGTCATAGGATTTCCAACCTGAAGCAATTGGTCAGAAGTTCCGGATCCCCAGAATTGCTGCTGGTGTCTGATACTGGGCGGGGTGGGGTGGGGGGGCGGGGTGGGGTCGGGGGGCGGGCGGTTGGGAGGGCAGCCTTGGGGACTGAGCCCTCAGTGTATGGGATCTGACACCATCTCCATGTGAATAGTGTCAGAATTAAATTGGAGGACACCCAGATGTCTGCTGCTTGGTGTGTGGGGATAAACCCTCATCCCCTCTGTCACAGAAGTCTTCTATGTTGGTGATAGTAGTTGTGATGTGAGAGCAGAGGAAAAAGACAGTCTGAGAGTTTTTCATGAAATATTCCAGAGGTCACTGCAGCAACGCTATAGCCTCCCCAAGGGGATGAAGCCCAGGCTCCCCGGGCCACAGACCTGTAGGACCTTCCTGCCTAATGGCATATATTGGGAGGTCCATCATTCTTATGGGTCATGGTAGTTGGTGTTTAATTTTTTCTTCTCTACAGGTGAATGTTATTGATATTGATATTCAAGTGCCATGTTACTGAAAATAATGCCATTGCCAAAATCCAGCTTTAGGCTGACAGACCCGATTCAGGCTGAATGCAATTCACGAATCAATAGACTGTTATTATCTTAAGTTCCATGCCAGGATCTGAATTCTGCCCTAATTTAATATGACTCAACACAATTCTATATTACATTTCCACCCTTGTTCTGTCAACTCAAGGAAAACACAACTATCTTCGAGGTGGTGACACTCTCGGTTACACTTTCCTGATCCCTCTGGATGTGATTTTTAGAGACAAAATTGCAAAGTAGGAAAATCTGTGTTTGGGGCCTCTCAGCCTGTTCCTTACTCTTTCTATTTCTCATCAGGTCTTTAGTTCCCACAAGACCTTCCTTTCCCAGGAGAACACCAATCCCCTGGCAAAAGTTGGTAGTGCCTTTCCCAGGGACATTTTTTTTTTTTTTTTTTTGAGACCGGGTCTTGGTCTGTTGCCCAGGTTGGAGTGCAATGGTGTGATCACATGGCTCACTGCAGCCTTGACCTTCCAGGCTTAGGTGATCCTCTTGCCTCAGCCTGCCTTGTAGCTGGAACCACAGGTGCACCCCCATAATGCCCAGCTAATTTTTAAATTATTTGTAGAGATGGAGTCTCCCTTCGTTGCTCAGGCTGGTCTCAAACTCCTGGACTCAAGCAATCCTCCCACCTCGGCCTCCCAAAGTACTGGGATTATAGGCATGAGCCACTGCTCCCGGCCACCAATACTCTTTTTATAAAAATTCATTTGCTGAACAAATCTTTCAGTGCTTACTATGTGCCATTTGTGGTGTTAGGGACTAGTTCTATAGCAGTAGGGAAAAATCTTGGCCAGGCATGGTGGCTGATGCCTGAAATCCCAGCATTTTGGGAGGCTGAAGTGAGAGTATGGCTGGAGGCCAGGAGTTTGAGGCCAGCCTGAGCAACATAGCAAGAACCTGTCTCAAAAAAAAAACAGAAACAGGCTGGGCGTGGTGGCTCATGCCTGTAATCCCAGCACTTTGGGAGGCCGAGGCGGGTGGATCACGAGATCAAGAGATCGAGACCATCCTGGTCAACATGGTGAAACCCAGTCTCTACAAAAAATACAAAAAAAAATTAGCCAGGCGTGGTAGCGGACACCTGTAGTCCCAGCTACTTGGGAGGCTGAGGCAGGAGAATGGCTTGAACCCGGGAGGCGGAGCTTGCAGTGAGCCAAGATAGTGCCACTGCACTCCAGCCTGGAGGACAGAGCAAGATCTGTCTCAAAAAACAAACAAACAAACAAAAAACCAGAAACAACAACAACAACAAAAACAAGTAACAAAATTACCCTCCCAGCTACTCAGGAGGCTGAGGTGGGAGCATCACTTGAGTCCAGGAGTTCCAGCCTGCAGTGAGCTAAGATTGTGCCATTGCACTGCGGCCTGGGCAACAGAGTGAAACATTGTCTCTAATAACTAATAAATAAAGAAGAATAATCTTACGTATTTTATAATTGCATGAGTATTAGCAAGAGTTAAGCAGTGGTTCTCACTTTACTGTGCATAAGAATTGCCTGAAGTGTGTGTTAAAAATGCTGATTTTTGTCCCTCTTTCTTGACTTACTAAATCTCTATCTGTGTAGAGAGAGTACAGGATTCTGCATTTTTACCAATTCCACCTCCCTGAAGTTTCTTTCTTTCTTTCTTTCTTTCTTTCTTTCTTTCTTTCTTTCTTTCTTTCTTTCTTTCTTTCTTTTTTTTTTTTAGACGGAGTTTTGCTCTTGTTGCCCAGGCTGGAGTGCAATGGTATGATCTTGGTTCATCACAACCTCCACCTCCCAGGTTCAAACGATTCTCCTGCCTCAGCTTGCCAAGTAGCTGGGATTACAGGCATGTGCCACCATGCCTGGCTAATTTTGTAATTTTTTAGTAGAGACAGGGTTTCTCCAAGTTGGTCAGGCTGGTCTCAAACTCCTGACCTCAGGAGATCTGCCTGCCTTGGCCTCTCAAAGTGCTGGGATTATAGGCGTGAGCCACCGCGCCCGGCCTGGTTTCTAAAACTGGGGGCCTGAGACCTCCATGTTGAGCTGTTTTCTTGGAATGATGAAGTGCCCTTACACCACACACAATGTCTGTTCCAGAAAGGCTTTGGACAGCAATGAGTAGTGAATGAAGTAAGCCATATGAAGGCAGGATTAGCTATGGGGCTGGGAGGGCAACTAAGTTTAAGGCCATTCGCTTGGCCATTCTTCCTTCTTCCTTGCTTACACAGCCCACCGTTGCTCAGATCACATAAAGTGGCCACAGTCATCTCAGTCCTCAATGGCAGATTTGTTATTGCCCAGTAGCCTCCTTGGTAGCTAGCCGTGGCCATACGTTCCAGTTCTGGATAAATGAAACCCAAAGAGCAATTTGTTGGGGGAACTTCTGGAAAAGATGTCCTCCTCTCATAAAAGCAGAGAGATGTTGGCCAGGTACAGAGGCTCATGTCTGTAATCCCAGCACTTTAGGGGGCCAAGGTGGGAGGATCACTTGAGGCCAGGAGTTTGAGGCCAGCCTGGGCAACATAGCAAGACTCCAGCTCTACAAAAAATTTCAAAAAAATAGATGTGGGAAGAGAGTCCCCTTCTTCCCTTCCCTCTCTGGATGGTGGTGTAGGCAGATCTGGTGTTTAGAGGAGCTGCAACCTTATTGTGATCACTAAGTCAAGGCAAGGAGTGTGGCAGAGATGCAGAATCACCCAGGAAGGACTTTTCTGCAGGTTTCTAGTTGGCTGAAACAACTAAATGTCTCTATTTTCTAAGGCAGCGGTCCCCAACCTTTCTGGCACCAGGGACCAGTTTTGTGGAAGATAATGTTTTCATGGACCAGGGGTGGGGGGAATGATTTCAGGATGATTCAAGTGCATTACATTAATTGTACACTTTATTTCTATTATTACATTGTAATAGATAATGACATAATTATACAACTCACCATAATGTAAATCAGTGAGAGCCCTGAGCTTGTTTTCCTGCAACTAGACAGTCCCATCTGGAGGTGATAAGAGACAGTGACAGATCATCAGGCATTAGATTCTCATAAGGAGTGTACAAACTAGATCCCTCGCATGCACAGTTCACAGTAGGGTTTACACACCTGTGAGACTCTAATGCTGCCACTGATCTGACAGGAGGTGGAGCTCAGGTGGTTATCCGAGTGATGGGGAGCAGCTGTGAATACAGATGAAGCTTTGCTCACCTGCCCACTGCTCGCCTCCTGCTGTGCAGCCTGGTTTTTGCAAGGACCACATGGACACAAAGAAGGGAACAACCAGTCCATGGCTCAGGGGTTGGGGACCCCTGGTCTGAGGCACTCTTGGCTCAATATTATTATTATTATTTTTGAGACAGAGTCTCACTCTGTTGCTCAGGCTGGAGTGCAGTGGCATGATCTCGGCTCATTGCAACCTCTGCTTCCCAGGTTCAAGTGATTCTCCTTCCTCAGCCTCCTGAGTATTTGGGATTACAGGCGCCCACCACCACGCCCAGCTAGGTTTTGTATTTTTTAGTAAGACGAGGTTTCACCATGTTGGCCAGGCTGGTCTCAAACTCTTGACCTCAAGTGATCCACCCACTTCAGCCTCCCAAAGTGCTGGGATTATAGGTGTGAGACACCATGCCCAGCTGGCCCCATATTCTTTATTTGCAGTTGAAGGTATTCTGTCTAATAGCCTTATTGTCCTCCCCTACCTATACACATGAGGGACCCGTCCTAGAGATTTTGTGTGGTAATGACGGCTCCAGGAAACTTCAGGCTTGAATTTCCCAGTGGTCTGGGCCCTGTGAGATATATGCATCTTTCTTAGGAGACAGGAGTTCTTGGAGAAAAGCTATCATGCTCCTTATCCATAGGGAATGAAGAACAAGCTAGCAGGGCTTGCTTCGTAATTGCAAGGCCAGGTACAAAATAAAAACCTGTTACCCCTTGTTTAAAATTGACAGGACCCCGTGTGATTGCACAGGTCACCGGTTCATGAAGCCAAACCTTCAAGAGAGAGATGGTTGTGGGTTCCTGCCTGCCAGCCAGAATCCAGCCACATGGGTCTACCCTGGTGATAAAGAGGTTTCAGTTGTCCTCCAAGTCTCACTGTGTTGTTTCCTACTCAGTTTCTTGGTAAGACTATTTCTTTGGAGCTTATGTTTTCTTGGCCTGGGTGTCTTAATTTTTTTTTTTTTTTTTTTTTTTTTTGAGACAGAGTTTCTCTGTTTCACCCAGGCTGGAGTGCAGTGGTGCGATCTCGGCTCACTGCAACCTCTACCCCCTGGGTTCATGCAATTCTCCTGCCTCAGCCTCCCGAGTAGCTGGGATTACAAGTATGTGCCACCACATCTGGCTAATTTTTTATGTTTTTGGTAAAGATGAGGTTTCATCATGTTGGCCAGGCTGGTCTTGAACTCCTGACCTCAAATGATTTGCCCACCTCGGCCTCCCAAAGTGCTTTTTTTTTTTTTTTTTTTTTTTTTTTGACAGAATTTCACTCTTTCGCCCAGGCTGGAGTGAAGTGGCACAATCTTGGCTCACTGCAACTTCTGCCCCCTGTGTTCAAGCGATTCTCCTGCCTCAGCCTCCTGAGTAGCTGGGATTATAGGTGCCCACAATGATGCCCGGCTAATTTTTGTTTTGTTTTTTTTTTTAGTAGAGACGGGGTTTCACCATGTTGGCCAGGCTGGTCTCGAATTCCTGACCTCAGGTGATCCACCTGCCTTGGACTCCCAAAGTGCTAGGATTACAGGTGTGAGCCACCGGGCCTGGCCAATTTTTTTTTTTTTTTTTTCCAGACAAAGTCTCTTTCTGTCACCCAGGCTGGAATGTAGTGGCAAAGTCATAGCTCACTGTAGTCTTGAACTCCTGGCCCAAAGCAATCCTCCTACCTCAACCTCCCAGATAGTTGGGACTATAGGCATGCACCACCATGCCTGGCTAAGTTTTAAATTTTTTTCTAGAGATGAGGTCTTGCTATGTTACCCAGTCTGGTCACAAACTCCTGGCCTTAAGCGATCCTCTGGCCTTGGTCTTCCAAAGTGCTGGGATTACAGGTGTGAGCCACTGCGCCTGGCCCTCTAATTTTGACATATTTGTTCAGGTATGTTTTTCCTCCAAACTTCTGCAGGAGAAAAGGAAACCAATTACCAAAGCTGCTTCTCTGCACCAGCCATTTTCACATGAATTATCTGTTTTATCATCGCAACAATCTTTAGAAGAGAGATGTTTTACATTTCTTCTCCATATATATATATACATATATATACACATATATATACATATATATACATATATATACACATATATATACATATATATACATATATATACATATATATACATATATACACATATATACACATATATACACATATATACACATATATATACATATATATACATATATATACATATATATACATATATACATACATATACATATATATACATATATATACATATATATACACATATATACATATATATACACATATATACACATATATACACATATATACATATATATACATATATATACATATATATACATATATACATATATACACATATATACATATATATACACATATATACATATATATACACATATATACATATATATACATATATATACACATATATACATATATATACATATATACATATATATACATATATATACATATATACATATATATACATATATATACATATATACATATATATACATATATATACATATATATACATATATATACACATATATATACACATATATAATATACATATATATACACATATATATACACATATATATACATATATATATACACACATATATATATATACACACACACACACACACACACATATATATATATACACATATATATATATATATATATATTTTTTTTTTTAGACAAAGCCTGGCTCTGTCACCCAGGCTGGAGTGCAGTGGCATGATCTTGTCTCACTGCAACCTCCGCCTCCTGGGTTCAAGTGATTCTCCTGTCTCAGCTTCCCAAGGAGCTGGGATTACAGGCATGCACCGCCACACCTGGCTATTTTTTTTTTACATTTTTAGTAGAGACGGGGTTTCACCATTTGGGCCAGGCTGGTCTTGAACTCCTGGCCTGGGATTACAGGTGTGAGCCACTGTGTCTGGCCATGTTTTATATTTCGGTATTACAGATGAGCAAACCAGGATTCAGAGGCATGAAGCGACCTGGGGTGTGGTTGGGATTTCAACTGGAGCGGATCCATTTCCAAAGTCTGGACTCTTTCTTCTGTATTGCATTGCATTTTTCCTCCCACTGCTGCCTCTTCCTACTCTGTAAAGCTCTAATGACACATTTTGTTTCCATGAGCAAGCCCCCTCCCTCCCAAGTGAAGTGGGAGCATTACGTCTTGTGCAGGTTTCTCTGTCCACGGCAGGGGATGTTTTAGCAATTACTTTACACTCTGTTTAATCCTACGGGAGTCATTACTGTTGGAGGGTAACAATAAAACAGGCTCGTTGGAATTTCCTGAAGGTAAGGCTCTCCTCTAAACAGTTTCATTGTGCTAAACAGTAATGGCAGAGGCTGTTCCTCTCCATGACCACTTTGATTGGCAGGGAAATCCAGACTACAGGCTGGAGCCCATAGTCTCTTCTTTTGTCATGGGGATTGGGCCACGTTCCAGGCACCATTCCAGGGCTAGAGCCAAAGCTGACGAATGTCTCTGATAATCACCTTCCCCCAACTTCCAGCCCAGCCCTTTGTATTCTGCAAATATTTCCTGAGTGTCCACTCTGATTGTGCTGCCCTGGGGTGAGATTTGAGACAAAGTCTCTGCTCTCGTAAGTTCCCTATCTAGTAAGAGATAAAGACAAGTTAATACAAATATGGCAGTTCAACAGTTAAAGTCTGTAGGAAAAGAGGAATGGATTACTTTTTTGCAGGGAATCCAAGAAGTTTTCCAGGAAGGATGATCTCTGAGTTGGGCTTTGAGAGATTAAGAACAATTTTCCAAGTCATGTGGGGGTGAGAGTAGGGGACATGTTTAAGCAGAGGAAACAGCACGTCCAAAAGCATGAAGCAGCATTGTGTCTGTAATAGTTAGCTATTACTGATAACAAATCCTCCCAAAACTCAAGGGCTTAAAATGATAATTATTTCTCATGAGTTTGCCTGTGGGTTGGTGGATTTAGTCTGGGCTTAGCTGGGGACTGGCTTTGTTCCATATGTCTCTCATCCTTTTCCTGCTACCAGATCACTAACAAGTCTGTTGTGGCATTGGCGGAGGTAAAAGCCAGGTAGAAACATGCACTGTTGGCCCGCTGCAGGGTGGCTCACGCCCGTAATTCTAGCACTTTGGGAGGCTGAGGCGGGTGGATTGCCTGAGCTCAGGAGTTCGAGGCCAGCCTGGGCAACATGGTGAAACCCCATCTCTACTAAAAATACTAAAAATTAGCCAGGTGTGGTGGTGTGTGCCTGTAATCCCAGCTACTCGGGAGGCTGAGGCATGAGAACCACTTGAACCCAGGAGGTGGAGTTGCAGTGAGCTGAGATCGTGCCACCACACTCCAGCCTGGGCAACAGAGCAAGATGCTGTCTCAAAAACAAACAAACAAAAAGTACTGTCATTTTGCCACATTCTCTTGGCCAAAGTAAGTCACATAGCTAAGCCTGGAGTCAAGAGTGGGGAAGAAGCCCTTCCCATGATAAAATAACACTGCAAAATTAAATGACTCATGGTATGGAATAGGGATGGGTAAAAATTTGGGGCCATTAATGCAATTTACCAAGGAAGAGTTTCTCAAAAGTGGCCTTATTGACATTTGGGGCTGGATTCTTCTTTTTTATGGGAGACTGTCCTGTGAACTATAGAATGTTTAGCAGCATCTTTGACCCCTACACCTGCTAGATGCTTGCAGCACCTCCACTAGTAGCAATCAAAAATATCTTCAGGGGAATATACATCATTTTACCATAAAGACACATGCATGCATATGTATGAATGGAGTGCTTCCTTCAGGGTGACTTTTGACATCATTGCAGCACTATTTGCAATAACAAACAAAGACATGGAATCCACCTAAATGCCCATCAGTGGCAGATTAGATAAAGAAAAAGTGTTAGGTCCACGTATACCGGAACACTATACAGCCATAAAAAGAATGAGATCATGTCCTTTGCAGGAACATGGATGGAGCTGGAGGCCATTATCCTTCGCAAACTAACACAGGAACACAAATACCGCACGTTCTCACTTATAAGTGGAAGCTAAATGATGCGAACACGTGGACACGAAGGGAACAACAGACACTGGGAACTACTTGAAGGTGGAGGATGGGAGGAGGGAGAAGAAAAAAATGTCTTCGGAGTCTCTCAATGTCCACTGGAGGGTGGAGTAATCGGGAAGGGGAGCAAAATGACCCCCACTGGAAACCACTGTATCAGGCTATGCTGAGAAAACTCAAAATATTCCAAAATCATTGGTGTGTAAGATGCAAAGTGAGGAAACTGAACAAGGTGAGGGAGGAAAGCTAAAAATGCAGCGCCTGAGGTAGGGAGGGGCTGTTTTTTAGAAGATCCCATATGTGGAATTAAGAGTTGAGATTTTTTTTTTCTTTTTTTCTTTTTTTTTTTTTTGAGATGGAGTCTCTCTCTGCTAGGCTGGAGTGCAGTGACACAATCTCGGCTCACTGCAACTTCCACCTCCCGAGTTCAAGTGATTCTCCTGCCTCAGCCTCCCGAGTAGCTGGGATTACAGGCACCCACTGCCATGCCCGGATAATTTTTGCATTTTTAATAGGGATGGGGTTTCACTATATTGGCCAGGCTGGTCTCGAACTCCTGACCTTGTGATCCGCCTGCCTCAGCCTCCTAAAGTGCTGGGATTACAGGTGTGAGCCACCACGCCCAGCCAAGATTTTTTTTTTCTCTCTAGTCAACTGCCAACTACTACATGGGTTCAGATTTGGGTTTTGGAAAGGTGACTAGTGTGTGTGATCCTTTCATCCACAGCAGCTGTCCCCATCATTCCTCACGTCAATCAATGGCTGGCCTTAAGGCACGCTTTGCTGGGACATGAGTGCTCACACCTCTGTACACTTCATGTGGCGTGGGGCACTGGTTTATCTCCACAACTGCATAAAGATTAATGACAGCCTTTTTTGGGTCGGGCATGGTGGCTCATGCCTGTAATCCCAGCACTTTGGGAGGCTAGGGTGGGCAGATCACTTGAGGTCAGGAGTTCGAGACCAGACTGGCCAACATGGTGAAACCCCGTCTCTACTAAAATTACAAAAATTAGCTGGGCATGGTGGTGGGCACCTGTAATCCCAGCTACTCAGGAGGCTTATGCAGGAGAATCGCTTGAAACTGGGAGGCGGAGGTTGCAGTGAGCTGAGATTGTGCCATTTCACTCCAGCCTGGGCAACAGAGCGAGACTCCATCTCAAAAAAAAAAAAAAAATTAACGATAGCCTTTTTCTGAAACATTCTGCTTCTGGGCCTTGATGAATACATTTTCCAATAATTCCTTTGCTTTTTCTCATCAGGGAATGATGCAGTTGAGGAATAGCACTCATATAAATACTTCTTTGCGTTTCAGAGAGCATACACCGTTCTGAATTACACACTGCAATTTAGAAATTACACTCACATGTGGAATAATATGGTTGGGTGTACTTACTACAGAAGCTGGCATCGGTCCTTCAATTGTTAAAGATCCCTGGGTATTTCTATTATGGTGTAAATTAGCTAGTATTTTCCAAGTTCATTATTGCTATTTTTATGTCCATTATTTATTTATAAGCCATTAGAGGTATAATGCAGGTTCATGGCTTTACAAGAGAAATGTCTTTTGGTTAACTTGGCACTGAAGGTCTTTGCACAGAAACACAATTTATTTGAAAGCAGAGTTTGTTTCGAGTTGAGCACAAATACATGGAGGGCGTGTCTTCTTCCTTACCAAATTTTTGCTAAAGGGAGAAGAATCCTGTGAGAATGTGAGAATGGAGTGCTTCCTGCAGGATGGCTTATTTTTTTTTAATTTTTATTTTTTATTTTTTTTGAGGCAGAATCTCACTGTGTCACCCATGCTGGAGTACAGTGGCGTGATCTCAGCTCACTGCAATCTCAGCCTCCCAGGTTCAAGCGATTCTCCTGCCTCAGTCTCTGGAATAGCTGGAATTACAGGCGCCTGCCACCATGCCCGGCTAATTTTTGTATTTGTAGTAGAGACAGGGTTTCACCATGTTGGCCAGGCTGGTCTTGAACTCCTGGCCTCAAGTGATCCTCCGTCCTCAGCCTCCCAAAGTGCTGGGATTACAGGCATGAGCCACCAGGCCCAGCCTAGGAAAGATTTTGACATTATAGGCAATTGGTTCCATTTTATTATGGGGGAACCAAAATATCTTGCGGGCCTATTCCAGTGTGAAGAGATTAAGGCTTGAGAGATGAGATTTGGGTTGTGTATGATGTTTCTAAGACTGTTGGCTGGGCATGGTGGCTCACGCCTGTAATCCCAGCACTTTTGGAGACTGAGTGGGAGGGTCCCTTGAGCCCAGGAATTTGAGCGAAGTCTGGGCAATATAGTGAGACCCTGTCTCTATAAAAAATTTTAGGCCAGGCGCGGTGGCTCAAGCCTGTAATTCCAGCACTTTGGGAGGCCGAGGCAGGCAGATCACAAGGTCAGGAGATCGAGACCATCCTGTGAATGGTGAAACCCTGTCTCTACTAAAAATACAAAAAATTAGCCGGGTGTGGTGGTGGGCGCTTGTAGTCCCAGCTACTCGGGAGGCTGAGGCGGGAGAATGGTGTGAACCTGGAAGGCCGAGCTTGCAGTGAGCCAAGATTGCGTCACTGCACTCCAGCCTGGGTGACAGAGCGAGACTCTGTCTCAAAAAAAAAAAAAAAATTTTAGAACATTAGCTAAGCGAGGTGGTGCATGCTTCTAACCCCAGCTACTCAGGAGGCTGAGGCAGGAGGAGTGTTTGAGCCTGAGAGGCAGAGGTTGCAGTGAGCTGGGATCATGCTACTTTACTCCAGCCTGAGTGACTGAGCAAGACTGTCTCAAAAAAAAAAAAAAAAGAAAAAGACTGAAGCCGTGCTTCCCAAATTTGCTGGATCCCACGAATTATCTGATATGCTTTATTACACATTCTGATTCCAGGTCATCATCCCAGAAGAAAGTCCTGGGAATGTGTATGTTTAACTGGTGCCCCATGCATCTCTTACGAGTGGGCAAGTTTGTGAAGGACTTGGTTGTTGGTCTGAGATTTGGCTCTTCCTTCGAATCGCAGAGAAAGCTTTTTAATATACAGACTGCTGAGCTTCACTTACAATCCCTGGGGGCAGGGCCCTGGAATCTGTATTTTTATTTTTAATTATTTATTATGAGACAGAATCTCACTCTGTCGCCCAGGCTGGAGTGCAGTGGTGCAATCTTGGCTCACTGCAGCCTCAACCTTCCAGGCTCAAGTGATCCTCCCACCTCAGCCTCCAGAGTAGCTGGGACTACAGGCAAAACGGCACTACACTTGGCTAATTTTTAAAGATTTTTTGTAAAGACAGTGTCTCATTATGTTGCCCAAGCAGATCTCAAACCCCCAGGGTCAAGTGATCCTCCTGCCTCGGCCTCCCAAAGTGTTGGGATTATAGGCCTGAGCCACTGAGTTCGGCCTTGATTACATTAAAAAAATTGTGATAAACTGCACATAAGATAACATCATTTAACCATTCTGACATGTGCAATTCAGTGGCATTTAGTATATCCACAAGGTTTTGCAGCCATCACCATTATCTAGTTCCAGAACATTTTCATTGCTCCAAAGGGAAACTCCTGCTTATTAAAAAGTCACTCCCCATTCCTCCCTCCCTCAGCCCCTAGCAGGCACTAATCTGCTTTCTATCTCAATGGATTTGCCTACTCTGGAGATTTTATATAAATGGGATTATATAATATGTGGCCTTCTGTGTCTGGCCTCTTTCACTTCATGTAATGTTTTTAAGGTTTATTCATGTTGTATATTACTTGTACTTTACAGATGAGGAAATTGAGGCTTGAGGAAGAGAACTCGCAGGAGTTCAAGACCAGTCTGGGGCTTGGCATGGTGACTCATGCCTGTGATCCCAGCACTTTGGAAGGCTGGTGGATCACTTGAGGCCAGGAGTTCGAGACCAGCCTGGCCAACATGGTCAAACCCTGTCTCCACTAAAAGTACAAAAATTAGCCAGGCGTGGTGGTGGGTGACTGTAATCCCAGCTACTCTGGAGGCTGAGGCAGAATAGCTTGAACATGGGAGGCAGAGGTTACAGTGAGCCAAGATGGTGCCACTGCACTCTAGCCTGGGTGACAGAGCGAGACTCTGTCTAAAAACAAAAACAAAAACAAAAGCCGGGGCAACATGGCGAAACCCCTTCTCTACAAAAAAAATGCAAAAGTTGGCCAGGAATGGTGGTGTGCTCCTGTGGTCCCAGCTACTCCGGAGGCTGAGGTGGGAGAATTGTTTGAGCTCAGGAGGTGGAGGTTGCTGTGAGCCGAGATCTTGCCACTGCACTCCAGCCTGGGCGAGAGAGTGAGACCCTGCCTCAAAGGAAGAAAAAAAAAAGATAAGTAACTTGCCCAAGGTCACTTGAAGCCCAAGCCATCTGATCTGGGCCATTTCTCATATTTATGCCCTTCTGAATTACTCTTGAGCAGGCGGTGCCCTATGGGAAAAGGTCCTAATTAGATGACCATGTTACTATCCATTCAAGGTTCTTAGTTCAATTCAGTTCTATGTACTATAGAGAAAAGTGATCTGTCAGGCTCTGGGTTTGTCCAGACTTCTAAAAATAAGCCATGTTTCTGGGTCAGCAGCTGTGAGGGCCACATTGAACAGTGACTGCCTTGGACACATTTAGCCCCAAAGCTTTCTGTCCTGACCTCTATTGCGTCCTTAGTTAAAATAACAATCTTCATAGTCTCTAATCCTAGGCCCAGATCTGCAATGTGGAGGCCTAGGAATCTAGGTGTGTAACAAATATCTCAACTGATCCCTAGGGAAGAAGATATGGTCAGGTGGTACTAATTCTTCTTCTCCTTCTTCTTTTGAGACAGGGTCTTGCTCTGTCGCCCAGCCTAGAATGCAGTGCTGCAATTATAGCTCACTGCAGCCTGGACCTCCTGGGTTCAAGTGATCCTCCTATCTCAACCTCCTAAGTAGCTGGGACTACCGGCATGCATCACCATGACCAGCTAATTTTCTGTAGTGATGGCATCTGGCTATGCTGCCCAGGCTGTCTCGAACTGCTGACCTCAAGCAATCCTCCTGCCTTAGCCTCCCAAAGCGGGGTTACAGGTGTGAGCCACCACACCCAGCCAGGTGGTACTTTTCTTTTTGAGATAGAGTCTTGCTGTGTCGCCCAGGCTGGAGTGCAGTGGTGTGATCCCAACTCACTGCAACCTCTACATCCCAGGATCAAGTGATTCTCATGCCTCAGCCTCCCAAGTAGCTGGGATTACAGATGTGTGCTGCCACACCTGGCTAATTTTTGTATTTTTAGTAGAGATGGGTTTTCACTATGTTGGCAAGTCTGGTCTCAAAATCCTGACCTCAGGTGATCTGTCTGCCTCAGCCTCACAAAGTGCTGGGATTACAGGTATGAGCCACCGCACCCAGCCAGGTGGTACTAATTCTTCACTACTGATGGGGAAACAGATACCCAGCAGAAAGGTGACCGCCCCACAATTTTATATTTAGTCCCTTGGTCTCCTTCTAATGAGGAATGAGGCCTGAGGTTCCAGTATTACTTTCAATAAATATTTATGTTTATTACCTACTTAGCTCTTTGAAAAATGGTTACATCAAAGGTGTATTAATCTATGAGCTCCTGGCGGACGAGGACAGATTGTTGGAGTGTCCTCCTAGCATGTTAAAAATTAGTGACGATGATAACGACGCTGATGACAATGATGATTAGGCTCAGCACTAGGGCCTGGATCCAGTCCCTTAACTTCTCTGGATGAAGTGTCTTCCTTTGTTAAATCAGGATAATGAGACTCTCCTGCTGTTGTTTGTGAGGCCAATTAACTACTGTCTTGCAAGGACTCAGACCTACAAACACTTTGTAATCTATTCAAATGTAAAAGGCTTGATGAGGACTTTGGTTTGTGAACTTAAGCACACAAAAGCTAGGAAACGCAAAAGTTCAGGCCTGCCTTGTGAAGCCGGCTGCCTTGTGAAGCCTGCTGCCAGCTCCATCCTCCTCTGTCCCAAAGTAGTTTTTCTAGTGATTACAATTCTGCAGAACTAGAAACTAATGGTGCTGCATTACAAACAAGCAAAAACTGATATGAAATGAGTATAAATTGGCCTTCATCGAGAAATTCTTTTCCATTTATAAATAATGTCATGAGGTGTGTGTGTGTGCACATGTGTTGTGTTATTTGGGAGTTTTTTTTTGTTGTTGTTGTTTGTTTGTTTGTTTTGAGATAGAGTCTCGCTCTGTCACCCATGCTGGAATGCAGTGGAGCGATCTCGGCTCACTGCAACCTCCGCCTCCCGGGTGCAAGTGATTCTCTTCTCTCAGCCTCCTGAGTAGCTGGGATTATAGGCACCCACGACCACGCCTGGCTAATTTTTGTACTTTTAGTAGAGACAGGGTTTCACCATGTTGGTCAGGACGGTCTTGATGTCCTGACCTCGTGATCCACCCACCTCAGCCTCCCAAAGTGCTGGGATTACAGTTGTGAGCCACTGTGCCCGGCCGGGAGTTTTTGTTTGTTTGTTTTTCGTTTGTTTGTTTTGTTTTGTTTTGTTTTGTTTTGAGACAGAATCTTTCTCTGTTGCTTAGGTTGGAGTGCAGAGGTGCGATCATAGCTCACTGCAGCTTCTACCTCCTGGGCTCAAGTGATCATCTCACCTCAGCCTCCTAAGTGGCTGGGACCACAGGCGTGTGCCACCACACTCGGATGATTTTTTATTTTTTGTAGAGATGGGAGTCTCCTTATATTGCTCAGGCTGGTCTTGAACTTTTGGCCTCAAGCAGTGCTCCTGCCTCAGCTTCCCATCTTATCTCATTTAAACTTAAGAACAACACTGTGAGGTAGGCAATGCCGTTATTTCCACTTTATTTTCATTTGTTTATTTATTTATTTATTTATTTTGAGACAGAGTCTCAGTCACCCAGGCTACAGTGCAGTGGCGTGATCTGGGCTCACTGCAACTTGCACCTACCCAGTTGAAGCAATTCTCCCTGCCTCATCCTCCCGAGTAGCTGGGACTATAGGCCCGCGCCACCACGACTGACTAATTTTTGTATTTTTAGTAGAGACGGGGTTTCACCATGTTGGCCAGGCTAGTCTCAAACTCCTGACCTCAAGTGATCTGCCCCCCATTCCACCCCCCCCACCCCTTCGGCCTCCCAAAGTGCTGGGATTACAGGTGTGAACCACTGCACCTGGCCTATTTCCACTTTATTTTACAGATAAAGAAATTGAGCTCTTGAGATGTGAGGGTTGCCTTGTGCAGTCTTCTTAGTTTGTGGTCATTTCAATGACAATCCACACAGTGTTCCCTTGTGTGAAGGAAACTTCCCCCAGTGATGCTGGTGCTGGGGCCAAAATGACACCAGTGGTTGAAGATTCTGTTCTGGATTAAAGCATGGATGGACCAGGCTGCGTGCTCTCCTAGATGCGGGGAACTGATTTGCATTTTGGAGATCTCCAAAGCTGTTTTCTGGGGGAGGCTCACATTTCTTGTGTACTTATGATGTGTCTTGCCTTGTGCTAAGCTAGGCAGTACAACCTAGTGGTTAAGGGTGAGGCTTCCAATCCTGACTTTCTCGTTTACCAAGTTATTTAACATCTCTGTGCCTCAGCTTACTCTTCTGTAAATCCTAGCACTTTGGGAGGTTGAGACAGGAGGATTGCTTGAGGCCAGGAGTTCCAGACCAGCCTGGGCAACACAGCAAGATCTCCATCTCTACAAAAAATGAAAATATTATCCAGGTGTGATGGTGCATGCCCATTGTCCCAGCTACTGCGGAGTCTGAGGCAGGAGGATCGCTGGAGCCCAGGAGTTTCAAAGCTGTAGTAAGCTATGACTGAGTGAGCCACTGACTCTGAGGCAGGAGAATTGCTTGAACCTGGGAGGTGGAGGTTGTTGTGAGCCGAGATTTACATCACTGCACTCCAGCCTGGGTGACAGGGAGAGACTGTCTCCAAAAAACAACAACAAAAAAAACACAACCCTAGCAGTATGTCCCGTGTGTCCCTCACAGAGTGATTGTGAGGATTAAATGAGTGAATACACAGAGAATTTTTATAGCACTCACATTAGCGACGGCCTAAGGCCACACAGTGAGGAGTGCATGGCTGGCATATGCATCCAAGTCCTTCCAGAGTTTGCGTTCTTCAACCGCTGACCTTTTCTCCTCTGAGACGGCATACTCACAAGTAGCAACACGCCAAGGCTCTGATGACATCATCTATTCATTCAAACATTGGCTGCGTGATCAGAGCGAGCCAGGCCAAGCTAAATGCCAGGAACGAGGTCTCTCACCAAGAAAAAGATGTAGTTCACGCTGTGGGGCCCAGGGCGTGGGGCTTGGCAATTGCAGCGAGAGAGCCTCGTGCCAGGTGACAAGCACCCCAATGTCAGGAAGCCTAGGATGCTTGTGGGCGCAGAAGAGATACCCTCAATGTAGTGCTGGGGAAAGCAGATGACCTTTGAACTGAGCCCTGAAGACGAGTCAGAAGGCCAGCTGGGGGTGCCAAGTGGGCAGAAGGTTTGTGGACAGATCAATCCACTGGTGATAAGAGCCTGGGAGCCAGAGGTGGGTGCTTTAGGAGTCAGGGGAGTCAGGGAGGCTGCTGAGAGGTGAAGCCAGAGAGGGTTGGAGACTGGGTCTGGAGGGCCTGGCGCATCAGCCCCAGAATGCAAGCGGAAGCCAGTAGTGGCCTCCGATCGTATTTACACTGAGGAAAGACTAGGGGCCGGGTGCGGGGGCTCACACCTGTAATCCCAGCAGTTTTGGAGGCTAAGGTGGGCCGATCACCTGAGGTCAAGAGTTTGAGACCAGCCTGGCCAACATGGTGAAACCCCGTCTCTACTAAAAACACAAAAATTAGCTGGGTGTGGTGGCGGGCACCTGTAATCCCAGCTACTTGGGAGGTTGAGGCAGGAGAATCACTGGAACCCGGGAGGCGGAGGTTGCAGTGAGCCGAGATCGTGCCACTGCACTCCAGCACTCCAGCCTGGGTGACAGAGCTAGACTCTATCTCAAAAAAAAAAAAAAAAGAAAAAAGAAAAAAAAAGAAAAAGAAAAAAAGAAAAGACTAGGGCCTGTCATGTGGAGACCAGATGGGGAATACAGAGGGGCTGGACACCAGAAGCAGGGAGTTAAGGTAGGGAGGCTGTTACCAAAGCCAGGGCAACGGGCAAGGGGCCTGAATGAAGGAGGTGGTAGTGCTGCTGGGGTTTGGAGAGACAGGCTGGGATTTTAGGACCCTCTTGGCTGGAACAGTGTCATCTGACTTTTTTTTTTTTTTGAGACAGGATGTTGCTCTCTTATCCAGGCTGGGGTGCCATGGCATGAACGTGGCTCACTGCAGCGTTGAACTCCTGGGCTCAAGTGATCCTTCTGCCTCAGCCTCCCGAGTAGAGTAGGTGAGAATACAGGTGGCTGTGCTTACACATTTTTGTTCCACCACCTTGTGGGCTGTTGTGATGTCTGGGGCTTGAGCTGCATCTGCTGCTCCAACTTAAACAGCAGATTATTTTCTCATTATCCTGTGTTCAGAGAGCATCTCTGCTCCTTTTCTGGAATGTCAGGCTTTGACTCTTTGGTTTCAGGTTTTTTTTTTTTTTTTTTTTTTGAGATAGTGTCTCACTTTCTCTCCCAGGCTGCAGTGCAGTGGTGCAATCATAGCTTATTGTAGCCTCGAACTCCTGGGCTCAAGCGGTCCTCTTGCCTCAGCCTCAGAGTAGCTGGGAATACAGGTAGTCAGGTATGAGCCACCTCATAAATTAAAACATTAGAGGTATGGATGGGCGCTGGGACAATGCCTGTAATCTCAGCACTTTGGGAGGCCGAGGCAGGCAGATCACTTGAGGCCAGGAGTTCAAGAGCAGCCTAGTAAAACCCTGTCTCTACTAAAAGTACAAAAATTAGCTGGGCGTGGTGTTGTGTGCCTGTAGTCTCAGCTACTTGGGAGGCTGAGGCATGAGAATCGCTTGAACCTAGGAGGTGGAGGTTGTATTGAGCTGAGATTGTGCCTCTGCACTCCAGCCTGGGCGACATGACAGAGAGACTCCGTCTCAAAAAATAAAATAAAATAAAATAAAATAAATAAAATAAAATAAAATAAAATAAAATAAAATAAAATAAAATAAAATAAAATAAATTTACAGGTATGAGCCACCATTCCTGGTAATTTAAAAGTGTTTTTGTAGAGACAAGGTCTCACTATGTTGCCCAGGCTGGTCTTGATGTCCTGGCCTCAAGCGATCCTCCCGCTTTGGCCTTCCAAGGCGCTGGGATTATAGACATGAGCCACTGCCCTGGCCTCTCAATCGATTTCTGAGTGCCCTGATTCCAGCTCCAGCACTCTCTTTATTCCTCGGGGGAGAAACTTGGCACTTGTTATTCCTATGCCTTCTACACCCCATATTCAGACAACCACCAAGTCATTGTCCTTCCCTACAACTGCTCTTTGAAGACTCCCAGCTGTGTCTGTTCCCACAGTCATAAGTCAGGATCCGTCTGTCCCCGTCACGCTGATTGCTGTAGTGTCTGTCCTGACTGTCCTCTCTGCTGCCTCTTACCTTCTCCAGTCACCCAGCCCATAGAATGGAGTCCCCATCACCATTCTGATCACGCCCTTGCTCTGTTTAAGATTCTGCAGCGGGGCCTGCTTCTTATCAGATCATTCCAGGCTCCCTGTTCTTTTATCAGCCATCGTACTTATGCCCCACTGCTGCGCAGGGCAGACCTGGTGCTGCTCAGGCCGAAGCCTCTCTGTTCTTGTTACAGCAAGGCCACGTTCGTGCGTTTGCCGGTGCAGAGCAGTTTTGTTGGTCAGACCTACTGACAAAACCCTCCCGGATCATTTCTGGAACACGTCTCCTCCTACTGATTTGAGTCACCTCCTGGGGGAATTTTAAAATTTGAATCAGGAGCACAGAGGGAGAGAGGGAGAGGTCTGGAAGTCACAGTTCTAGCAAAGATGAGTCTGGGCAGATAGAAGTTGGAATCCAAGGTCTTTCTTTGAACACACAGTTCTGAGAGGTGGAGGTGGGGATGACATCAAAATCACAGGCCAAGTGAGAGGGAAGCACTGAGCTGACCTGATGGTTTTGGCATGACTTGGGCAAACGAGCGAGTGGGATTAGCACAGCCGATGAATGCAGTTAAATGCTGTGCACTGTGAAACACACACGGGCATGCAGGTGGCCTTGGAGAGGTGATGAAAATTTGTCACTTGAAAAAAAAACAACAGCCAGGCGTGGTGGTGGCTCATGCCTGTAATCCCAGTACTTTGGGAAGCCAAGGCAGAAGGATCACTTGAGCCCAGGAGTTCGAAACCAACCTGGGCAACAAAGTGAGACCTCATCTCTATAAAAAATTTAAAAAATTATCTGGGCATGGTGACATGCACTATGAGTCCAAGCTACTCAGGAGGCTGAGGCGTGAGGATTGCTTGAGCTCAGGAATTTGAGGCTGCAGTGAGCCGAGATTGCGTCACTGCACTTCAGCCTGGATGACAGAGCAAGACTCTGCCTTAAAAAAAAAACAAAAAAAAAAAACCCAAAAAACCCCCCAAAAAATTAATCCCCAATGTTGGAGGTGGGTCCTGGCAGAAGGTGTTTGGGTGTTTGGATCATGGGGGGCAATCCTTCATGAATGGTTTGGTGCCCTCCTTAAGGTAATAAATGAGTTCTCAGTCCACTAGTTCCCTAGAGATCTGATTGTTTAAAAGAATCTAAGAGGCTAGGCATGGTGGCTCACGCCTGTAATACCAACACATTGGGAGGCTGAGGCTGGAGGATTGCTTGAGCCCAGAAATCCAAGACCAGCCTGAGCAACATGGCAAGATCCTGTCTCCACACAAAAAAATTTTTAAAATTAGCCAGGGAGGGTCATGCAGGCCTATAGTCCCAGATACTTAGGAGGCTGAGGCAGGAGGATCACTTCAGCCCAGGAGGTCAAAGCTAGAGTAACCATGTTCACACCACCTTGCTCCAGCCTGGGTGACGAGTGAGATCCAGTCTGAACGAAAAAACCATAAGTGTCTGGCACCTCCTCCCGCCTCTCTCTTGCTCCCTCTCTCGTCTCATCATGTGACACACTGGCTCCCCTTTGCCTTCCACCATGACTGGAAGCTTCCTGAGGTCCTCACTAGAAGCAGATGCTGGCACCATGCTTCTGTACAGCCTGCAGAACCGTGAGCCAAATAAACCTCTTTTCTTTATAAATTACCCAGCCTCAGGTATTCCTTTACAGCAATGCAAAATGGACAAAGACACCCCTGCTTCTATCATACAATTGTGATAACTAATTGAGATACCTATAAAGTACTTAACATAGTGCCTAGAACCTAGTAAATAATAAATGTTTGCTCTTATTAAATTTTAATTATTATAGGTCATTTAGAAACCATGCACTATAAAGTATTTAGAAAGAACTTGGTAGTAATTTTTGGAAAAAACATTTTCTCCAAGCACTGTTTAAAACAGCTCAACTTGGGCCAGGTGAGGTGGCCATGCCTGTAATCCCAGCACTTTGGGAGGCCAAGGTAGGCAGATCACTTGAGGGCAGGAGTTCAAGACCAGCCTGGGCAATATGACAAAACCTCATCTCTACTAAAAATACAAAAATTAGCTGGGCGTGGTGGCATGTCCCTGTAATCTCAGCTACTCGGGGGGCTGAGGCATGAGGATTGCTTGAGCCCAGGAGGCAGAGGTTGCAGTGAGCCCAGATTGCGCCACTGCACTCCAGCCTGGGAGACAGAGTGAGACTCTATCAAATAAATAAAACAGCTCAACTTAACTTAGGTAAAGGACCTAAGTAACTTCAAGAAATTTGTTTCCAGTCTCAGATATTTGCCTCCTCTGTGCAAAGAATGAATATTTGCTGGAAACCTGTAGAGACCACTGGCTGGCAGCTGTTCTGACAGACGGTGAAGAGGTTGGGGGCAGGGTGAGGGACACAGCCAGGTTGGCATTTTGACTCAAAGGCCACGCTCCTACCTGAAGCCAACTTATTTCTCTGAAGCTTTTGGTTCTAGCTTGGTCTTTATCTACACCCAGGATTTAAAAAAAAAAATGAGAAATTAAGAGTTATTTATAACTCACCTGTTTTGCTTCAGCTTTAGAAATAGTAACGGTTAGTGGTTTAGGCTTTTTTTCTCTTTTCTTCTTTTTCTTTTTTAGAGACAGAGTCTCACTCTGTCACCCAGGCTGGCATGCAGTGGTGTGAGTAAGTTAGCAACTGGTATGACCACAGAGTTCATACTGTTATGGACAAAATTATGTCCTCTCCCCAAATCTATATGCTGAGGTCCTAACCCCCAGTACCTCACAATGTGACTGTATCTGGGGATCGAATCTCTAAAGAGGTGATTAAGTTAAAAATGGGGCCATAGGGTGAGTCCTAATCCAATCTGACTGGTGTTTTTATAAGAAGAGAAGATTTGGACACGGAGACACTGGGGGCACTCGCCCACAGAGGAAAGGCCACCTGTGGACACAGTGAGAAGGCGGCCGTCTGCAAACCAAGGTGACAGGTCTCAGAATGGACCAACAGTGCCAACATCTTGATCTCGAACTTCCGGCCTCCAGAACTGTAAGAAACCACATTTCTGTTATTTAAGCTACTTAGTCTGTAGTATTTTATTATGGCAGCCCAAATGTATTAGCCTGTTCTCACGTTGCTAATAAAGACATATCTGACACTGGGTAATTTATAAAGAAGAAAGGTTTAATGGACTCACAGTTCCACATGGTTGGGGAGGCCTCACAATCATGGCTGAATGCAAATGAGGAACAAAGTCATGTCTTACATGGCAGCAGGCAAGAGGGCTTGTGCAGTACTCCCATTTATAAAACCATCAGATCTCGTGAGACTTAGTCACTACCATGAGAACACAATGGGGGAAACAGCCCCCATGATTCAATTATCTCCACCTGGCCCCATCTTTGACATGTGGGGATTATTACAATTCAAGGTGAGATTTGGGTGGGGACACAGCCAAACCATATCATGAAACAAACTAATGTACGTATCATCTAATTATCAGTCTTGGAGATATATCTGTTTGACAAATGAGGTATATCAACAAAGATTAGACTTTTACTAACAGAAAACACAGAATGTCAGTGGCTTAAACCAATAGATGCTTGTTTATTTCTCACAGAGACAGTGATTACACTGAGAAGAGTTACTGGGTGCTAGATTGGTCTGGTCATCCTGGGAGAAAGCATTTTTGTTCAGGCTTACAAAAACACATAGGAAGCTGAGTGTGGTGGCTCATGCCTGTAATTCTAGCTGCTTGGGGGGCTGGGGTGGGAGGATCACTGGAGCCCAGGAGTTTGAGACCAGTCTGGGCAACATAGTGAGACCCTATCTCAAAGAAAAAAAAATAGATAGGACTTGATGCCCATCGATTCCATCAGTGAATGAATGGATAAACAAAATGTGGCATATTCATACAATGGAATATGACTCAGCCTTCAAAAGGAAGGACACTGCGACACATGCTACAACATGGGTGAATCTTGAGGGCATTATGCTAAGTGAAATAAACAGTCACAAAAGGACAAATACAGGATGATTTCTCTTAGATGAGATGCTTAGAGTAGTCAAATTCATAGAGACAGAAAGTAGAACGATGTTGCCAGGGCTTGCGGGTGGGGAGACGTGAGGAGTTGTTGTAATGAGTATCAATGTCCCGTTTTCAAAGATGAAACAGAGTTCTGGAGATTGGTTGCACAACAATATGAATGTACTTAACAGTACTGAACTATACGCTTAAAAAGGGTTAAAATAGTACATTTTACGTTATATGTATTTTACTGCAATGAAGTTTTTGTTTTTTGTTTTTTTGAGACAGAGTCTCACTCTGTCGCCCAGGCTGGAGTGCAGTGGTGTGATCTCGGCTCACTGCAATCTCCGCCTCCCCGGTTCAGGCCGTTCTCCTGCCTCAGTCTCCTGAGTAGCTGGGACTACAGGCGCCCGCCACCACGCCTGGCTAATTTTTTTTTTTTTTGTATTTTTAGTAGAGACGGGGTTTCACTGTGTTAGCCAGGATGGTCTCGATCTCCTGACCTTGTGATCCGCCCGCCTCAGCCTCCCAAAGTGCAGAGATTACAGGCGTGAGCCACCGTGCCTGGCCTGAAGTTTTTTTTAAATTAAAAGATATAGAGAGAACCTGAATAATTGGAGGAGGAGGATGGGTGGAAAAAGGCTCCTGAAGAGGGTGAGAGAAGATTTTTCCAGGAAAGCTCTCCCACCCATCCCTGCCCATCTCCGTCACTGTCCTTAGCCCTTGTCCTGATTAGTTTGCATCTCAAGGCAGAGACTTTGTGCCTCACATGGACTCTAACATAAAGATAACAAGAATTGCTTGTAATTGAATGGATAGTAAATGAAATCAGGAAGTGCTGAAGAAAAATAGACTCAGATTGAGGCTGCAGTGATTGTGTCACTGCACTCCAGCCTGGGCAACACAGCACGACCCTGTTTTAAAACAACAACAACAAAAACAATTTAAAAAAAAAAAGGAAAAAGAAAAAAAGAAAAATAGCCTTTGGAATACTATGGCCAACTCTGCTGGTTGACCCACCCAACATTCCAGCTTCCTTCTTCCATGCTTGGCTTCACCATGGAACCTAAAAGCAAAATTCTTACTTTCTTGCATTCTCTCACAGCTAGGGGTAGCCATGTAGGAAGGTCTGGCCAAGCATAAGTGAGCAGGAACATATTGGGACACTTTTGAGAGAAAATTTTTCTTTAAAAAGAGAAGCTGACATTGATGTGATGCTTCATTCTGTTTTTGAGCTTTGGAGGCAAATGCAATGTCTGGGGCTAAGGGAATTATTTTGTGACCATGAGGGAAATATCAAGCACACAAGCAACATGTTATTCCTGACATCCCTGAGATGCTGAGTCAATATTAACTACTGCCTATCTCTAGATTTCTTATTATGTAAGAAAAATAAACCCCCTAATTGTTTAAGGTATTTGGTGTAGGCAAAAGGATTCCTAGTGGATACAGATATGGTCCCCCCATTTTGGCCTAGCTAATTCTTATTTGGTCTTCAAGAAGTCAACATAGAAGACACTTGATTTAATCCCCTGTGCTAGGTTCTATGCTAGGTTCTGGACTTTTGATGGCTTCCAGGAAGTCTTCCTGTACCTTCTAAGACTGAGTGAGATGTTCCCTTGTGCTCACGTAACTACTTATACTAATGCCTGTCATGGTGATATGGTTTGGCTGTGTCCCCACCCAAATCTCATCTTGAATTGTAGCTCCCATAATTCCCATGTGTTGTAGGAGGAACCTGGTGGGAGATTATTGAATTATGGGGCAGTTTCCCCTATACTGTTCTCATGGTAGTAAACATGTCTCATGAGATCTGGTGGTTTTTGAAGGGGATTCCCCTTTCCCTTGGCTCTCATTCTCTCTTGTCTGCCACCATGTAAGATGTGGCTTTGCTCTTCCTTTATCTTCTGCCATGATTGTGAGGCCTCCCCAGCTGTGTGGAACTGTGAGTGCATTAAACCTCTTGCCTTTATAAATTACCCAGTCTTGGGCATGTCTTTATTAGCAGCATGAGAACAGACTAATACACATGGCATTAATCACCTGTATTGTCATTCACATGTGTAGATTCTCCATTTGATGATGAGTTCCTTGAGAATAGAGATCATGAGTCTGAGTCATTTTTAAAACCCCAATGCCCAGGGTGGTGTCTGGCACTCACACAAAAACCACTCAATTAGTTGAATAAATTACTGAATGATTAAAAAAAAAAAAGTACCATTTCCGGTCAGGCCAGGGTTTAAAATGCATGAGAGCCTCTTTTATTAGCTTCTTTATGTGTTGAAGAGTCTCTCTCCCTCTTTCTCTCTCTCTCTCTTTTTTGAGAGAGGGTTTCACTCCCATCACCCAGGCTGAAGTGCAGCAGCACAATCTGGGCTCACTGCAACCTCCACTTCCTGGGCTCAAGTGATCCTCCTGCCTCAGTCTCCTGAGTAGCTGGGATTATAGGCACATGCCACAGTGTCCAGCTAATTTTTTGTATTTTTAGTAGAGTATTTTTAGTATGTTGCCCAGGCTGGTCTTGAACTCCTGACCTCAAGTGATCCACCTGGCTCGGCCTCCCAAAGTGCTGAGATTACAGGCGTGAGCCACCATGCTCGGCTGAGAGTGTCTCTTTATCACTCTCTCTCCTCTCTCTCTCACACACACACGTACATGCAGGCACATGTGCACACACATGCACATCAGTGAGCGCTTCTTCCATGGGACAGAACTTTGGCAGTGATTACTGTCATGACCTCACCTGAATCAGGCACATGGAATAAGGCTGGGGAGCAAGGCCCTTTATAAAATTAATTATGAACAGGCTCCGAGAAGCCGATGCTGAGGCACTGGCAGCCGGGTCCTTAGCCTTTTGGCTGCAGGGATTGAACACTGCTGGGAGGAGCAGCGTAGGTAAAAATAAGCTAATTAGGCCTGGCTCATTTGGATGTGCTTTGAGAGTGTCCTGGGTTCCTGCGGTCCATTTGCTGTCTCTGCGCAGTGGAGAGAGGTCACACCCCTGGAATGGGGACCCCTGAGCGGTTTGTTGGGGCTGCCGCCTGGAGGAGGGGAATTCACTGGGTAGGTGAGAGATTTGGAGAGTTCTGTTGGAACATGTTCGTTGTCAGCACAGTTTGGCAGCTCACACGAGGAGGAATCTGCCTCTCTCTGAACTGAAGCTTACTTTAGCAGTTTTTTCATATACTCAGCATCTGGGAAACAGGAGGTCTGTGCTGGACGGACATTTCCAACTTGCACAGAGCAGCAGCTTTTCTGCCTAAGACAGAGGCTGTACAGTGCAGTGCTAAGAACCTGCATGTGAGTGTCAGGCAGCCCTGAAGTTGGTTCCTGGGATCTATCACTCACTATGGTGTAGTTGAAGGCAAGTAACTTCTCTCTTTGAGAAACTGAACCCTAGTCGTTCCCTCAAAGCCTGTTTTGAAAATGAAAGGAGTGTAGATTGAAGTGACTGGTACAGCTCTTTGCATGTAGTAGCCAGTATTGCTACATAATCATTATTTTGATAATCATTGTTTATTGCAAAGAACACAGACTGTGTGTGTGTATATATATAGAAAACATACATGCATGCAAGTTTTTGAACTCCCAGATTTTTAAAAATTTATTATTTTATTTTATTTTATTATTTTTTGAGACAGGGTCTCACTCTGTCACTGAGGCTGGAGTGCAGTCATGTGATCATAGCTCACTGCAACCTCAGCCTCCTGGACTCAAGTGATCCCCCACCTGGGACTAAGGTGTGCACCACTATGCCCAACTAATTAAAAAGAATGTATATATTTTTTTGTAGAGACAGGTTCTCACCATGTTGCCAGGCTGGTTTTGAACGCCTGGCCTTAAGCAATCTTCTGGCCTCGGCCTCCCAAAGTTGCTCGGATTGCAGGCGTGAGCCACCACGCCCAGCCTCTGGATTTTAAATATGTACAGATGAAGGCTTTCTTTGGATAATGCTCAGGTCTCCTTTTAGCAGTACGTTTTGACCCAATTGGAGCGCCTATGTATGGACCCAAGCATGTGCCTCATTGCATTTAATCTTCACGAAAGCACTATCAGGTGAGTCCAAATCTCTCCATTTTAGAGAACACAGAGAGGGTGATATTTGCACAAGGCCCTGCAGGATTCACTTCCTGAGGACTCACACCCTTAGCCCTGCCTGCACCACCCTGTCTTCTATAGAGGTGCATTCTCGTCCCCCACCTTTGCTGTGTTGTGTTTGTGTTGTGTGTGTCTTGTTGAATAGACAGGCTTCTTCCTTTTTAACTTCATTTTCTTTCTTTTTAACTTCATTTTCTTTCTTTTTTTTTTTTTTTGAGACGGAATCTTGCTCTGTCGCCCAGGCTAGAGTGCAGTGGCATGATCTCGGCTCACTGCAACCTCTGCTTCCCAGGTTCAAGTGATTCTCTTGCCTCAGGCTCCTGAGTAGCTGGGACTATAGGCATGCACCACCGCTCTGGTCTAATTTTTGTGTTTTTGGTAGAGATGGGGTTTCACCTTGTTGGCCAGGCTGGTCTCGAACTCCTGACCTCAAGCAATGCACCCATCTCGGCCTCCCAAAGTGCTGGGATTTCAGGCATGAGCAACTGCGCCTGGCCCTTTTTAACTTTATTTGAACTGTTGACTCTGCTCATTTGCTGTGCTGCTCCCACTTGTTTAGATAAACCTGTTCTTTTCTCCAAGCCAAGCTGTTTGCACAAAAGCACTAAGAAGCCCAGAGATTGCTGAATATTTAACATTCACAGGCAACATGCCACAGAAACCAGAAACACTTGAAACAGAACCCAGACAAGAGAGTGAGGGCAGGGAGGACTGGAAGGAGGCTCAGAGGATTGCTGGCCAATGGAGGGCTCATTCAGGCACTGCTCATAGGCACGAGGAACCAGCAGTGTGGTTAGCTCAGCTTAGAGAAGCACCAGCCAGCACTGTCCTTGTTCACATCTGCCAACAGTAATGGCCTTTGGCAGTAGAGTTTGCAAAACCTCAAACAGAAGAGCTATTACTTTTTTTTTTTTCCTCTTTAGACAGGGTCTCTGTTGCCTAGGCTGAAGTGCAGTGAGTGGTGCAATCATAGCTCACTGCAGCCACAAACTCCTGGGCTCAAGCGATCCTCCTGCTTTAGCCTCCTGAGTAGCTGGGACTACAGGCATGTACCACCACACCTGCCTAATTTAATTTTTTTTAATAGAGATGGAAGTCTCATAATGTTGCCCAGGCTGGTCTTGAACTCCTGGCCTCAAGTGATTCCGCCTGCCTTGGCCTCCCAAAGTGCTGGGATTACAGGCATGAGCCACTGCACCCAGGCTTCAGAAGAGCTATTGATGCCAATGAGCCTTTGGCTAGGTGCATGGATCCTAGGGACACATTTAAACAGGTAATGCCTTGGGGCTAGCTCCCACAGTTGAAACCATATCAGGCCAGTTGCTAATTTCTGGCCCTTGACTTTCTCCTTCTTGTGGAAGGTGGATGGCAACTGGGTGTGGTGGCTCATGCTTGTAATCCCAGTGCTTTGGGAGGTCAAGGTGGGAGGATCACGTGTGCCCAGGAGTTGGACACCAGCCTGGGCCACATAACGAGACTTCATCTCTACAAAAATAATAATAATTTAAAAAATTCACCGGGCTTGGTGGCACATGCCCATAGTCCCAGCTACTCAAGAGGCTGAGGCAGTAGGATCGTTTGAGCTCAGGATGTTGAGGTTGCAGTGAGCTATGCTTCTGCCACTGCACTCCAGCCTGGATGACAAAGCAAGACCCTGCCTATAAGAAAAATAAGAAGGTGGATGGCTGGGAAGGTCCTGACATGAATGGAAGAGAGAAGGCACATGTGGCCACAGCAGAAACCATTTTGAGAAGGGCAGACTCTTTACTTGTGATCTGCATTTGGATCCTAGCTTGCTAGGAGTTCTCATTTGAAGTCAGCTATAAACATTTTTCTTCCTGCTGTAACACACATGGAGTCCATAGTCCATATTTCCTTCTTAATTGCAGACCAAGAGGTATAAATTTGCTGAAGGGAAAATGTAATGCCTATGTATTGAACTGAATTGGGTTGTCAAGTTACATTCAAGAAAGCGTTGTTTAGTGGCGAGCAGGCATGGAAGGCCAGGGTTCTTGGCTGGAAAGGCGAAGGAGGAGAGAGAATCAGAGGAGTAGAAATTCCAGGTACACGGTGCTGCTGTCGCTGTCAAATAGCTCATGTGTTTGGGGAGAGAAATGCAGGTTTGAAGTGCAGCACCATTCTGATAACACCTCAAACCCATAAGGAAATGAAAAAAATAAAGAGCTATCTTGGTATAATTTGTTTAATTTTGCATATAATACTCCCCCCTTATCTACGTTTTCACTTTCTGAGGTTTTCATTACCTGTGGTCAACTATGGTCCAAAAACGTTAAGTGGAAAACTCTAGAAATAAACAATTTGTAAATTTAAATTGTGTGCTGTTCTGAGTAGTGGGATGAAATCTCACGCTATTCTACTTTCTCTCACCTGGGATGTGAATCATCCCTTTGTCCAAGATATTTATGCTGTATACACTGTGCCCATTGCTATAGAGAAAAAGAAGTACTGTCTGTGGTTCAGTACCATCTGCCGTTTCAGGAATCCACTGAGGGTCTAGAAATGTATCCCTCATAGGTAAGGGGGGACTACAGTATTTTAAATGGAAAATAAGTGTCTTTGATTGACTAACCCTTTTTTTTTCCCCAAGAGACAGGGTCTCACTCTGTTGCCCAGGCTGGAGTGCAGTGGCACAATCAGAACTTACTGTAGCCTCAAACTCCTGGGCTCAAGCGATCCTCCTGTCTCAGCCTCCCAAAGTGCTGGGATTATAGACGTCAGCCACCATGCCTGGCCTGGAAATGGTTCTTAATTAGAGGACACATTTTGGATGCCTGTCACACCCTGCTCTTGGAAACAGCACAACTTCTTCACTGTCTCCTACATGACTTTGTAAGGATAATTTCAGAGGCTGGAGTGCAAAGGGAAAAGTACTTTTCAAAGTACTGGTCTGGTTGACGAACTCTTAAGAAACACTTCCATGTATTGTTTCTTCTAACTAGTGGTTCTCCTGTTGTTTTCTGTTTTGAAGTGGGAAAGAAGTAGTACATGCAAAGTTAACTTGGAAGCAGACTTGCCATCAATAACCAGATGTGATGAATTAAATTGTGGGAGTGAGGGAGTGAGGGCGGAGGGCCAGGGGTTATATTATTGGTAAAAGCTCTTAACTATGTGAGTGGACCACATTTTGAGGCTCTGGCTCATGGAGGGGGTGGAGCATGGAAGCCATTCAGGAAAAAGAGGTACTTCCATGGTAGGAGGCTCTCTTCTGAATACAAGTTGCTGAGAATCCACAGAATGCTTATCCGTGGGGCAATTTCCGTACTGTTGGCCTGGGCCACGAAATTTCACCACCAGTGATCAGTTTCAGGATGTCTCAAAGGGTTAGTCTTTTGCTTTCTCATACGTTTGAGATTTTGGTGGGGATGATTGTGGCTTGTGGTTTCTTCAGCATCTATTGTGAATTTCATGGTACATTGAGCACAACAGTGCCAGGATGATTTTCCACTGAGGTTGTTTATTAGTCTGTTTCGTGTTGCTATAATGCAAAATTGCAACTCCTATAAAGGACTACCTGAGACTGGGTAAAGAAAAGAGGTTTATTTGATCATGGTTCTGCAGGCTGTGCAAGAAGCATGGCACCAGCATCTGCTTCTGGGGAGGCCTCAGGAAGCTTCCAATCATGGTGGAAGGTGAAGGGGGAGCAGGTGTGTCATATGGTGAGACGGGGAGCAAGAGAGGGAGGAGGAGGTGTCAGCCTCTGTTTTATTTTTACTTTTATTTTTATTTCCTTTTTTTTTTTTTTTGAGACAGATTCTCACTGTCTTGCCCAGGCTGGAGTGCACTGGCACCATCTCAACTCGCTGCAACCTCCACCTCCCAGGTTCAAGCGATTCTCCTGTCTCAGCCTCCCGAGTAGCTGGGACTACAGATGTGTGCCCCCAACCCCACCTAATTTTTGTATTTTTAGTAGAGACGGGGTTTCCCCATGTTGGCCAGGCTGGTCTGTAACTCCTGACCTCAGGTGATCTGCCTGCCTCGGCCTCCCAAAGTGCTGGGATTACAGGTGTGAGTCACCACGCCCGGCTGTCAGCCTCTTTTAAACAACCAGATCTTGTGTGAACTCATAAAGAACTCACTCATCACCAATGGGATAGCACCAAGCCACTCATGAGGCATCTGCCGCCATGATTGTTGGTGTTGACCAGATCCCACCTCCAACACTGGGGATCACATTTCAACATGCGATTGGCAGGGACAAGTATCTAAATTATATCAAGTTTTAAGCCCAGTTTCTCCACTGGAAGAGAGAGAAGTGTGTGAAACAGAGAAGCAGAAGGCAGGCATATGGTTGTGTGTGGGGCTGAAGAGACCTTGTTGTGGAGATTCTTTCCCTCCAAACCAGAGTTTTTGGCTTTTTGAAGGAAATAGAGTCTGGGTGAGGTCTTTCTGAATGGGATTTTAAGGCATTCAACCTACACAGCCCTCAAAATAAATGACAGGGGCAACACCTATTGGCCTGATCTGATTTCTCCACTGAGTGTAACTGTTTAGTCACAACCATATGTAGATTTTGGAGCTCCAGTTGAGAAGGAAATACTGAGCATGCTTAAAAATAGTAAGTTGCTCGGGTGACTGTGGGTGAGTGGGAGCTATTGCTGTGTGACAATGTCCTTTTTGTGGGGGTGAGTGACACAGCTGTCCAGTTCCTCAAAAACTACCAATGCAGGGGTTTTTCAAATGGTATTGGATCAGAAGTTATTTGTATGAGCAAACTCTAAGTCACCAAAACTTGATAACTTGTCCATAAACAATGAGGGTTGACCTGCTTTTAGGTGGCTCTTCGTTTCAAGAAAGCGGGACTGATCAATCTCTCTGGTTTTTTTCTGTAGGAGTCCAGTAAAGAAGGAACTATTTCAAGGCCACAAAATATCAGAATTAGAAGTCCAGAGCCCTGGAATCTGCATTTTTGACAAACACCCTGGGAACTGCACTTTCAAACACCTCTCTAAACTTAAGCCTAGCCAGGTGCCACAGCATGTGCCTATAATCCCAGTTACTTGGAAGGCTGAGGCGGGAGGATCACTTGAGGTTAGGAGGTCAAGACCAGCTTGGGCAACATAGCAAGACCCCATCTGAAAAAAAAAAAAAAGAAAAAAAGGAAACAAAACAAATAAAGCCAAAAACCTATGATTGGCAACAACCAGATTGTTGGAAAATGGGGGGCAGTGCCTCCTTCCAACTGATGGAAAGTGTGGGCAACCAGGGTGTTGACCTTCAGGTCAAAAGAGTGAAGGTCATGATCAACTCAGTATACCACTGGAGGCTACGTGAGTAAACAGCAAACTGTTCTCATGAAAGCAGGTTGTTGGCAAACTGACAAACTGCGTCTGCCACCCAGAAGGAATGCTGAGGGCAGTCACGCCCCAGGCGCAAGTGTTTCTTATAATTAGGCACATCTGAAGCCTGTTAGCAATAATGTGAACCTGTGATCAATTACGCAGCTGACCAATCATTACCTCCTGCTCCCTGCTCTTTCTACCCAATAAATAGGAGGCTGCCTTTGCTCACTGGAAGCAGGGAGTCCTCTTCTTCTTCCCCATGTTACCCTTCCTTTAAAATAGTTACTTTTGTTTTAAGTTTTCATTTCTGCGTTCTTCCCCCTTCATTCAGTCTCGTAATGATGGTCTCAAGTAGTGCCAGTAGTAACTGCCCTAGTGACGATCTCAAGTAGTAACTGGCAAACCATGGCACCAGGGCACGGGCATCCTTGACATGCAGCTTTCAGAGAGATCCCCGGCCCTATTTGCAGCGGCTCTTTGGATTTGAGGCCATTGCTTCCAGCTCCTGGAGGAACCTCTCAGAAATAGACACTGGCAGAGTTCAGGTTCTACATCTAGTTGGAGAGTAATCACATCAGGAAAATCTATTACATGCATCCCACACCTGGTAAATTGAGTGGTGGGGAGGCGTGCTAGGTAGAGGGGTTCGGAGGAGAACCCTTTGGCCTGTGGAATAAGCTCATATGGGGTTCTAGTATGACTCAGCAAACTCCTGGATGGCATGCCTTACTTTGGTCATAGCTGGGCTTTACATTCGAGTGAGAAAGATAGACACTAAACAAGGAAATACTTGAGTAAGAGTAATTCCGGGCTGGGCACAGCAGCTCACTCCTGTAATTCCAGCACTTTGGGAGGCAGAGTTGGGAGGATCACTTGAGGCCAGGAGTTTGAGACAAGCCTTGGCAAGAGAGCAAGACCCTGTCTCTACAAAAAACTAAAAACAAACAAAAAACTCACGCCTGTAATCCCAGCACTTTGGGAGGCCAAGGCGGGTGGATCATCTGAGGTCAGGAGTTCAACACCAGCCTGGACAACATGGTGAAACTCCCTACTAAAAAAAATACAAAAATTAGCTGGGCATGGTGGTACACGCCTGTAGTCCTAGCTACTCGGGAGGCTGAGGCAGGAGAATCGCTTGAACCCAGGAGGCAGAGGTTGCCATGAGCTGAGATCACACCACTGCACTCCAGCCTGAAAGACAGAATGAGACTCCGTCTCAAAAACAAACAAAAAAAGCCAGTCATGGTGGTGCTTGCCTGCAATTCTAGCAACTCAGGGGGCTGAGGCAGGAAGATTGTTTGAGTCCAGGAGTTGGAGGCTGCAGTGAGCCAAGACAGCACCACTGCACTCCAGCCTGCGTGACAGAGTGAGATCCTGTCTGGGAAAAAATAAATAAATAAATACTGAACTGTAGCAAGGGCTAAGGAGAAAATAAAAGTGTGTTAGATAGAGCAAGGGTGATGGGAGGTGGGCAGGGACAACACTACATAGGAAAGAAGGCCTGGTGGTCACAGGTGGCATGTTGAACAGATACTCAAACAAGGGGCTATTCTAGTGTCCCAGTTGCCTTGGGCTCATGCAGACAGTGCTAATCTCCATTTACCACTAATCTTTAGCTCTCTCTGCCCTTGTGTGAAGTACATGCATGCATGCGGGTGTTGAGAGTAAAAATCCTTTGATGCCGAGAAGCCACACAGGCGTGGACCTGCTTCGCCAAGCAGAAAGCGGGAGAGTGACGTGATGTCACGCAGAGCTTGGTCCTGCTGGAGATTTGGGGAAGTCTCAAGGAAAGGTGAGAGGGGGCCACTGCTCCCAGAGAGCTATTAGAATCGCGATCAGACACCCTGGCTTGTCTTTTCGGCTCTGCCGCTTGATAGTTCTCTGCCCCTGGGCAAATCAAAGGACGTCCCCAAGCAGCAGTCCCCTCTGCCTTAGAACAGGAAAGACACCAAGCTCAGAGGGCTGCTTTTATGGTTCAGGGAGCGGGCACGTGCAAAGCTCTTGGCAGAATGCCGGCCTGTAGTAGCTGCAATGTCATCCCTCCCTCCCTCCCTTCCTTCTTTTCTTCCTTCCTCTCTGCTTCCCTTGTCTCCTTTTCCTTCCTTCCTTTCTTCCTCCTTCCCTCCCCAGCAAACCCAGGAAGGCCTGATGACAGAAGAGTCGTAGCTGTTCCTGGTCCCAAATGAGAGGCGGATAGAGCCCCCCCAACCCTCTCCCGGTGTTCTGAGGCCTGTTAGGGGAAATCTGTGAAACGTCGGACCGCCTGGGTGATTTCGCTTGTGCTTGTCCCTGAAACAGACAAGACATCCTTTTGATTCTGTTTCCTCTCTCCTTTAAAAACACGCAGCACCTTGCAGTTGGACCCAGAGCCTTGTTTGATCCCTGCTTTATCTTTCTCTAGCCTGGGCTTTGGGCTGCCTTATTTGGGATCTCAGGGCAGGAAGAAGAGCTTCTAGGGGAGTGGGGGGTTGGGGGGGACGCGCGAAGCACTCCTCCTTTCCAAAGCAGGGCTGGCGCGCGTGGTTCTTGGCTCGCCGGCAGCATGGATGAGTGAGCTTAGCTGTTTTTGGCAGCGATTTCCTGATTTACTTGGCCTCAGCTGGATCCCTTTATTTTAGCTAAGAGGGCCTGTTATGTCCTCATTTCATGGGGGAGGGGATACATACACATGAGCCTTAGAAATAGTATTTTTTGAGCACCTAATTTTTTTCGTTTTTCGAGTCCTGATGCTGCACTCTCGCCCATGCTGGAGTACAGTGGCACAATCATAGTTCACTGCAGCCTCAACCCTCCTGGGCTCAAGTGATCCTCCTGCCTCAGTCTCCTGAGTAGCTGGGACTACAGGCATGTGCCAGCACACTCAGCTAATTTTTTTTACTTTTTGTAGAGATGGGGGTTCTTACTCTGTTGCCCAGGCTGGTCTCGAACTCCCGGCCTCAAGCAATCCTCTCACTTCAGCCTCCCAAAGTGCTGGGAATGCAGGCATGAGCCACTGTGCCCAGCTTGAGCGCCTATTATAAGCCTGGCTCTACACAAAGTAAACCTGTGGAGGTACTAGATATGGGAAAGGCTAGGACTGTGGGTACAAGAGCAGTTAGGAGAGCTTTAAGGGGGAGGAGGACTTTGCTTAGTTGCTAACAAGGTCTAGTTCGCCAAGCACTTACTGAGCATCTATTATGTGAATGGACTATGGCTCCAGCTCCCAAGTAGCTCTTGGTTAAGTGGAAGACAGAGAAAAGAGTAAGAAATCACAACACACCAAGGCAAGTTGTATAAAGGAGGTGTTGTTTTTTTGTTTTGTCTTGTTTTGCTTTTTTTGATGGAGTCTTGCTATGTTGGCCCGGCTGGAGTGCAGTGGTGCAATCTTGGCTCACTGCAACCTCCGCCTCCGGGTTCAAGCAATTCTCCTGACTCAGCTTCCCAAGTATCTGGGATTACAGGTGTGCACCACTACTCCCAGCTAATTTTTGTATTTTTAATAGAGACAGCGTTTTGTCATGTCGGCCAGGCTGGTCTCAAACTCCTGAACTCAGGTGATTTGCCCACCTCAGCCTCCCAAAGTGCTGGGATTACACACCAAGGAGGTTATATGGGGATACCAGGAAGGGAATAACTGAGTAAAGCTGGAAGAGTCCCTGTCGCTCCCTGGCATGGAGGATATGGACATGGGGACATCAGAAGCTGGGGAGAGGGATGGTACAGACAGAGGGTGAGGGCAGAGCTCCTGGGCAGGGGTGAGAGCCAGGGTATTTAGCAAGCTGGCCACTTGCTGGACCATACCCTATAACTTATAATTGCTGGAGGGGCTGGGATAGTATGAAGCTCTTGGGCTAGTGGCTGTTTACCAATGGATGCCGTGTGTTTGTGTCCTGGTGCATATCAGTGGAGTGTCAGCCTGCTGCGAGGTGAAAGAGAAATGACCCCAGGGAAAAGTGCTGGTGATGTGGGCTGGCTGAGCCCAGGGGAGTGGTAAAAGATGATGTTGAAAGGTAGGTGAACACTTGTGCATTGTTGGTGGGAAGGTAGATTAGTTCAGCCACTGTGGAGATTTCTCAGAGAACCAAAAATAGAACTACCATTCAATTCAGCAATCCCATTACTTGGTATCTTCCCAAAGGAAAATAAATCGTTCTACCAGAAAGACACCTGCACCCACACGTTCGTCACAGTGCTATTCACAATAGCAAAGAGATGGAATCAACCCAAGTGCCCATCAATAGTAGATGGGATAAAGAAAATGTGGTACATATGCACCACAGAATACTATACAGCCATCAAAAAGAACAAAATCATGTCCTTCGCAGCAACATGCATGCAGCTGGAGGCCATTATCCCAAGCAAATTAACACAGACACAGAAAACTAAATACTGCATATTCTCACTTATAAGTGGGAGCTTAAACCTTGGGTACACATGGGCATAAAGATGGGAACAACAGACATTGGGGACTACTTGAGTGGGGAGAGAGGAAGCAGGCAGGGGCTGAAAAAGTCCTATTGAGTACTGTGCTCACTACCTGGGCAATGAGATCAATAGAAGCCTAATCCTCAGCTGCACACAATGTACTCTTGTACCAAGCCTACACATGTACCCCTGAACCTAAAATAAAAATAGAAATTTAAAAAAAAGGGTAAGAGGGGACCAGAGCACAAACAGGCTTTTATGCTCAGCTGAGGAGCGTGGCCTTCAACAGAAAGCGGGTGGGAACTGTGGGAAGGTTTCCAGCAAGGGGGGCCCTGGGAGTGGGGGTTGCATTTTGGATGGTTGGCCTTGAGGCTCTGGATGAAGTGAATTGTCCAGGCAGGGAGACCCATTAGGAGCCTTTTCCAGGAATCCTTGAAAGAGGTAAGGAGTCCAACTGAAGGCTTCCA
This sequence comes from Homo sapiens, assembly GCF_000001405.40. NCBI lineage: Eukaryota > Metazoa > Chordata > Mammalia > Primates > Hominidae > Homo > Homo sapiens. The sequence goes on along the minus strand of NC_000007.14, from coordinate 69,427,688 downwards.
TGGTGAGGAGGGAGAGGGGCACGGGTTCAAGAAATATTTACAAAGCGGGGCGCTGTGGCTCACACCTGTAATCCCAGCACTTTGAGAGGCCAAGGTGGGTGCATCACCAGAGGTCAGGAGTTCGAGACCAGCCTGGCCAACCTGGTGAAACCCCATCTGTACTGAAAATACAAAAGTTAGTTGGACATGGTGGCAGATGCCTGTAATTCCAGCTACTCGGGAGGTTGGGGCAAGAGAATCGCTTGAACCTGGGAGGTGGAGGTTGCAGTGAGCCGAGATTGCACTATTGCATCCAGCCTGGGAAACAGTGAGACTCCATCTCAAAAAAAAAAAGTTACACACACACACACACACACACACACACATTTACAAGGGCAAACCCCAGGACTGGTGATTGCTTGGAAGTGCAAAGTGAGGGAGAGGGAGGATTTCAGTGACTCTGGATTCAGGAATGCATAAAAGGTGATGGCAGGCAATGGATCCAGAAAAGAAGGAGCCGAGAGTGGGGTGGATGAAGAGGAACCATAAGGAGGGGTTAGGAGGAGCTTCAGGTGAGCACCCCAGGCTCAGGATGTCTGTGTGTGAAAGTGTGAGCCTGGAGTGTGCTGCGCACAGGATATCCCTTTGAAGTCAAAGTGACGTGGCTACAGGGAAGAAACGGGGTGTCAGTTGGATGTGTGATGAGATGCATCCGTGTCTTCGAGCCTGCAGGAAGGATTTGGACTTGATGGCACCAGAGAGTGACAGGTTGAAAGGGGTGTTAGGATTAGAGCTGTGTTAATATTAAGCTGGCAGCTGAGTGTGGGTTGGGCTGGAGCAAAAGATAATGGAGAGAAAGGCCAAGAAGGAGGCTGATATGAGACCCATGCCCTTTAGGAGTCTGCGGGCACAGCGAAGGTGGGTCAGAGGCTGCCAAAAAGAGCAAGGGGGGTGCAAGCAGGCACCCTCACTTTCCTAGAGCATCTTGGCTCTTCTCTGCTCTGCCTTTGGGTTTGGCAAAAGATTTCACTGGGCCTAAGACTTCTGCTGCTAAAATAAAATGTGCAAACCACTGCACTAAGCAAACAGAGGGAAGGCTTATGGGGCAGACATGCAGACAACCTGGAAAAACGATTTAGAAACTTCAAAAATGTGGGGGAGGGTTTGTGTTCTATAGCAGAGTGGTCGCAAAATGCATTTATTCATTAGATTTAAAAATCGTACTTTGAGGCCGGGTGTGGTGGCTCACGCCTGTAATCCCAGCACTTTGGGAGGCTGAGGTGGGTGGATCACTTGAGGCCAGGAGTTTGAGACCACCCTGGCCAACATGGAGAAACCCTGTCTCTACTAAAAATACAAAAATTAGCCGGGTGTGGTGGCGCACACCTGTACTCCCAGCTACTCGGGAGGTTGAGACGGGAGAATTGCTTGAATCCGGGAGGCAGAGGTTGCAGTGAGCTGAGATAGCACCACTGCACTACAGCCTGGGTGACAGAGCAAGACCCTGTCTCAAAAAAAAAAAAAAAAAAAAAAAATTGTACTTTGTGTGTTAAGCCCTAAAGTACAGCAGAGTAACATAAGACTAAATTAGGTCCTCTCATTTTCTCACATCACAAACATTTATTTTATGATCCGTGTTAGGCACTGTATAAAAATCCAGCTACTTCTTTAAAGGATCTTATTGTTGACAAATACAATCATTCCCCCTTATCCATCGTTTCACTTTCTGTGGTTTCAATGATCTGCAGTCAACTTTGGTTTGAAAATATTACATGGAAAATTCCAGAAATAAACAATTCCTGTTTTTTGTTTTTTAATTTAAGAGATGGGGTCTTGCTACTTTGCCCAGGTCGGTCTCAAGCTCCCGGGCTCAAGCAATCCTCCCACGTTGGCCTCCCAAGTGCTGGGATTACAGGCATGAGCCACCATGGCTAATTTTTAGATTTTTTTGTAGAGACAGAGTCTCACTATGTTCCCTAGGCTGGTCTTGAACTCCTAGGCTCAACTGATCCTTCCACATCAGCCTCCCAAGTAGCTGGGACTACAGGTGTGCATCACCACGTCTGGCTCAATCCATAAGTTTTAAATTGCATGCCATTTTGAGTATTGTTATAATTGTCCTATTTTATTATTAGTTATTATTGTTAATCTCTTACTGTGCCCAATTTATAAATTAAACTTTATCATAGGTGTGTGTGTAGGAGAAAACATGGTACTTTTTATATGGAGTTTGGAACTATCTGAGGTTTCATGCATCCACTGGAGATCTTGGAATGTATCCTTGAGGATAAGGAGGGACTACAGCATGGGAATAGCTACAACTCAAATACTAGTTAAGTGTGGTAAATGTCATAAAAAGTGAAGAGAGGCCGGGAGAGGTGGCTCACGCCTGTAATTCCCAGCACTTTGGGAGGCCGAGGTGGGCAGATCACTTGAGGCCAGGAGTTGGAGACCAGCCTGGCCAACATGGTGAGACCCCATCTCTACTAAAAATCCCAAAAAAAATTAGCCCAGCATGGTGGTGCATGCCTGTAATCCTAGCTACTCAGGAAGCTGAGGCACAGAATCGCTTGAGCCTGGGAGGCTGAGGTTGCAGTGAGCCGAGATCATGCCACTACACTCCAGCCCAGGTGACACAGCAAGACTCTGTCTCAAAAAAGAAAAAGGTGAAGAGAATGTAGTAAAACTAGAATGTACCAGTCTAGGTAAAGATACAGAGGCCCACTTTAAGGAGATGAGTGCATTCCCTCCAAAACCTGCCAACCAGAGAGTGGCTCCAGCGGGGTAGGTGGAGGTCCCAGAAACAGAACTCCCTGTGAGCGCCCTGGGGAAGCAGGTGGAACTTCGTAGATTCTGAATGTTCAGGCTGTTCTAGGAGGAGATACAAAAGCCTGGGAAGAAAGGACCAGGAAGGGACAATTGCTGGTGGGAGTCACACAGGGTCCAGGTGGGTGAACCGACGAGAAAACAAGAACCAAGCCTGGGCGCGGTGGCTCACGCCTCTAATCCCAGCACTCTGGGAGGCCGAGGTGGGCGGATCACCTGAGGTCAGGAGTTTGAGACCACCTTGCCCAACATGGTGAAACCCCATCCTTACTAAAAATAGAAAAATTAGCCAGACGTGGTGGTGCATGCCTGTAATCCCAGCTACTCAGGAGGCTGAGGCAGGAGAATCGCTTGAACCTGGGAGGCTGAGGTTGTAGTGAGCTGAGATCGCGCCACTGCACTCCAGCCTGGGTGACAGAGTGAGACTCAGTCTCAAAAAAAAAACAAAAAAGAAAACAAGAACCAAGAAGAGAGTGGGGTTCATGAAGACAACATGGTTGGTGAACCGTAGACAACACTTGGGTGGGACGCAGGATCTGGCCTGATGACCTGGGTGTACTGGAGGAGTCACTTAGCTGCCTTGGTTTCCCTAATTGTAACAAGGGAGTTTGCCTGGGTCCCCAATAAGTGCCACCTTTTTTCTTCCAGGATCTGTTGTAGACATAAGAAACACGCTCCCAGCATTTTTTTCCCCTTCATGCCCAGTCCCAGCCCCATTTCTCCCCAGCACCCCAGGCAGCCACTTCCTCTCAGCTGGTGTAGACATGTGAATTGAAATCTCTCTGTGAGTCCTGGACTAAGCAATCCAAAAGGGCTATTTCATAGCATTTCATACACTTCAGGATTCTATAATTCACCAAGGACTGCGGACCTGTGAACTGTCGACATGTTCATGTGCCCTGGGATGCCATTCTTTCCCCTTCTCTCTGTGCCTGGGGAGATGTCAAACATTCATCCAGGTTTGAAACTCAAAGCACCAGCATAGCACAGACCCAAGGTTTCAGGAGGCTTTTAACCTGCAAGGTCGTGTTTTGTGAATTGACTACAGCCACCTGCCCCCAAAGCGAGCTAATGGATATCTTTCTGTTTATGAGATCCCTGATATTTGATGGACACAGAAGCAAAGGAACTGGGGTTTCTTCTTTTATTTTATTTTTTTTTGGAAACAGTGTCTCTCTCTGCTGTCCAGACTGGAATGCAGTGGTGTTATCACAGCTCACTGCAGCCTCTAACTCCTGGGCTTAAGAGATCCTCCCACCTCAGCCTCCCCAGTAGCTGGGACTACAGGTGTGCACCAACACACTGGCTAATTTTTTTTTTTTTTGTAGAAATGGGGTCTCACTCTGTTGCCCAGGCTAGTCTCAAACTCCTGGGATCAAGCAATCCCCCCATCTTGGCCTCCCAAAGTGCTGGGATAACAGGCATAAGCCATTGTGCTATGCTAATATTGTATAATAATATTATATGAATGGTGGTGGCTCATGCCTGTAATCCCAGCACTTTGGGAGGCTGAGGCAGGAAGTTGAGGCTGTAGTGAGCTGTGATGGCACCATTGTACTCCAGCCTTGGCGACAGAGTGAGACCCTATCTCCAAAATAATAACAACAATAAATAATACATAAAGATTTATTAATTGAGGGCAGGGAGTGTTTCTTGTTTGTTTCATTTCTCGTGCCCAGCACATAGTAGGTACACAACAACCATGCATTCAATGTCTAACCAGAGAGAACACTGGATTCTGCCTCTCCTCATGCTCCCTGTCTCTGATTCAACTGCATAATTACGAATTGGCAGCAATTTCAATTCTTTCCTCCCCACCTGGGTTTAAACCAACACTAAAAAGTTGTATTTGGTTGACTGTTGTCCTTCCAGGCAGATGAAAGTGGCAATTCAACCCTCTTTTTCTTATCAACCCCTGCATGTGTCAGAGCATATGAAGATGGGATGTGTGGGAGCTCCGGCTCTCTGGTGACTTCTCTCGATTTAATTAGTCTGACCTTCTGTGATAATCCCCCTCGGATGTCCCCGGCTCCCCCTCCATTTCTGTATCATATTCAAGCTTCTGCCTTCATCAGCAAAAGACCAACTGCTCAGCTCAGCCTGTAGCATAATTCACAGCTTGGCTCTCAACAATGAACTTTTACTCAAATGGAGCTGCTCTTAGCATTAAAATTGGCCTGAGAGAGCTAGGAAAGTTTATCTTGGAGCCAGCATGAGGTCTGTTCCTCCAAGTCAAATATTTCTCTTTAAAACTAGAATGAGCTTTAGTGTGGCACTACCAATGGCTTCCTGAAATATTGGGATATCTTTAAACATTAGCATTTAGTTACAGTGCTGAAGGCTTTCTGGAGAGTTTTAAAGTCTTTTTTTCCCCCTGTTATTCTCCCCTCTGAATAACCAGGATTTTCATATACACTTCCTTTTTATTTCAGGGCATACAATCTCTCTGCTCAGGAGAGAAAAGGCATTAAAACAGCTCAATACTCGGCTAATCAAACAGCTATTTATTTTCAGTCTGTCCTCATAGGATTTTCTGAATGAGGCAGAGAGGCCACTTTAGAATGATCTAGAAAGTCAAAGTGGTACCCCTGGAGCTTCTGGTCTTCGGGATGCTGGGAAAATTCCTGGGAGTTTAATGTTCTCCTTTCAACCCCCCCAGCCCAGCCTGGGAGCTGTGTTATTATTCTCTCCAGCTCCTGTTTCTCTCTCACTATTTTGGAATAAAGACCTCGCAGTGTGTGAAGGAATGGCTTCTTTCTCAGCAGCATAAGATGAGATGGAGAAATTTGTAGCATGGATTTATTCAACATTTACTGATACCTACGAGGCCAGGAATAATTCTATCCACTGGAGATACAGAGATGATCAAGGCACAGCCACTATCAAGGAGAAATCCACTGAGTGAAAGAGAAGCACACTTCAACCAAGAGGTACAATTGAGGCAGGTGTCTGGAACCCAGAGCGGGGAACAACCAGCTGTGTTGGGGAGAATGGGGGAAGTTGCCATAGAGAACAGGATACTTGAGCTGGGTGTATGAGAGTCGATAGAATTTCTACAGTCGCCGCAGTTTGGAGGGAGCTCTCTGGGAAGTGTTATGGCTCTTTGAGGAGGATGTGAATTTGGGATGGCTTGAATACAGGGAACATAGGAGTAGGACATTGGGTGATGAGGCTGGAAGGGTCTTTGGGACCGGATTATAAAAGTTATTTTGGCCAGATGCGGTGGCTCACACCTGCAATCCCAGTGTATAGGGAGGCCAAGGTGGGAGGATCGCTTGAGGCCAGGACTTTGAGACCAGCCTGGGCAACATGGCAAAACCCTGTCTCTACAAAAAATACAAAAATTAGTCAGCCATGGTGGTAGGTGTCTGTAGTCCCAGCTACCCAGGAGGCTGAGGCAGGAGGATCACCCGAGCCCAGGAGGTAGAGGATGCAGTGTGGTATGATCGCACCACTGCACTCCAGCCTGGGTGACAGAGTGAGATGCTGTCTCTAAAAAAGAAGTTTTCTTTACACTGCTCTAAGGAAATAGAGTCTATCCTGTCGAACTGTGGCTATGTCAGATATGAAGCTGACAAAGGATATAATCAGGTTAGATTTTTAAAATGGTGATGGACAGTGGTATGACCAAAAGAGGAATGGAGACCAGTTAAGAACGCTGTGACAATAGATTTAGAAAAGAGGCGGGGTGTGGTGGCTCATGCCTATAATCCCCCACTTTGGGCTGAGGCGGGCGGATCACTTGAGGTCAGGAGTTCGAGACCAGCATGGCCAACATGGCGAAACCCCATCTCTACTAAAAATACAAAAATTAGCCGGGTGGGGGCCTGTAATGCCAGCTACAATGGAGGCTGAGGCAGGAGAATCACTTGAACCCAGGAGGCGGAGGTTGCAGTGAGCTGAGATTGTGCCACTGCACTCCAGCCTGGGTGACAGATTGAGACTCCACCTCAAAAAAAGAAAAAGAAGAAGATTCAGAAAAGAAATGACAAGAGTCTCAATGAGGTTAATGGCAGCAGAGAGAGATGGGAGGGAGTTTTCTGTAGCTGCCAATTAAGATCACCATTCAGTGGCTCAGAGGGTGACATTGGTGGCCATCAAACACTGTGGCTGCTGAAGGGCTATGAGTCCTCAGGAGTGATGCTGGGAGCTCACTATCACAGCAAGTGTGTTGGGGTTAAAGGCTGTTGAGATTGTTCTCTTCTGTGGCAGAATATTTACTTACTGTTCCTTCCTTTTTTTCTGGAGACAGGTCTTGTTCTGTCGTCCAGGCTGGAGTGCAGTGGGACAATCATGAATCACTGCAGCCTCTAACTCCTAGGCTCAAGTGATCCTCCTGCCTCAGCCTCCCCAGTAGCTGGGACTACAGAAATGAGCCAGCATGCTTGGCTAATTAAAAAATACATATATTTTTTGGTAGAGCTGGGGTCTCCCTATGTTGCCCAGGCTGGTCTCAAACTCCTGGCCTCAAGTAATCCTCCTACCTCCCGGGGATTACAAGTGTAAGCCACTGCACCCAGCCCATTGACTGCTCCTTGAATATCCCTGTGTTCACCCACATTTTCCCAGCCCCCTGCAGTTAGGTGGGGCCATGTGAGTATTTCTGGCCAGGGCTTATAAGCAAAAGTGATTTATGTTGGTTCTAGTTTGAAGCATTGAAGAGCTGGCTCTTCCCTTGCCACTGTGACCTGGAAGCCACGTCTTCTGGATGTGTAGCAGTAAGATGCAAGTCCTTGGACCCATGAGTCACCACTTGAAAGCAAACCGCCCTGGGGACTTACTAGATCTACAGTGAACTTTGCATAAATGAGAAATGAATTTTTACTGATAAGTCGCTGAGTTTTTCAGTCCCTTTTTTTTCGTTTCCTTTTTTGTTGTTGTTGTTGAGAGTCAGGCTTTCTCTCTGTTACCCAATCTGGAGTGCAATGGTGTGATCATAGCTCGCTGCAGCCTAGAACTCCTGGGCTCAAGCAATCCTTCCACCTCAGCCTCCCAAGTAGCTGGGACTACAGGCACATGCCACCATGCCTAGCTAATTTTTAAATGCCTCATAGAGATGGGGTCTTGCTATGTTGTCCAGGCTAGTCTCGAACTCTTGGGCTCAAGCGATCCTCTTGCCTCAGCCTCAAAGCGCTGGGATTACAGGCGTGGGCCACCATGCTCGGCCTTTAGGGCTCTTTTGCAACACAGCCTAACCTATCTATCCTGACAAAAATACTGCCTTCTTCTCTAAGGCTGGTGAGGCCTGGGGAGCTGGTATGAGGCCAATATCTCTGACTGCAGGTTATTTTAGCTTCTTTACCACAAGCCGATGCATCAGAAAAGTGTCTGGAAAGAGCCACATGGCAGAGCTATGTTTATCTGCTTCAGAACACTCTGGTTCCCCTTGGCTGAAGAATATGACAGTTTTCTCAAGCAGGCAGCCCCTTGGGAGATTAAAAAAATGATTATATGGTGAAATGCCAGAGTCCTTCACAATGCCAGAGAGATTGACAGCAATTCTTAGTACTCCGGGAGTATGTGTCATCCTGAGAAAGCATAAATGTATTACAAGCCTCTGGGGGCAGCATGAAAGCTTCTCTGGTCATCAATAGTATATGCCTCTTGTCAAGCCCTGAGGCAGAGCAGGGGGCCTACGTGGGAAGGGGATTCATAATATGTTCTGGAAGAGGAATGGTGAAAGAATCTGGGGGTGTTGGGCCCGGAGAGGAGAGGACTTCGCGAGGCAGGGGGTGAGGGGTGGGTTACATGACTGGGTCTTTAAAAATTCAAGGGCTGTGATGTGAAAGAGAGAGCAGATTTGTTCTTGGTGGCCCTGTGGGGCAGAGTCAGACCAACGGAGGGATCTTACACAGAGACAGATTCCAGCTCAAGAGAAGGGTAAACATGCTACTGATGGAGATGTTGGAAAGTGGGTTGTTAGGGCTGAATCAGTGGGTGGCAAGTTCCCTGTCATTGAAAGTAATTAATTGCCTGCCATCCCAGCATTTTGGGAGGCAGAAGGGGGAGGATCACTTGAAACCAGGAGTTTGACACCAGCCAGGACAACATAGGGAGACCCCATCACTACATGAAAAAAAAATTAGGAGGGCATGGTGGCACATGCCTGTAGTCCCAGCTGCTCAGGAGGGTGAGGCCGGAGGATCACTTCAGCCCAAGAGCTAGAGACTGCAGTGAACTATGATGGTGCCACTGCACTCCAGCCTGGGTGAAAGAATGAGACCCTGTCTCTAAAAAAAAAAATAAGAAATAAAAATAAAGAGCTTAATTATAGGCTGGAAAATCACTTGGTAGAAAGGTTGCTGCAGGAAAAGGGAGAAGTGAACTACACACAATCCTGGGTTTAAATACTTGATCTCCCAGTTCAGCTTCTTCCACCCCAAGGCTGTATGATTTGGGGCCAGTCAAGTGACATTTCTGAACTGGTTTCCTTAATTATGAATAATAAAAGTCCTGCCTCCCAGGAGTATGGCAGATATATGAAGTGAAATATATTTACAAGCTGATTTTGAGAAATATTGATAATAATAACAACATCACCATCGACAAGCTCCACAATAGAACTTCACATTTCTAGGACACTGATTCTGTGCTGGGCACCATGCTTTGTAAATGTCATCTTATCTGACACTTATGATAATCACGTGAGATAGGTACGATTATTACCCCCATTTAACGCATGAGAAAACAGACAGCTGGAGTGATTGGTCCAAGGTCACACAGCTAGAAAGTGGTGAAGTTAGGATTCCAATCCAAGTCTTCCTGGCTCTGGAGTCTAAATGCTTAATTATTCAACTTGTTATAGCTCTTCAAGATCAATATAGAAGGACCATGTATTAGTTCATTCTCACACTGGTATAAAGAACTACCTGAGACTGGGTAGTTCATGAAGAAAGGTTTAATTGAGTTACAGTTCCACAGGCTGTACAGGAAGCATGGCTGGGGAGGCCTCAGAAAACTTACAATCATGGCGGAAGGTGAAGGGGAAGCAAGCACATCTTCACATGGTGACAGGAGACAGAGAGAGAGAGAGCACAAAGAGGGAAGTGCCACACACTTCTAAACAACAACAGATTTTGTGAGAATGCACTCACTATCGTGAGAACAGCAAGGAGGAAATCTGCCCCCATGATCCAGTCACCTCCCACCAGGCCCCTCCTCCAGCCCTGAAGATCGTAATTCAACATGAGATCTGGGTGGAGACACAGAGAAAAACCATATCCGTGCATGTGTGGTTTCTCTGGATACTATAAAGAATCAAGGTTTTATTTAAAGAGGCACATCATTTTATGGGCAATTGGTCTTGACGAGATTGAGCTTTCTTTTAATACTATGATTGTAAGCAGACTTTAATGGTGATCCAGTCCATTGATACAGTTTGAATATGTGTCTCTTCTAAATCTCATGTTGAAATGTAATCTCCAATGTTAAAAATAAAGCCTGGTGGGAGGTGTTTGGGTTACAGGGGTGGATTCCTCATAGCTTGGTGCTGTCCTTACCATGATGAGTGAGTTCTCATGAGATCTGGTCATGGAAAAGTGTGTGGCACCTCCCCATCTCTCTTGCTTCTGCTATGTGACGTGACTACTCCCCTTTGCTTTCTGCCATGAGTTAAAGCTCCCTGAGGTCTCCCCAGAAGGAGTGCAGATGCCAGCACCATGCTTCCTTTACAGCCTGCAGATCCGTGAGCCAATTAAACCTCTTGATAAATTACCCAGCCTCATGCATTTCTTTCTAGCAATGCAAGAATGGCCTAACACATCTATCGAATCCATCGAATCCCATGGAATCTGTGGAGGGAAGTGCCTCGCAAGCACTTTGATCTACAAAGCAGTGCCTTTCAGAATTTATTTCAGTAACGGGGCACTGAAGAAGCATTAACTCTGTATCATGGCCTGTAGCATGCAAGTAGGACTTGAGAGAGGAGAACAAAGGCAGCTTAAAGTGCAGGTGGAAGAAGCGCTCACAGGCTGCATGGGATGTAGCTGTGTCCACCCAAAGAGTGACTAAGTCTTAAAGTAGACACCTAAGTGTATATATAAATTAGACAAGGTTTTGTAAACCAAGGTAGATATGAGCCTCTCACTTGCCCATTAGTGAGACCCATATAGGCAGAGGGAGAAGAAAATAAAGACCAATAGAGCAAACTGCTTTATAAGAATGATTATTGGCCAGGTGCAGTAGCTCACACCTGTAATCCCAGCACTTTGGGAGGCCGAGGTGGGCGGGATCACCTGAGGTTGGGAGTTCAAGACCAGCCTGACCAAGATGGAGAAACCCCCCCTCTCTACAAAAAATACAAAATTAGCTGGGTGTTACGGTCAAGCCTGTAATCCCAGCTACTCGGGAGGCGGAGGCAGGAGAATCGCTTGAACCTGGGAGGCGGAGTTTGCAGTGAGCCGAGATCGCGCCATTGCACTCCAGCCTGGGCAACAAGAGTGAAACTCTGTCTCAAAAAAAAAAAAAAAAAAAAAAAGAATGATTATTTTAGGCCAGGTGCAGTGGCTCATGCCTGTAATCCCAATATTTTGGGCGGCTGAGGCGGGAGGATTGCTTGAACCCAGGGGTCTGAGGGTGCAGTGAGCTATGATTGCACCACTACTGCACTCCAGACTGGGCAACACGGCAAGACTCTGCCTCAAAAAAATAAAAGAGAATAATTATTTTAGATTTTTAGAGCCCTAGTCTACAGAAATTAGACTTTATAAACACACACACACACAAAAATTGCATGTTTTTTTTTTTGGTGGGGGGTATTAATTTGCATTTCCTTATATAATGAGGTTTTAGACTATCATAGAATTCCCTGAGGTTGCCCAGCCTCCCTCTCTTCTTTGCTTCCTTCTTAATCTTATGAAAATGCTCAAAGATACACGAAAGTAAAGAGAAAAATATAATGAACCCAGATAAAGAGTTCCTTTCAATATCTTTTCTTTGGCATATTTGAAATAATTGCCTATGAAGTTTAGGAAGATTTCATTTTGTGTAAAGTGAAGCATAAATATATTTTATAAAATTATCCTCAGGAGATATGTACCCATGATAAAACTGTAAAGATCTTCTCCTAACCTAATATAAATCAGTAAATCTAGTAGAAGAGCAATATCAGAAAGTTTCTTTCTTTACATCTGCATTTAAAAAATCTGCCCTTTATGAGAATTTGAAGCTAAGGAGAAATGCTAAAAATACTTGTTTAGGCTAATATTTTTGGCGAGTTTGTTATGATAGAAGACATAGGATGCAACTGATCAATTATTTCAGTGAAATAATCACATTGATGGATTTTTCCCCCCACTAAGTCAACCGATGCTTTCACAAAATCAACCTATCAACGTTTTTGTTTGTTTGTTTGTTTGTTTTACATTGAGACAGAGTCTTTCTCTGTTGCCCAGGCTGGACTGAAGTGGTGCAATCATAGTTCACTGCAGCTTCCAACTCCTAGACTCAAGTGATCCTCCCACCTCAGCCTCCTGAGTAGTTGGGACTATAGGTGTGTGACACTATGTCTGGCTAATTTTTTTTTTCTTTCAGAGACGGGGTCTTGCTATGTTGCTTAGGCTGATCTCCAACTCTTGGCCTCAAGGGATCCTCCTGCCTTGGCCTCCCAAAGTGCTGGGATTACAGGAATGAGCCATCATGCTTGGCCAGAATCAAACTTTTAAAAGCATGACTTAGACACAATTTTAGCCCAGTGCTGTATGGACCAGGAAGAGGAAGGAAGACATATTTGGAGCTGGAGGAGGAATGTTATAACTGGGGTTAGTGGTTATCCAGGAGGCTCAGGCAGGGTGAACAGGATAACCTGGCCTTTGGGTCTCCACCTGTGAGGAGCTCCAAAGGCAGAAATAAATTTCTGGAGCTTGGCAGATGGCGGTGAAGAGATGAGCATGACTCATAGTTGAAGCGTTGAGTGTTAAATTGCTGCTTCTGAGGGGCCACTGGAAGGTGGTGGGAGGCAGAAGATGAGGGGATCAAATCATTCTATTATGAAGACACTTGCACACATACGTTCACCATAGCACTATTTACAATAGCAAAGACATGGTTCAACCTAAATACCCAACAGCGACAGACTGGATAAAGAAAATGTGGTACATATACACCATGGAATACTATGCAGCCATAAAAAAGAACAAGATCATGTCCTTTGCATGGACGTGGCTGGAGCTGGAGGCCATTATCCTTAGTGAACTAACACAGGAACAGAAAACCAAATATCGCATATTCTCATTTATAAGTGGTAGCTAAATGATGAGAACACGTGGACAAATAGAGGGAAATGGCACACACTGGGACCTTTCAGAGAGTGGAGGGTGGGAGGAGGGAGAGGATTAGGAAAAATAACTAATGAGTACTAGGCTTAATACCTGGGTGATGAAATGATCTGTACAACAATCCCTCATGACACAAGTTTACCTATGTCACAAACCCATACTTGTACCCCTGAACTTAAAATAAAGGTTAAGACCAGCCGGGCGCGGTGGCTCATGCCTGTAATCTCAGCACTTTGGGAGGCCGAGGTGGGTGGATCACGAGCTCAGGAGATCAAGACCATTCTGGCTAACCCTGTCTCTACTAAAAATACAAAAAATAGCCGGGTGTGGTGGCAGGAGCCTGTAGTTCCAGCTACTAGGGAGGCTGAGGCAGGAGAATGGCGTGAACCTGGGAGGCGGAGCTTGCACTGAGCCAAGGTGGCGCCACTGCACTCCAGCCTGGGTGACAGAGCGAGACTCCATCTCAAAAAATAAATAAATAAAATAAAATAAAATAAAATAAAATAAAATAAAATAAAATAAAATAAAATAAAGGTTAAGATCCCTCCCTCCACAAAAAAACCCCACAAAGTATTATCAAGAAAGAGAAGGTGGTAAGTTGCAGGGACTCATGCCTGTAATCCCAGCACTTTGGGAGGCTGAGGTGGGCAGATTGCTTGAGGTCAGGAGTTCAAGACCAGCCTGGGCAACGTGGCAAAACCCTGTCTCTACAAAAAACACAAAAATTTGTTAGGCGTGTTGGACAAAGGTTCAGGATGAAGTTAGTGAACCAGGTGAAGGTGTCAGAAATCTGTTCTTGGTGTAGTTGTTTCCATCGTAGGCTAAGGCCACTGCAAATGTGGAGACACTGAAACAGTGGTAGATTTCACCTGTATGGAACCAACTGGGGGTACTGCATAGAGCATGGTTCTCACACTGCAGACTGTTAAAGCCCCTGGGGGGCTTTTAAAGATCCCCATGCCCAGGCCACGTCATAACAAATCAGAATCTCTGCAGGGGCACCCGGGCATCAGCACTCTTTAAAGTTCCCCAGGTGATTTCAACGTGCAGCCACATTGAGACGGAGTGGCATAGCGTTAAGAGACCGGACCTGAAGGCACCTGTTCCATGCTGGCACTAGCACTTTACGAATTATGCGATCTTGGACACATTGCTTAACTTCTCTGAGCTTCAGTTGTTCAGATAGAATTTAAAGGGATTGGACTGGCCGGGCGCGGTGGCTCATGCCTGTAATCCCAGCACTTTGGAAAGCCGAGGTGGGAGGATCACTTGAGCCCAGGAGTTTAAGACCAGCATGGCCAACATGGTGAAACCTCGTCTCTACTAAAAATAACAAAAATTAGCCAGATGTGGTAGTGCACACCTATAATTCCAGCTACTCAGGAGGCTGACGCAGGAGAATGGCTTGAACCCGGGAGGCAGAGGTTGCAGTGAACCGAGATCGTGCCACTGCATTCCAGTCTGGGTGACAGAGCAAGACTGTCTCAAAAAATAAAAATAAATAAATAAATAAATAAATAAATAAATAAATAAATAAAGGAGTTAGGCTAAACGATCTTATTGGTGGTTTAAAAAAATGGCCACAAAATTCTTTGAGAGGTAGGGTCTCTGCCCCTCCCATGGAATCTGGACTCTGGGACTGCTTGGTCAATAGAAAACGGCAGACGTGATGCTGCTCTGGATTCCAGTATCCGTCTTCAGAAACCAACAGCTTCTACTTCCTGCCTTGTGGGACACTTGCTTCTCGAAAGCAGCCACCAGGCTGAGCAGCCCAGGTCACATGGAGAGACCGTGTGTAGAGAGTGACGTGAGTGCAATAGCTTTAGATGATATCAGTCCCAGCCATTGAGTCATTCTCAGCCTTTGAGCCTTTGTAGCTGATGCCTTGGATAGACGCGGTAGAGCAGAGACAAGCTGTCCCCATGGTGTCCTGCCCAAATTCCTCACCCACTGTGTCCATGAGCAGAATGAACTTGGTATTTTTCTTTGTGAAGTTTTTGGGTGGGTAGTTATGCAGCAAAGATAATTACAACAATCTTTAACCTGCACATTTAAGGAGTATTACAGAGTCATAGTATAGGGGAATGTTTGAGAGGGTAAACTCTGGAGGCAGACAGTCTAGGTTTAAATCCTGGTGTCATTTTTCTCTAGCTGTGTGAATTTGGATAATTACTTACCCTTTCTTTCTTTCTTTTTTTTTTTTTTTTGGAGAGACATGATCTTGCTCTGTCACCCAGGCTGGAGTGCAGTGGTGCCATCATAGCTCACTGCAGCCTCCAACTCCTGGGCTCAAGGATCTTCCCACCTCAGTCTCCCAAGTAGCTGGGACTACAGGTACACACCACCATACTCGGCTAATTTTTAGATTTTTCTTTTTGTAGAGATAGGGAGGAGGGGGTCTCCCTGTGTTGCCCAGGCTGGCCCCGAACTTCTGGCCTCAAACAATCCTCCTGCCTCAGCCTCCCAAAGTGGTGGGATTACAGGTGTGAGCCACAGTACCCAGCGCTACCTACCCTTTCTAGGTCTCGCTTCCTCCATCTGAAATGGGATAATAGTCATTTAAATCATAGGGTTGTTGTGAGGATTAAATAACTTAATATTAAGGTGTTAATATTAATGCTTAATCTGGGACTTAAGGAGTGAGTCTGCAGTGATTCTGAGAATGATGGTGATAAAGAAGGTGGCTCAGCCTTGTGTGCTCTGTAGCTTGCAAGATGTTTGGGGGTGGCCTGGGGTGGTGGGGGCTGCTGCATAAACTGAGCGTGATGTGCATTTTCCTGGTGCGTGTTCCACGTTGCTAAGTACATGCAGAGATACACATTGTTCTTAACGATTCAGCAGGTGTTCAAAGGCACCTTGGGAGTGTGTAGCATGTCTCTGGACCTGTCACTGTCACATTGCTCAGAAATTGGATTCTGCAGGGTGGAAACATGTGGCTTGTTGGCAAGGCAACTGGTTCAGAGCAGGGACATTCCCAGGCTAAGAGAGTGCGCCTTGTCCATTGGGTTACAGCCCTCATAAAAGCCTGTTTGAGTGTTTGTTTGTTTGTTTTGATATGGAGTCTCGCTCTTTCACCCAGGCTGGAGTGCAGTGGTGCATTCTCAGCACACTGCAACATCCGCCTCTTGGGTTCCAGCGATTCTCCTGCCTCAGCCTCCCGATTAATTGGTGTTTGCATTCTTTTCTGGATGCTCTGAGACATCGGACCACTGCGAGTGGTGAGGGGAGGATGGCTCCAGCTGCGCTCCTTTCTTATACACCCTGGCTGCTAAAATCAAGCATCAGACCCACAAAGTGTGGGAAATGCTGGACCTGGTGGAGGAGGGAGGCCACGCAGCCCCGAGCACTTCTGACTTTGGTCTTTTTTGCCTCCACATAGATGGAGACCCGAGAGAGGGTTTGTCTGTACTTCTGCATTTGAGGTCATCAATTTCCATTTAAAAACCAGAAGTGGGCTGGGCTCTGTGGCTCATGCCTGTAATCTCAGCACTTTGGGAGCACCAGGAGGGTGGATTACCTGAGGTCAGGAATTCGAGACCAGCCTAGCCAACATGGTGAAACCCCATCTCCACTAAAAATACAAAAAGTAGTCAGGCATGGTAGTGGACCCCTGTGATCCCAGCTACTTGGGAGGCTGAGGCAGGAGAATCGCTTGGACCCGGGAGGTGGAGGTTGCAGTGAGCCGAGGTTGCGCCACCGAACTCAGCCTGGGCGACAGAGTGAGACTCTGTCTCAAAACAAAAAACAAAACACAAAACCAAAAAACCCAAAAACAATCTTTGTCTTTTTGAGCTCCAGTCAGGAGAGACATAGATAAAAAATAAAATGTGGTTTATTAGTGATAAGTGCTGTGTAGAAAATAAAGCAGGGAAGAAAGATGGAAACTTACAGAGTCGGAGACTGTTTGAGTTTTAAATACCACGCAGGGAAGACCCTGATGAGAGGGTGACGTTTGAATCAAGTCTTGAAAGAGGTGAAGAAGTGAGCCATGAAGTTGCCTGGGGGAAAAGCCTTCTGTGTAAAAGCTAGCAGCCCGGGTAACTGCCCAGGGAGGGTGCCTGGTGTGTTTGAGAAAACAGCAAGGAGGCCGGTGTAGCTGGCCTGGTACGGGTGAGGGTGAGAAGAATGGGAATGAGGAAACTGTGACTTCAGGACCAGATCATCTACAACCTTGTGGGTCATTCCAAGGACTGTGGCTTTTACTCTGAGTGAAATGGGAAGCCCATGGAAGGTTTAGAGCAGCAGAGGGATAGGATCCCATTGAATTTGTAAAAACTGAATTAAAAAAATTAAAAACACACCATGTTGGGAGGCCGAGGCGGGTGGATCATGAGGTCAAGAGGTCGAGACCATCCTGGCCAACATGGTGAAACCCTGTCTCTACTAAAAATACAAAAATTAGCCAGGCGTGGTGGCGGGCACCTATAGTCCCAGCTACTCGGGAGGCTGAGGCAGGAGAATCGCTTGAACCCGGGAGGCAGAGGTTGCAGTGAGCCGAGATCATGCTATTGCACTCCAGCCTGGCAACAGAGTGAGACTCTGTTCTCAAAAAAAAAAAAAAAAAAAATTAAAAACAGCTTTATTGAGATAAAAGTGACATAGGGTAAATGACACTTATTTATTGCTTTTTTAAGTTGTAGATCTTTTTTAAGCTGTAGATTTAATGGATATAACTTGATGTGTTTGGAGAAAAGTTTACACCTCTGAAGCCATGAAACCATCATCACAATGCTGTTCAATGTATCTATCACTTCCAGTACGTTTCCCTCACCTCCCCTTCCCTGCTCTGCCCCACTGTAGGCTATACACATTTCAAGTGTGCAATGTGGTAATTTAAAAAAAGTGTAGGCTGGTTGTGATGGCTCATGCCTGTAATCTCAGCACTTTGGGAGGCCAAGGTGGGCGGATCACTTGAGGCCAGGAGTTTAAGACCAGTCTGGGCAACATGGTGAAACCCCATCTCTACTAAAAAAATATATAAAAATTAGCTGGGCCTGGTGGCACATGGCTGTAATCCCAGCTACTTGGGAGGCTGAGGCAGGAGAATTACTTGAACCCTGGAGGTGGAGGCTGCAGGGAGCCGAGATCTCACCACTGCACTCCAGCCTGGGCGATAGAGTGAGACTCTGTCTCAAAACAAAAACAACACAAAAAATTTAATTGTGGTAAAATACACATAACATAAAATTTACCATCTTTGCCATAGTGTAGTGTGTAGTTCATTAGCATTAAGACCATTCACATTCTTGAGTAACCAATCTGCAGAACTTCATTTTGCAAAATAGAAACTCTACACTCATTAAACAATTCCCCATTGTCCCCTCCCCGAGCCCCTGGCAAACACCATGTAACTTTCTGTCTCTATGATTTTTTTTTTTTTTTTTTAGACAAAGTCTTGCTCTGTTGCCCAGGCTGGAGTGCAGTGGTGTGGTCTCAGCTCACTGCAACCTCTGCCTCCCAGGCTCAAGCAATTCTCCTTCCTCAGCCTCCTGAGTAGCTGGGATTACAGGCACGCGCCACTATGACCAGCTAGTTTTTGTATTTTTAGTAAAGATGGGGTTTCACCATGTTGCCCAGGCTGGTCTCCAACTCCTCACCTCAAGTGATCCACCCGCCTCAGCCTCCCAAAGTGCTGGGATTACAGGCGTGAGCCACCATGCTGGGCCCAATACTTGTCTTTTGATGACTGGCTTATATCACAAAACATAATGTCCTCAAAGTTCATCTATGTTGTATCACGTGACAGGATTTTCCTTCCATTATAATATATATGCCACATTTAAAAATCCATTTATCTGTCAATAGACCTTAGGTTGCTTCAGCTTTTTGGCAATTATGAATAGCGCTACTATGAATATGGGTGTATAAATATCTCTTGGAGATCCTGCTGTCAATTCTTTTGGGTATATACCCAGAAATAGAATTGCTGGATCATATGGTGACGCTATTTTAAAGTTTTTGAGGAGTGGCCATACTGTTTTCTATAGCAGCTGCACCATTTTATATTCCCACCAAGAGGTGCAAGGGTCCCAGTTTCTTCACATCTTTGCCAACACTTGTTATTTTCTTTCTTGTCTTTTCTTTCTTTCGGCTTTTTGTTTTGTTTTGTTTTGTTTTTTGCTTTTTGACACAGTCTTGCTCTGTCACCAGGCTGGAGTGCAGTGGTGCAGTCTTGGCTCACTGCAACCTGTGTCTCCCAGGTTCAAGCAATTATCCCACCTCAGCCTCCCAAGTAGCTGGGACTACAGGTGCCTGCCACCATGCCCAGCTAATTTTTGTATTTTTAGTAGAGACAGGGTTTCACCATGTTGACCAGGATGGTCTCGATCTCTTGACCTCGTGATCTGCCCACCTTGGCTTCCCAAAGTGCTGGGATTACAGGTGTGAGCCACTGCACCCGGCCTCTTTTCTTTCTTTCATAGTAACCATCCTAAGTGTGTGAGGTGGTATCTCTTTGTGGTTTCGATTTGTATTTCCCTAATGATGTCTGAAGTTGAGCATCTCTTCATATGCTTATTGGCCATTTGTGTATCTTCTTTTTAAAAATATCTATTCAAGTGCTTTGCCCATTTTTTCTTTCTTTCTTTTTTTTTTTTTTTTTTTTTTTGCCAGGATCTCACTCTGTCACCCAGGCTGGAGTGCTGGAGTGCAGTGGCACTATCTCTGCTCATTGCAACCTCCGCCTCCCGGGTTCAGGTGACCTTCCCACCTTAGCCTCCTGAGTAGCTGGGATTACAGGTGCATGCCACTATGCCTGGCTAATTTTTTGTATTTTTGGTAGAGATGGTGTTTTGTCATGTTGCCCAGGCTGGTCTTGAACTCCCGGGTTCAAATGATCTACCTGCTTTTGGTCTCCCAAAGTGCTGCGCTTACGGGCATGAGCCACTGTGGCCGGCCTTTTGTCCGTTTTTTTCATGGGATCGTTTATTATTATTATTTGTTGTTGAGATGCAGGTGTTCATTTTTATATTCTGGACATCAGTCCCTCATTAGGTATATTATTTGCAAATATTCGCTCCAATTCAGTAGGTTACCTTTTTACTCTGTTGATTGGGTCCTTTGTTGCACAGATGTTTTTAATTTTGATGTAGTCCAATTTATCTATTTTTACTTTCATTGCCTATGGTAACTTGATAAGTTTTTACACGTATACACACCTGTGAAACCATTGCCACAATCAAGATAGTAAGCTCGTCCAGCATTCCCAGAAAATGTGTCCTCATGCCTCTTTGCAATTTCTCCTTCCTCATCTTCTCCTCTCCTTCATCACTTGTCCCCAGGTAGCCACTGATCTGTTTTTTAGTCATTACAGGTTATTTTTTTTCTAGAATTTTATATAAATGGAATCATACAGCATGTACTCTTTTTTTTTTTTTTTGGTCTGATTTCTTTTTCCACAGCATAATTATTTTGAGATTCATTCATTTTGTATCAATAATTCACTCCTTTCCATTTTATCACCATACACCCATCAAAATTTGTTTATCTAATTATCTGGATATCTGGGTTGTTTGTAGTTTTGGGTTAGTAAAAACGAAGTTGCCAAAGGCCAGGCGCGGTGGCTCAAGCCTGTAATCCCAGCACTTTGGGAGGCTGAGGCGGGCGGATCACGAGGTCAGGAGATCGAGACCATCCTGCCTAACACGGTGTAACCCTGTCTCTACTAAAAATACAAAAAATTAGCTGGGCCTGGTGGCGGGCACCTGTAGTCCCAGCTACTCGGGAGGCTGAGGCAGGAGAATGGCATGAACCTGGGAGGCGGAGCTTGCAGTGAGCCCAGATAGCGCCACTGCACTCCAGCCTGGGCGTCAGAGTGAAACTCCATCTCAAAAAAAAAAAAAAAAAATGAAGTTGCTATGAACATTCAGGTACAAGTCTTTGTAAAGACATATGCTTTCTCTTCTCTGCAACAGATATGTAGGAGGGGAATGGCTGGATCTTATGGTGGGCATAGGTTTAACTTCTTAAGATATTGTCAAACTTTTTCCCAATGTGATTGCACTATTTCATATCCCCACTACCAGTATGAGAGATCTAATTCCTTCACACTCTTGCCAACATATGGTATGATCAGTTATTTTAATTTTAGTATTTCTAATAGCTGGGTGGTGGTACCTTATTGTGTGTGTGTGCGTGTGTGTGTGTTTTAGAAACAGGGTCTCACTCTGTCACCCAGGCTGGAGTGCAGTGGTATGAGCATAGCTCACAGTAACCTCAAACTCCTGGCCCAGGGGATCCTCCCGCCTCAGCCTCCTGAGTAGCTGAGACTACAGGCACACACTATCATGCCAGCTTATTATTTTATTTTCTGTACAGATGAGGTCTTACTATGTTGCCCAGGCTGGGCTTGAACTCCTGGCCTCAAGTGATCTTCTTGTCTTGGGCTTTCAAAGTGCTGGGATTATTCACGTTGAGCATCTTTTCATGTGCATATCTCTTCTTCAGTAAAGTGTCTGTTTAAAGTGTTTGCCAGTTTTTAAAATTTGGATTGCTTATCTTCTAATTATTGAATTTTGAGTGTTTTACAGTTTACTCTGGATCCAAGTCCTTTGTCAGATACCGGTTTTGCAAATATTCTCCTCTAGTCTGTGACTTGTCTTTTTATAGTTTTTAACAGCATCATTTGAAGAGCAGATTTTAATTTTGACAAAGTCTAATTTGTCAGCTTTTTTTTTTTTTTTTGAGACCGCGTCTCACTTTGTCACCCAGGCTGGAGTGCAGTGGCACCATCTCGGCTCATTGCAACCTCTGCCTCCCAGGTTCAAGTGATTCTCATGCCCCAGCCTCCCAAGTAGCTGGGACTACAGGCACATGCCACCATGCCCAGGTTAAGTTTTATTTTTAGTAGAGACAGGGTTTCACCATGTTGACAAGGCTGGTCTTGAACACCTGACCTCAAGTAATCCACCCACCTCAGCCTCCCAAAGTGCTGGGATTACAGGTGTGAGCCACCACGTCTGGCCTGTCAGTTCTTTTTATAGGTTTGTTCTTTTATGGTGTGGTCCCACTTAAGGTTTTAAGAGGATCTCTCTGGCCACTATTGAGAAGAGAGTTGGAGGTGGCTGTGGGGAGACCAGTTAAGAGGCGATAACAAGAAATCAGGCAAGCCTGGGCGCGGTGGCTCACGCCGGCAATCCCAGCACTTTGGGAGGCCGAGGCGGGCGGATCACCTGAGGTCAGGAGTTGGAGACCAACCTGGCCAACATGGTGAAACCCCATCTCTACTAAAAATACAAAAATTAGCCTGGTGTGGTGGTGCATGCCTGTAATCCCAGCTACTCAGGAGGCTGAGGCAGGAGAATCACTTGAACCCAGGGGGCGGAGGTTGCAGTGAGCCGAGATCGCACCACTGCACTCCAGCCTGGACGACAGAGTGAGACCGTGTCTTAAAAAAAAAAAAAAAGAAAGAAATCAGGCAAGGGATGATGATGGCTTGGACCAGGGTGGTTGTAGTGGAGGTGATGAGAAGACGAGGGATTTGGGGCTATGCTGAATCTAGGACCAATGGGATTTTCTGATGGATTGGATGTGAGATGTAAAACAAGGAGAGAAAGCAAAGAGACTCCAGCAGAAGGGCCGGAAGGGTGGTTTTACCCTTACATGAGACTGCAAGGCAGTGGCAGAACAGGTGAGGGCAAAGACGTGGAGCCCCATGTTTGACCTATTAGGTTTGAGATGCCTGTTGACATCCCAAGTGGAATAGGTGTTTGGACATATGAGTCTAGGCTCACTGTGATTCAGCCTCTGGTCATGCTAGGTTCTATGTTATCTTCTGGTATTCCTCTTCTGGATTTATATCCTCCGCTGAACTTGTCACTTCCTTTATTGGAGCCATATACTTACTAACTGCACACATTCTGAGTCATGTAGGCAGTTGTTCAGGACTCGAGCTCAACTTGGATCAGCTATGTTTCTGTCTCTCATCAACTCATATGCCGATTTGTCCTTCACAAGCCCGTGACAATGCAGGAGCCGTGAGTGAAGTCACTTTCCACGCATGGCTTTGGACTGGGTAGAGATTTTCAAGCCTTGCTGACTTTTGGGAAGAAAAAGCCTAAGGCTGCCTCTAGGTCCGTCTCTCATTATCCTGAAGCCTGTCCCTCTGGTGATTTGCATTTTTCTCCATTTGTAGATTTAAATGAATCTGAGGATAATGCTGTCTGCTGTCCAACTCTTCCTGCCTATTGACCAAATCACAAAAGGGAGGCATAACCACCTAGTCCTCGGTCCTGCAGGTCAAAGAAGCTACGTGGAAGGTTACCGGCTTTTTTTTTTCTTTTTTTTTTAATATTTATTTTTTTAAATTTTCTATTTCCATAGGTTATTGGGGAACAGCTGGTATTTGGTTACATAAGTCCTTTAGTAGTGATTTGGGAGATTTTGGTGCACACATCACCTGAGCAGTATACACTGAACCCAATTTGTAGTCTTTTGTCCCTCACCCCTTTCCCATCCTTTCCCCCTGAGTTCCCAAAGTCCATTGTGTCATTCTTATGCCTTTGCATCCTCATAGCTTAGCTCCCGCTTATGAGTGAGAACATACGATGTTTGGTTTTCCATTCCTGAGTTACTTCACTTAGTATAATAGTCTCCAATTCCATCCAAATTGCTGCAAATGCCATTAATTCATGCCTTTTTATGGCTGAGTAGTATTCCATCGTATATATGTACTACAGTGTCTTTATCCACTCATTGATTGATGGGCATTTGGGTTGGTTCCACGTTTTTGCAATTGCAAATTGTGCTGCTATAAACATGCATGTGCAAGTATCTTTTTTGTATAATGACTTTTTTTCCTCTGGGTAGATGCCCAGTAGTGGGATTGCTGGATCAAATGGTAGTTCTACATTTAGTTCTTTAAGGATTCTCCATACTATTTCTGGAAGGTTACTGTTCATCCAGATGAAACTTGAGTCCATTTCCCAACTATGCAGAGATTTGTTTTGTGTTTTGAGTATTGGGTTTAAGAAAAATACTTCTTTTTTTTTTTTTTTTTTTTTGAGACAGAGTCTTGCTTGAGTGCAGTGGCACAATCATAGTTCAGTGCAACCTAGAACTCCTGGGCTTAAGCAATCCTTCCATCTCAGCCTCCCCAGTAGTTGGGACTACAGGCATGCACCACCATGCCTGGCCAAGGGAAAGACTTCATCTTTAAGGAAGATCGAATAACCAGCAGGGGTATATTACTGAGGCCAATAAATGCCTCTTTGGTCCTCTGGGCAAGTGAAGCAGTGCCATCAGCTGGCTGGTCCCACACACCACATGGTGTCCCCAGGGGGGATGTATGCTGAGTTTATTATTTCAAATATCTTAGATGCAGAGTTCCCAGATGTAATATTAGGCTCCCCAGAAGGTGCCAATTCATTAGAGTAGCTTTCAGTATATTTTAATTTTGTTTCTCACCAGATCGCTACTTGTACTAAAACCAAAATAATTCCAAAAAGAAAAGTGATTTATACACCTCCCTTGTTCATGCAGTGGCGATTTTCATTGTTCCTTTCTCCTTCTATGTCTTTGTCCATTCTCATCATGTTTACATTGTTGTAAGTCATTGTGTATATGCATTTGAAGTGATACAATTTTGTATTATCATTATTCATTTTTTTTTTTTTTGAGACAGGGTCTTGCTGTGTCACCCAGGCTGCAGTGCAGTGGTGGTGTGAGCTCTGCTTACTGCAGCCTCGATCTCCTGGGCTCAATCATCCCTCCCACCAGATGGCACAACAGGCATGTGCCACCATACCCAGCTTGTCTTCATATTTTTGTAGAGATAGGGTTATACCATGTTGCCCAGGCTGGTCTCAGGTGATCTGCCTGCCTTGGTCTCTCAAAATGCTGGGATTATATGCATGAGCCACTGCGTCCAGCCTGAAGAGCTTTACTTAATCCTCATAATCACTCTTTAGATATTGTCATTAGCCCCATTTTACAGATAAGGAAAATGAGGCATATATATATATATATATATATACACACACACACACACATATATACACATATATGTATATATGTATACGTGTACATATATACATATGTATACCGACACACACAAATACATATATACACATATATGTAAATTTATTTTTCTTGTTAGAAATGACATTGCAAAAAACATCTCATGTAGTTTTATTTTTTTAATCTTTAAAAATTCCTTAGGATAAAGGGATATTATGAAATTTTAAGATGATCCCTGATGTCCAATCTCGTATGAGTCAACTCGCTTTACCACAGTGTTGTAATACTAGGTAACTCTTAAAATTCTCCTAATGTAGGGGCCTGGGCATGGTGGCTCATTGCCTGTAGTCCCAGAACTTCAAGAGGTTGAGGCGGGAGGATCACTTGAGGGGAGTGGATCACTTGAGGCGAGGAGTTTGAGACCAGCCTGGCCAGCATGGCAAGACACCGTCTCTACTAAAAATACAAAAATTTGCCGGGCGTGGTGGCACATATCGGTAATCCCAGCTACTTGGGAGGCTGAGACATGAGAATCACTGGACCCTGGGAGGCGGAGGCTGAAGTGAGCTGAGATTGCACCACTGCACTCCAGCCTGGGTGACAGAGCGAGAGACTCTGTCTCAAAAAACAACCCAACTATCTTAATGTAGTGAGTGTAAGATGCTCCCACACTGTTCTATTTCTTTGATCACAGCAAAATTGAACATTTTTTCACACACTTGTTTGCTAATAGTATCTCTTTTTTCATGAATTGTCTTCTCAAGTTCTTTGCCAGTTTACATATTGGAGACTTAATTTTTTTTTTTTTTTTTGGTATCGACATGTGTAAGTCCTTATTTTTTTTGTTCCAACATGCGTTAAGTTCTTTTTTTTTGAGATGGAGTTTCACTCTTGTTGCCTGGGCTAGAGTGCAATGGCGTGATCTTGGCTTGGCTCACTGCAATCTCTGCCTCCCGGGTTCAAGCGATTATCCTGCCTCAGCCTCCCAAGTAGCTGGGATTACAGGTGCCCTCCACAACACCGGGCTAATTTTTTTGTATTTTAAGTAGAGACGGGGTTTCACTACGTTGGCCAGGCTGGTCTCCAACTCCTGATCTCAAGTGATCCACCTGCCTCAGCCTCCCAAAATGCTGAGATTACAAGCATGAGCCACTGTGCCCAGACCAACATGCGTAAGCTGTTCACATAACACAGAACTTTTTGTTATATTTGCCGTGAACATTTGCTCCAGATAGCTTCCCTTTGATTTTAGCTTTGGAAGTTTTGTCAAGTGGTTGTTTACTTTGATAACATACAAACCATCCATCCTCTGTGATTTCTTTCAACTTAACTTGTAAAGTTACCACCCTTTGTGCTTGCGTTAGCAGCACATATACTGAAGTTGCAACAGTACAGTGGAAATTTGCATGGCCCTTGCATCAGGATGACATAGATTTATAAAGTCCATATTTTTTGTAGTATAAGAATATAGACCAGGCTTGGTGGCTCACGCTTGTAATCCCAGCACTTTAGGATGCCGAGGCTGGTGGATCACCTGAGGTCAGCAGTTTGAGACCAGCCTGGCCAACATCGTGAAACTCCGTCTCTACTAAAAATACAAAAATGAGCTGGGCGTGGTGGTGGGCGCCTGTAATCCCAGCTACTCGGGAGGCTGAGGCGAGAGAATCGCTTGAACCTGGGAGGAGGAGGTTGCAGTGAGCCAAGATCGTGCTGTTGCACTCCAGCCTGGGCAACAAGAGCGAAATTCCGTCTAAAAAAAGAAAGAAAAAAAGAATTATATCTGAGTGAAGCTGTTACAACACCCTCCTCCCCACAAAAAAACTTATCATCCCTCTGAAGATTTGAAGCAGTACAGTAAAACAAGTTTCTTTTTAGAGGTGAGAATTCTCTTTAAGCTTTTCCTATCCATATTCATGTTATCTGTGCCTATAATTTTCTTTTTGTGTGTTTTATCTTTATCAGGGTCTGAGAAGAAGTTCATGCTTGCCAAATAGACATAAAGGAACTCATCTCTTTTTGCACACATTATTATTTTTTTTTTTTTTTAGACAGGGTCTCACTCTGTTACCCAGGCTGGAGTGCAGTGGTGCAAACACAGCTCACTGCAGCCTCAACCTTTCAGGCTCAAGTGATCCTCCTATCTCAGCCTCCCAAGTATCTGAGACTACAGGCACACATACCCTATGTCCGGTTAATTTTTGTATTTTTAGTAGAGATGGGGTTTTGCCATGTTGCCCAGGCTGGTCTCAAATGCCTGAGCTCAAGCAATCCGCCTACCTGGGCCTCCCAAAGTGCTAGGATTATAGGTATGAGCCACCACACCAGGCCCACTCTGTATGCTTTATACAACATTAAAATTATCTGTTTCTTAAACATATAAAAATTGCCCTGGTGGAAATAATGGGACCAACTGCAGTTTTGGGATTGTTATTGGATGATTTTCTCAATTTTTTTCTTAGTTGTTATTCTGTTTGGATTTATACTTAGATTATTTTTAGTAATCTATATCTTTCTAGAAATTATTTCATTGAGGATTTCAGTTTATTAGTCTAGAAGAATGCATAACATTCTCTTTGGATTTTGGGGAAAATCTATTTTCTATAAATTGTCCTATCTCCTTTCTCATTTCTAATTAAAAATATTCCCTTAATTAAATTTGTCAGAGGTTTATTTTAGTCACCTTATCAAAAAAAACCAGCTTTTGAACTCATTTATCATTTTACTGCTTTATGTTGTACAAAGTATTTATTTCAGGTTTTATCTTTATTTACCACCTCTTTAAAAATTGCTTTTCTGCTTAACTTTTAAATGACAGGCTTTGTTAATATCAGTTTGGATAATCCCAGCCTGAATAAGATTCTGATGCCTGACACACTGGTGGGGGGAGAAGCTGATGGATTATCATTGTATGTTTATCAGTCAGGCACCAGTGAGGACAACAATAGGGCCCACACCAGCTAATTCAATAGAAGAAATTAAAATACAGGGAACTAGTTGTCAGATGCTGGAAGAGTTGAAAGTCAAATGAGCTAGTGAGTCATTGCAGAGATGAGCAACAGCAGCAAGCTGTGACTCCCCACCCACACACAGCTGGAGGGACAGAAGACAGAGGGAATGTCACCAGATTCCAGGAGCTGGGATATGTGCTGAGACCCAGCACAGCTCTCATGAGACACTCCAGAAGGGATAGATGGGGAAAGGGTTGGGGAAGAAAAGGGGTGGGGAGGAATAACTTTTACTACTCCTCTCCCTGCAGTCTCCTGCCAGTGCCACTCTTTGGTGGAAATTCACCAGAAGCCAGTTGATCAAGGAGCCTGAGAAACGTAATTTCCACGGGCCAGGCCCCTGTGACAGGAGCAGAACCAGGAAAAGCAGGCAGCCCATGGGCCTGAGAATAGATAATGACTAGCAGGCACTTTGCATTTAAATGCAGGTTAGGTCAGAAGGGCTTGTGATGCTCCACTGTCTTAGTCTGCTTGTGCTGCGGTAACAGATTACAACAGATTGGGTAATTTACAAAGAGCAGAAATTTATTTCTCACAGCTCTGGAGGCTGGGAAGTCCAAGATCAATGTGCTGGCATCTGGTGTGGGCTTTCTTGTTGTGTTCACACATGGCAGAAAGCAGAAGGGAAATTGAGAGTAGACCCACTCCGGCAAGCCCTTTTTACAGTGGCATTAATCCATTTACAAGGGCAGATCCCTCATGACCTAAATGCCTCCCAAAGGGCCCCACCTCCCAACACTGTTGCATTGGGGATGAAGTTTCCAACACATGAATTTTGGAGGAGACACATCCAAACCATAGAATTCACAGACGACAGAGCTAGCACCAGGATGCTGTAAACATCTTCGCTAAGTCCTGCTGGGTCCTAGCTTCTGGACTCCTTCCTTATTCTCCCTTTTCTCTTCTTCTTTGAGACTGCTAAGCTAAGCCATTTAAAAGGGGTAAGTCAGGTTTTTGTGCTGGTTCTTCCTCCAGTCAGCTCTGTTTCCTTTGGCCATCAAGGTTAAAAGCCTTGATTTTAACCTGACCCTGTGCTCAGGGATGCCCAGGTCTTTATCTCTAGTCTTGGCTTCTTTCCTTGGCTCTGGCCCTGTATTTCTAATGGCTTGCTGGATGTCAGTGATGCCTCAAAATTGCTGCAAATTGAATTTTTGATCTTCTCTTCTCCCCAATCTGTTTTGTTTCCTTCATTCTTTTCTCAGTTGATAGAAACGCCTCCATTCAGACATCAGAGCTGGCTAAGGATGGATCAAGCCTTAACCCTTCCTTCTTTCTTACATTCTGTATGGGCGTCCACAGAACTACCTAATTCTATGCCCTAAGATGTCCATGTATTTCTTCTTTTATTTCTTTAAAGACAGGGTCTTACTCTGTTGCCCAGGCTGTGCAGTGGTGCAATCATAGCTCACCACAGTCTAGAATTCCTGGGCTCAAGCAATCCTCCTACCTCAGCCTCCCCAGTAGCTGGGACTACAGGCACATACCACCATGCCTAGCTTATATATATATATATATATATTTTTTTTTTTTTTTTTTGAGACAGATTCTTGCTCTGTCACCCAGGCTGGAGTGCAGTGGTGTGATCTTGGCTCACTGCAAGCTCCACCTCCCGGGTTCACGCCATTCTCCTGCCTCAGCCTCCCGAGTAGCTGGGACTACAGGCACCCGCTACCATGCCTGGCTAATTTTTTGTATTTTTAGTGAGATGGGGTTTCACCGTGTTAGCCAGGATGTTCTCTATCTCCTGACGTCGTGATCTGCCTGCCTCGGCCTCCCAAAGTGCTGGGATTACAGGCGTAAGCCACTGCGCCTGGCCTATATATATATTTTTGAGATGGAGTCTCACTCTGTCGTCCAGGCTGGAGTGCAGTGGCATGATCTTAGCTCACTGCAATCTCTGCCTCCTGGGTTTAAGTGATTCTCCTGCCTCAGCCTCCTGAGTTGTGGGGATTACAAGTGTGCACCATCACGCCTGGCTAATTTTTGTATTTTTAGTAGAGATGGGGTTTCACCATGTTGATCAGGCTGGTCTTGAACTCCTGGCCTCAAGCGATCCACCCACCTCAGCCTCCCAAAGTGCTGGGATTACAGGCATGAGCCACTGTGCTGGCCATTAATTAATTTTTTATTATAGTCTTGCTGTGTTGCCCAGGCTGGTCTCGATATCCTGGCCTCAAGCAATCCTACCACTGTTGCCTCCCAAAGTGCTGGGATTACAGGCATGAGCCACTGTGCCTGGCCTGTTTCTTCTTATTTCTACTGCACCTGCACCAGCTCTGACCTCATTATTTCTCCTCTGGCCTCTAACAGCAACCTCCAAGCCAGTCTCCTTTCCTCCAGTCTCCCCGTCTCATTCCATTCTCCACTGACACCACAGCAATCATTTTGGAAATACAAGTTGGATCAAGTTATTTAAGGCCACAAATTCCAAAGGTCCCCCAAGTGTTCAGGATTTGCCTCAGCCTCTGCACTCTTCCCACTTCATCTTTTGTCATTTTCTACACTGCTGTCTGGTCCAATCCTGCCAGACTACGTTTGCTCCCCTGAGAAGGCCAGTTTCTTTTGTTTTCCTGAACCTAGGCACTTGCTGCTTTCTCTGGGTCCTGTGTAAGGCAGCAGTTCTCACAATGGGATCCCTGGACCAGCATCAGCAACATCATCACGTGGGAACCTGTTAGAAAGGCAAATTCTCGGGTCCTACCCAGACCTACTGAATCAGAACTTTTGGCCTGGGGCTTGGGAATCTGGGTTTTAAAAAAGCCCCCTAGAAGATTTAAATTCAAGGGAAGGTTGAGGAGTCACTATTATAAGGAAACTCCTCTTACACCTTGAATTCTGCTCAATTGCAGATGGGAGCTCTGTGTAGCCATTCCTGTTACCCCTGGATGGAGTTACTTGCCCCCTCCTGGATTTTCTCCCAGCACTTTACCAATGTCTCTACTAGAGCTGTTAAAAACCAGTTGGCAGGGCGAGGTGGCTCACGGCTGTAATCCCAACGCTGTTGGGAGGCTGAGGTGGGATTATGGCTTGAGACCAGGAGTTCAAGACCAGCCTGAACAACATGGCGAGTCCCTGTCTCTACAAAAATAAACAATAAAAATTAGCTGGACACGATGTCACGTATTTGTAGTCCCAACTACTTGGGAGGCTATGGTGGGAGGATCTCTTGAGCCCAGGAATTCCAGGCTTCAGTGAGCTATGATTGTGCCACTGCACTCCAGCCTGGGTGACAGAATGAGACCCCCATCTCTAAAAACAAAACAAACTAGTCTGTGTATTAAAATAGACTTTGAGTTCTTCAAAAGAAAAGGCTGTATCTCATTCATCTTTATTTTCTGAGTTCCTAGAAATTTCTAGGAAATGCATTTTCCTGGGAAATGCTCAGAGTTCGTACATACACACATGCACACACACACACAAACACACACAAATGCACCTGTGAATAAATACAATAAATAAAAATTCAACAAACACTACATAATGCTGACAGCCAGGTACTGTCCTGAACACTGTAAAAATTTCAAAATTCTTAATCCTGGCAGGGCACGGTGGCTCACGTCTGTCATCCCAGCACTTTGGAAGGCTGAAGCGGGCAGATCACTTGAGGCCAGGAGTTTGAGACTAGCCTGGCCAACATGATGAAATCCTGTCTCTACTACTCTACTAAAAATACAAAAAAGTTAGCCAGGCATGGCAGTGCATGCCTGTATTCCCAGCTACTCAGAAGGCTGAGGCACAAGAATTGTTGCACCCAGGAGGTGGAGGTTGCAGTGAGCCAAGATCATGCCACTGCATTCCAGCTGGGGCAACAGAGTGAGACCCTGTCTCAAAAAAGAAAAAAACAATTCTTAATCCTAATAGAAACCATAAGCATTGGGGACAACTATAATAACCACTTTCCAGATGAAGAAATTGAGGCAGAGAAAGGTTAGTGTAACTCACAGCCATGCAGAGGGTGAGTGGCAGAGCTGTGGTTTGGATTCTGACACTTTGGCCGCAGATTTGAGGCTGTCGATCCTGATTCCACATTGCCTCTCTGCAGCATGAACCATGTTAAAAGCGTGCGCAGAGGGGCTGTAGAATGGGCAAACTGTACCATTCTCCATTGCAGAAGTTCTCCGTGGCACTGTGCGTGGCTGTTTCTCCAGCTTATGTGGCCTCCAAAGCCATGGAGTGGGTTCAGGTCAGGGTGGCTGTCAACAGGCTCACGATTTCTGCTTAGCATTTGTTTTCCTATAGCTGCAGAAGCCCTGGGCTAATTTTCAGGAAGAGCTTTACTTGCTTTGAGGGCCAGCAATCTCTCTCCTCACTCCAGGAGGTCTCAGGCGCCTGCTCAAGTTGTGGTTTTCAGTCTTGAATGAGTCAGACTATCTCTTGGAAGGATTTTTGAGACCTTTAAGAAAAAAATGCATGACAGTATTCTCCCCAGGATAGCATGGGCCCTGCCCAGAGATTGCTTGGCTTACTTGGAGATTTATGTAAGTGAATTCCATGTCTGAAACATTCACCCCCCCACTTCCACTTGGTTTTCCAAAGCAGAGGATTTCTGGAGTTCTCCAAACAAAAGGCCCTGTTTTAATACCCAAGTACAGAGGGTCTCTGACTTGCAATGTCAACTTGGTGTGTCCAGAATTGGTGGGTTCTTGGTCTCACTGACTTCAAGAATAAAGCCGCGGACTCTCGCGGTGAGTGTTACAGCTCTTAAGGTGGCGCGTCTGGAGTTTGTTTCTTCTGATGTTCGGATGTGTTCGGAGTTTCTTCTGGTGGGTTCGTAGTCTCGCTGGCTCAGGAGTGAAGCTGCAGATCTTCGCGGTGAATGTTACAGCTGTTAAGGCAGCGCGTCTGGAGTTGTTCGTTCCTCCTGGTGGGCTCCTGGTGTCGCTGGCTTCAGGAGTGAAGCTGCAGACCTTGGCAGTGAGTGTTACAGCTCATAAAAGCAGTGTGGACCCAAAGACTGAGCAGTAGCAAGATTTATTGCAAAGAGCAAAAGAACAAAGTCCCCACACTGTGGAAAAGGACACCAGCAGGTTGCTACTGCTGGCTGGGGCAGCCTGCTTTTAATCTCTTATCTGGCCCCACCCACATCCTGCTGATTGGTAGAGCCGAGTGGTCTGTTTTGACAGGGCGCTGATTGGTGCCTTTACAATCCCTGAGCTAGATACAAAGGTTCTCCACGTCCCCATCAGATTAGTTAGGTACAGAGTATCCACACAAAGGTTCTCCAAGGTCCCACCAGAGCAGCTAGATAGAGTGTCGATTGGTGCACTCACAAACCCCCGAGCTAAACACAGGGTGCTGATTGGTGTGTTTACAATCCCTGAGCTAGACATAAAGGTTCTCCGAGGCCCCACCAGACGCGGGAGCCCAGCTGGTTTCACCGAGTGGATCCCGCACCGGGGCTGCAGGTGGAGCTGCCTGCCAGTCCCGCACCATGCGGTCGCACTCCTCAGCCCTTGGTTGGTGGATGGGACTGGACGCCGTGGAGCAGGGGGCGGCGCTCGTCGGGGAGGCTCAGGCTGCGCAGGAGCCCATGGAGGCGGGGTAAGGCTCAGGCATGGCAGGCTGCAGTCCCGAGGCCTGCCCTGCGGGAAGGCAGCTAAGGCCTGGCGAGAAATTGAGCGCAGCGCCGGTGGGCTAGCACTGCTGGGGGACCCAGTACACCCTCCGCAGCCGCTGGCCCGGGTGCTAAGCCCCTCATTGCCCGAGGCCAGCAGGGCCGGCCGGCTGCTCTGAGTGCGGCCCGCCAAGCCCACGCCCACCCGGAACTCCAGCTGGCCCGCAAGAGCCGCGCGCAGCCCCGGTTCCCTCTCGCGCCTCTCCCTCCACACCTCCCCGCAAGCTGAGGGAGTGGGCTCCGGCCTTGGCCAGCCCAGAAAGGGGCTCCCACCGTGCAGCGGTGGGCTGAAGGGCTCCTCAAGTGCCACCAAAATAAGAGCCCAGGCAGAGGAGGCGCTGAGAGCGAGCGAGGGATGTGAGGACTGCCAGCACGCTGTCACCTCTCATTAGGATGGTAAGATTTACAATTTTTCAAGTTTACGATGGTGCAAAAACAATATGCATTCAGTAGAAACCATACTCCAGATTGTGATTTTTGTTTGTTTGTTTTTTAAAGCACAGGGTCTTGCTCTGTCACCCAGGCTGGAGTGCAGTGGCACTATCACAGGCTCACTGCAGCCTTCAATTCCTGGGCTCAGGTGATCTTCCTGCCTCAGCCTCCCCAGTAGCTGGGACTACAGGTGTGCACCACTGTGCCTAGAGAATTTTAAATTTTTTTTTGGAGGGACAGGGTACTCACTATATTGCTCAGACTGGTCTTGAACTCCTAGTCTCAAGCGATCCTCTTCAGCCTCCCAAAGTGCTGGGATTATAGGTGTGAGTCACTGTTCCTGGCCTGATTTTTGAATTTTGATCTTTTCCAGGGCTAGTAATCTGCAGGTTTGCTGCTGTCTTGCAATGCTGGGCAGTGGAAGCCAGCCACAGCTCCCCATCTGCTACGTGATCATGAGACTAAACAACCAATACGGCGTTCTGTGTTGCTCACATTGTTTTGCGTATTGTACTTTGTGTTTTTGACCCCCATCATGTCTGCAAAAGGCCTGTGTACAGTATTCCACACTTTATTAGAAAATCGGCATGATGTAAGGCCGGGCACGGTGGCTCATCCCTGTAATCCCAGCACTTTGGGAGGCCGAGGCAGGTGGACCACCTGAGGCCAGGAGTTTGCGAGACCAGCCTGGGCAACATGGTGAAACCCCATCTCTACTAAAAAAAAAATACAAAAAGTAGCCAGGCCTGGTGGTGTGTGCCTGTAATTCCAGCTACTCAGGAGCCTGAGGCAGGAGAATTGCTTGAACCTGGGAGGCAGAGGTTATAGTGAGCCGAGATTGTGCCACTGCACTCCAGCCTGGGCAACAGAGCGAGACTCTGTGTCAAAAAGAAAAGAAGAGAAAAGAAAATAGGCATGATGTTAAATGATTTTGCCCAGCTGTAGGCTAATGTAGGTATTCTGAGCATGTTGTTTTTATTTTATTTTAGAGATGGAGTTTTGCTCTTGTCGCCCAGGCTGGAGTGCAATAATGCAGTCTTGGCTCATTGCAACCTCTGCCTCCTGGGTTCCAGCAATTCTCCTGCCTCAGCCTCCCAAGTAGCTGGGATTACTGGTGCCCGCCAACACACCTGGCTAATTTTTGTATTTTTTAGTGGAGACGGAGTTTCACCATGTTGGCTAGGCTGGTCTCGAACTCCTGACCTCAGGTGATCCACCTGCCTCGGCCTCCCAAAGTGCTGGGATTACAGGCGTGAGCCACCATGCCCAGCTGCACGTTTAAGGTAAGACTCTGCTAAACTATGATGTTCGGTAGCTTAGGTGTATTAAGTGCATTTCGGCTCATGATATTTTCAACTTATGATGGGTGTATTGGGGTGTAACTTCACTGTAAGCCAAGGAGCATCTGTACGTAGCAAACCCCCATTTTGTATTTAGCATTGCGCTCTCTATCGTGAAGGTGTGAGAGAAGTATACGATTGATTTGTGGGAAAGTCAGTACAGTTGGAGAGAAGAGCTAAGGCACATACATGAAGAATTAGGGCAAAGTGTGATTTTACATATTAGCATACAGTAATTACCATAGATCCAAGTGCCAAATTGAGTGATTCCAACAATTAGAGAACAGGGCAGCATGTTGTAAGATGTGGATTATGTGTTATGAATAGCAAGTATAAAATGAGTTAGGAAAAGGAGATAAATGAAGGCTGGGATGAGGTGGGAGACTTGAGGAGGGAGTGAGATTCAATCTGAGTAATGCAGAAAGATGATAATAAAATAACAACATTGGGGCCAGGAGTGGTGGCTCACGCCTGTAATACCAGCACTTTGGGAGGCTGAGGTGGGCAGATCGCTTGAGCTCCAGAGTTCGAGAACAGCCTGGGCAATATGGTGAAACCCTGTCTCTACTAAAGACACAAAAAATTAGCCAGGTGTGGTGGTGCATACCTGTGGTCCCAGCTACTTGGGAGGCTGAGGTGAGAGAATCACTTCAGCCCAGGAGGTGGAGGTTGCAGTGAGCTGAGATTTCACCACTGCACTCCAGCCTGAGCATCAGTGTGAGACTGCGTCTCAAAACAAACAAACAAAAATAACAACACTGGGGCCTGGTGCGGTGGCTTATGCCTGTAATCCCAGCACTTTGGGAGGCCAAGGCGGGCAGGTGACCTGAGGTCGGGCGTTTGAGACCAGCCTGACTAACATGGAGTAACTCTTTCTCTACTAAAAATACAAAATTAGCTGGGCGTGATGGCACATGCCTGTAATCCCAGCTACTTGGGAGGCTGGGGCAGGAGAATTGCTTGAACCCACAAGTCAGAGGTTGCGGTGAGCCGAGATTGTGCCATTGCACTCCAGCCTGGGCAATAAGAGTGAAACTCTGTCTCAATAAATAAATAAATAAATAAATAAATAAATAAATAACAACATTGGATAAGGAGAGTTTTACTGTGTGCTAGGTACTCTTCAGCGTCCCTTTTACCAATTCATTTGATTTTCACAATAGCCTTATAAGGTTGGTCTTATTAATGTCCTAATTTTACAGATGAACACATTGGGGCACAAAAAAGGTTAAGTATTGTGTGCTGGGATACAGCTGGAAGGTGGAGGAGCTTGGATTTGAGCCCACAGTTTACTCTCAGTCCTTACACTGAGCCACTGGACTGTGCCACTGAATTCTAGCCTGGGCGACAGAGTGAGACTCTGTCTTAAAATAAAACAAAACAAAAACTTATTTATAATCTTTCTTCCTTGACTAGGTTGTAACCTTCATGATTCCAAGGACTTTATCTTTACTGTTAGCACGAAATTCTGGGATCTATGCTACTATCGGGCACATAGTAGGAGCTTGGTGAATATTTGCTGAATGATGAGTGTATGGTAGTAGAGCGGGCCTGGTGAGATTTCTTGAGGTGCTATTTATGGGAAATGGATCAGCCAGGGTAGGCGATGTTATGCGAAAGTAGTAACACCAAGACATCAATAGCCTGACACAGCAGACGTTCATTCCTGTTCAGTTTCAGTCATCTGCAGATCTAAGCAGCTTTCCAAGTAGATGTTCTCTGGGTCCTTTCTTGTTGGTTGTTTTGACCTTGTAATATTTTTTGTTTGTTTGTTTTTGAGACAGAGTTTCACTCTTGTTGCCCAGGCTGGAGTGCAATGGCACAATCTCAGCTCACTGCAACCTCCGCCTCCTGAGTTCAAGCAATTCTCCTGCCTCAGCCTCCTGAGTGGCTGGGATTACAGGTGCCCGCAACCATGCCTGGCTAATTTTTGTATTTTTAGTAGAGATGGGGTTTCACCATGTTGGCCAGGCTGGTCTCGATCTCCCAGCCTCAGGTGATCCATCTGCTTCGACCTCTCAAAGTGCTGGGATTACAGGCATGAGCCACCGCGCCCGGCCCCTTGTAGCATTTTTATCTCAAGTTCATCATGCTTCTGAGTTCACCATGGCAGAGGAAGAGAGCATGAGGAATCATAAACCAGCTCTGAAATACCTCTCCCTGGAAGTGACACATGTCATTTTTTTTGCTTACAATTCATTGACCAAAGCCAGTGAAATGGCCATGACTAACTTCAAGGGAGTGGAAGGAGAGGAGAAATGGAAATATAGAGAAGATGGTCGTGTCGACCACAGGATCTATACTGCCTCCGAAACTGCTGGAGAGAGAGTGGGGAAGAGTCCATGGAAGGCTTACGCAGGGAAGAAATGGTAAATAAACCCAACTGAGGATGTGGATTCAAGTGGGAAGAACAGAAGGCATTTGTGCACTGATGCTTCTTATAATTTATCTTTTTTTTTTTATTTTATTTTTTTTTAAGGTACAGGATCTCACTCTGTCACCCAGGCTGGAGTACAGTGGCGCCATCATAGCTCACTGCAGTCTCAACCTCCTGGGCTCAAGCAATTCTCCTACCCCACCTCAGCCTTCCCAATAGCTGGGACCACAAACGCACGCCACCACGCTCTGCTAATGAAAAAAATTTTTTTTGTAGAGATGAGGTTTTGCTATGTTGCCCAGGCTGGTCTCAAACTCCTGGCCCCAAATGATCCTCCCAGATTGGCTTCCCAAATTGTTAGAATTACAGGTGTGAGCCACAGCGCCTGGCCTTAAAATTTATCTTTGAAAGGTAAGAATGACAACTTCTCAATGACATGGACTCGCCTGTTGCTCTGCCAGGAGGGTGGAGCGTCTCTGTCTGTGCATGTGAACTCTGGACCTCATTCTTGGTGCTGTTAGACTATTCTATTCTGTTCTATTACCTGGATCTGCACCTTAGGCAATGTATTTTTAAACCCTAAATCTTTGTATGATCTTTGCTCACATCCAAACTTAACGGCCCTGTGTCCCTGTCACTTCAGGATTTTGGATTAAGCCATAAACTAATTCAAGCTAAGATGTGATAGTTTGATAAAACAACTCACCTAACATATTTGCATTTTAATGGAGGCTTTCAATGCCTTAAAGCAGAAGGGTTGTAATTTCAGGCACCCTGGTAAGCAGGTTGGGAAAATATTTTTCTCCAGAGGAACCTTTTAGTGCTCCTTAAATCTTATCACACTACTCTGCAGACAGAACAAGACTGACTCTCTTGGCTGATTTCTGTCGCATTCTAAGCTGGGTACCTCCTGGGGAGAGGGTGAGATGATAACGACGTAGGCCCTGTTTTATTAAGTGTATTGGCAAGAGAAGAAAGGAAACTTATTCAGAGGAGATGGACTCAGGTGTGCAGAGGAAAACAAATACACCGTCCCATGACTCTGTCCCCTGATAAAACATCCACTGGCGTTCTTCACGGAATTATGTGGCTTTTCCATAAAAGACAACATGGCTTTTTGTGTAGTTGTGGAAACAGCTAGGTTTCTTCCCTACTGTTTGACATTTTCCATGCTTGTTGCTAAATCTTTGACAGAAGCATTAGCTGGGCTGAAGAATAATAGTGTTGTAAGAAAGCTAATAATGGCCTAGAAAAAAAAAGTATGTATAATACATACCTTGACATTGAATCACTGAATACTTTAATAAGTAATGCACACAAACGGAGGCCTTTTGTGTTGACATAAAATGTAAGCTCTACCTTTTTTCTCCTCGAGATGCATAAAGAACCAGAGAGGAAAATAGATGGAAAAAATTCAAATATTTTCCTTTGTGGAGTGTGATGTGCCAATGTGCTGATGGGTTCTTTTTAATTTCCTTAAGTGTTAGAGAGAGAGAGAGAGGGAGAGAGAGACAGGAGATAGAGCGTGTGTTGCCTTTCTTGATGTTTTCCAGAAACTGGTTCCAGACGTGAGAGTTTTATTCCAATATGGCTTCCAGGATCCCAGAGGACTCGACTTGTAGAGAGCATCACTGGAGTCAGAAGGGCCGAGGTCCAGGGGCCAAGAACACACCTTGGTGCCAGAAGAAGTTCATAAGTCTTGAAATGCAGCATCTCCTGAGGTAGAATCATTGGGCAGAACTCATGATAACAGAGCCTTCAAGATGCGGAGTGAGGACAGGTGTGGGGGCTCACGCCTGTAATCCCAACACTTTGGGAGGCCAAGGCGGTTGGATCACCTAAGGTCAGGAGTTCAAGACCAGCCTGGCCAACATGGTGAAATCCCGTTTTTACTAAAAATACGAAGAATTAGCTGGATGTGGTGACGCCTGCCTGTAATCCCAGCTACTTGGGAGGCTGAGGCAGGAAAATCACTTGAACCTGGGAGGTAGAGGTTGCAGTGAGCTGAGATTGCACCACTGCACTTCAGCCTGGGCAACAGAGTGAGACTCCGTCTCAAAAAAACAAAAACAAAAACAAAAGATGGTGAGCGAGTAAGAGCAATAAAAATATTTGAATGTGTGACTCCTACACTTTTTAACTTAGATTTTTGGAAAAAAAATCCTTACACATTTTCATCGTAAAGATTCTCCTACTTGAGAATCTTGGCAGTTGATAAACTCAAAGCCATTTTTATTCCTTCCTGTAACTTTCAAGCATTATCCATAAATGCTATACAGCCCCCATCTTGCCCCATCCTTCCACCCTTTTCCCATCCTTCAAGCAGTTCTTGAAAAGCAGTTCTTGAAATGACCCCAAATATGCCTGTTGCTTCCTGCTGATGGTACTTAACCCTGACCAGAAATGGATTTAGTTAAGATGTATTTTTAATGGTAGCAACATGGCTATATATATTCACATATTCATTTATATTTTAAGAGATAAGGTCCTGCTCTGTCACCCAGGTTGGAGCGCAGCGGCATGATCATAACTCACTGCAGCCTCCAACTTCTGGGCTCAAGTGATCCTCTTGCCTTAGCCTCCTCAATAGCTGGGATTACAGGTGCATGCTTTCATGCCAAGCTAATTTATATATTTTTTTTGTAGAGTGTTATCTTGCTATGTTGCCCAGGCTGGTCTTAAACTCATGGGCTCAAGTGATCTTCCTGCCTCAGCTTCCCAAAGTGCTGGGATTACAGGCATGAGCCACCATGCCTGGCCCGATAAAGATTCTTAATTGTCTCACATGACAAAAAATCTGTGGAGCTGTGACTTCATTTGCTACTCTGCCATCTCTGGGTATGGAGATGTGGGCCTTTGGCTTAGTGCCTCATGGTCATCAACTATTGGCCCTTTGCATTTAAGGAAGGAAGCAGTGATGCGGGTAACAAAAAGTATCTGCTTTTTATCAAGGTGGGAAAAGTTATTTCCCAGGAGTGCACTAACAGACTGGTTCTTGAGTCTCATTGTCTGTAGACAGATCAC
Organism: Homo sapiens; assembly: GCF_000001405.40. Lineage (NCBI taxonomy): Eukaryota > Metazoa > Chordata > Mammalia > Primates > Hominidae > Homo > Homo sapiens. Next base: position 69,386,862 of record NC_000007.14, on the reverse strand, counting down.
ATGGTTGTCCCCAGCTGCAAGAGGGGCTGCAGAATTAGGATCTTGTTCCAGCACTTTGGGATGCTAAGGTGGGAGAATCGCTTGAGACCAGGAGTTCGAGACCAGCCTTGGCAACATAGTGAGACCCCATCTTTACAAAAAATAAAGAAAAATTAGCCCAGCGTGGTGGTGCACACCTGTGGTTGCACCTCCTTGGGAGGCTGAGGCGGGAGGATTGATTGAGCCCAGGAGGTCAAGGCCGTAGTGAGCTATGATCGCACCACTGCACACCAGCCTGGAAGACAGAATGAGACCCTGTCTCTTAAAAACGACAGTTAGTATCTTGTATGGGGAAATAGAATTTTCAAAATTAACTTAGACCCACCATGATGCATTGACTGGAATGAGTAGGCCCTAAAGAAGATGGTGAAGTTGGTTAGGCAGGTATGGTGTCTGCTACAGACTTCCTCAAGGTGCGCTGTATAGACGATATGTTATCTATCATCTATACAGTGTACCATCTAAGTATAGATAATATGTTTTAATCCTGCTATTTGTTTATGCTACAAATATATATCTTTCTTTACAATGTAGACACATTCCTGGGTGGTGGCTGTAAATGTCTAGTGAAATAATTGTTTTTGCACTGATTTTCATGAAAAAACTAAGATGGGTTTAAAAGAAAAACATTTTGCTGACGATGATACCACATCACATGCTTAAAATGGTGATCATACAGGTATCGAAATACAAGTCCATAGAGGTACTTTCCATATTTGAGCAATAGATACGTTCCAGTAAAGTGCCCCTAAGGAGACTTCATGTAAAGTGAATCCTATGTTTCCTTTTAGCCATTATTATGAAATCAGAGATATATTCCCACTGGACAACATTCTTCTGTAGGTGGTAGATGGAGCTGAAAAAAGTCAGCAAAGTTTTTATATGGTGGCTAAGCTTCCAAACCGGGCTTTGCATTAGAATCACCCTTTGGGGCTTTCTAAAACTATGAGATTCCCAGACTTCTCTTCAAATCAGTGCAATCATAACCTTCGAGAAGGAGACTGGGAAGCTGTGGATTTATAAAGCTTCCCACCTGATGCTGATGCCTAGGCAGATTTAGGAATCATTGTCAAAGTGTCAGACCCATAGGAATTTAATAGGACTTCGAAATAATTTGATCCAACACTTTCATTTTAAAGAGGAGGAAAGAGAAGTTATGAGACTTTCATTCTTTTTTTTTTTTTCAGGAATCCTGTATACTTTATTATTATTATTATTTTCTTCAACTTTTATTTTAAGTTCCAGGGTACATGTGCAGGATGTGCAGGTTTGTTACATAGGTAAACGGGTGCCATGATGGTTGGCTGCACAGACCAGCACATCACCTAGATATTAAGCCCCGCATCCATTAGCTATTCTTCTTGATGCTCTCCCTCCCCCTGCCCCCTCTCAACAGGCCACAGTGTGTGTTGTTCCCCCTCATGTGTCCATGTGTTCTCATCATTTAGCTCCCACTTATAAGGGAGAACATGTGGTATTGGATTTTTCATTCCTGCATTCATTTGCTGAGGATAATGGCTTCCAGCTCCATCCATGTCCCTGAAAAGGACATGCTCTTACACCTTTTTATGGCTGCATAGTATTCTGTATTCCATAATACATAGTACATATTCCATATTCCATAGTACATGGTGTATATGTACCACATTTTCTTTATCTAGTCTATCATTGATGGGCATTTGGGTTGATTCCATGTCTTTGCTGTTGTGGATAGTGCTGAAGTTATGAGAGTTTCTAGTGGTCACAGAGCTACATAGTAGCAAAGACTTGACTTCAGTCCTCTCATCTCTGATACTTGTGCTCTTGCCAATACATCAACCCACTCAGAAAGGGATTTAGGAGATTTTATGTGGTGCATCCACAGTGTTACAATCTCTTCCGAACTTGGAATCTGCTGCTTGTCTTCATATCTCCTATTCCTTTATTTTATCAGAACATTTATCAGAATGTAAAATTTTCTGTGGGAGTTATCAAATTCCTTATTCTTAGAACTCCTTCCTGAGGGTCGAAGATGTACATTGCTTTATAGAACTAGACTAACACAATTCACCAGGGGGTACGAATATCGAAAAGGATGCATCTCAAACAGAAATCTCAACTCTAAAGACTTTATACATTCTGCATTCACAATTTTGTTCAAAACTCTGTAAAATGAGCTTATTTGCATTAAGAAGTCACTAATGACAGATCCACAAAGCTTCCTTATTGTAAGGAAAAAGGGAAGATGCTAAGATTTCATTCACTTTAGACAAATTTTTGTTTTGAATGCTTATTATATACTCATTACTGTTGCAGATTCTGCAATAAGGAAGCTTGTAGGAAGGTTTTGGGAAGGTGGGGGAGACAGAAGTATTAACAGGCCACTGTAATATAGTGTGATAACTGCAAAATTCAAGGAATGTGCAAAGCACAGTGATTTTGTGGGGGAAGGGATTAACTTCTGGGGTAGAGTTGGGAGGGTGCTTTATATAAGGATGGAACTTCTTTTTCTTTCACACAGGGTGCATAAAGTTTCATCAATTTTTGCCCTTTATGGATTTTTTTTAAAGAGACAGGGTCTTGCTCTGTCACCCAGGCTGGAGTGCAGTGGCATGATCATAGCTCGCTGCAGCCTTGAACTCCTAGACTCAAGCAATTATCCTGCCTCAGCCTACCGAAGTGCTGGGATTGTGGGCATGCACCACCGTGCCCGGCCAGAATGTGACTTCTGAGTTGAGCTTTATGGTGAATAGAAACTCAAAAAGGGAACAAAGGAGACAGACATTCTGTGTCTGTGAAATCACATGTGCAAAGGCCCTGGGGCATGAAGCAGCCTGGCATGATGGGGGAACTCTCAGTGAGATATGGAACATGATAGAAATGGAAATGGCAGTGGAGAGGAGGCTGGCTTGGGAATCGTATGGGTCTATTCTCACATTGCTATAAAGAAATACTTGAGACTGGGTGATTTATAAAGAAAAGAAATTTTATTGCCTCATGTTTCTGCAGGTGTACAGGAAGCATGATGCTGGCATCTGCTCAGCTTCTGGGGAGGCCTCAGGAAACTTACAATCATGGCGGAAGCCAATGGGGGAGTAGGCTCATCTCATGGCCAGAGCAGGAGCAAGAGCCTGAAGTGGGAGGCATTACACACTTTTAAATGACCAGATCTCAGGAGAACGCCCTCACTATCATGAGGACAGAACCAAGGCAGATGGTGCTAGACCATTCATGAGAAATCGCCCCCATAACCCAGTCACCTCCTACCAGGCCCCACTTTCAACATTGGGGATTACATTTCAATATGAGGTTTGTGGCGGGGGGAGGGACATACATCCAAACTGTATCAGGAAGGGGTGATCTATTAAGATCTATTTATGTGATCTATTAAGGCATTTGGTCATTATCCCATAGACAACAGGATGTGCTGAAGCGTTTTCACAGGGAAGTAGCTGGCTCAGGGGAAAGCTGCATTGTAGGGGGAACATTCTGAAGGCAGGAGATTGCTGAGGGGCTGTTGCAATAGTGTTGATTGGACAGAATAAGATACTTCCATGGGGTAGAAATAATGAGGATAAGGGGGAAGGGGCATTCACGTTTGAGTATTCCCATTTTATAATTAAGGAAACTGAAGCACAGAGAAGTGAAGGAAATACTACAATATTAGTCAGTTCTCACATTGCTATAAAGAACTACCTAAGACTGGGTAATTTATAACGAAATGAGGTTGAATTGGCTCATGGTTCCACAGGCTGTGCAGGAAGCATGGCTGGGGAGGCCTCAGGAAACCTTCAATCACGGAGGAAGGCAAAGGGGAAGTAGGCACATCTTACATGGCTGGAGCAGGAGGAACAGGGTGAAAGGGGAGGTACTACACACTTACAAACAACCAGATCTTGCTATGCGCAGTGGCTTACACCTGTAATCCCAGCACTTTGGGAGGCTGAGATGGGTGGGTCACTTTAGGTCAGGAGTTCGAGACCAGTCTAGCCAACATGGCGAAATCTTGTCTCTATTAAACATACAAAAATTAGTCAGGTGTGGTGGTGCACGTCTGTAATCCCAGCTACTTAGGAGGATGAGGCAGGAGAATCATTTGAACCTAGGAGGTGGAGGTTGCAGTGAGTCGAGATTGCACCACTGCACTCCAGCCTTGGTGACAGAGCGAGTCTCTGTCTCAAAACAAACAAACAAACAAAAAAAACAAAACACCCCTCCTCATCCAACAAAAATACCAACAATCAGATCTTCGGAGAACTCATTCACTATCATGAGAAGAGCAAGGTGGAAATCCACCCCATGATCCAATCACCTCCTATCAGTCCCCTCCTCCAACATTGGAGATGACAATTCAACATGAAATTTGGGTGGGTACACAAATCCAAACCATATCAATGTTTAAGAGGTGAAATTGACAGGACCTGGTGGCTGATTGGTTAAGAGGGTAAATAAGAGGAAAGAGTTGACAAGAATGCTCCTGTTTCACATATTGGGAACAGAGCACCAAGAAGAAAAATTTTTGTTTGGTTTTGTGGGGAATATAATGAGTTTCATGTTGGCCCTGACTCGAGGTATCTAAAAGATAGATTATGAAATTTTCCAGTAGTTAAGAGAGACCTCTCTGAGGCGTACAGCTTTCAGAGTCCTCATTTGGATGTTACTCTATTGATCTCTCATGTTGAATAAGGAGAGACCTGAGGCCATAAAACAGGAATTCCTAACATCTAAGCAGTAATTTTGTTAGCTTTTCCTGCATAACCACTGCAAATGTAGGGCCTTAAGACAACAAACATTTGTGATTTCTCATGTGTATTAGTCCATTTTCACACTGCTATAAAGATACGGAGACTTGGTAATTTATGAAGAAAAGAGGTTTAATTGACTCACAATTCTGCATGGCTGGGGAGTCTCAGGAAACCTACAACCATGGTGGAAAGTGAAGGGGAAGCAAGGCATGTCTTACATAATGACAGAAGAGAGAGAGAGAGTGTAGGGGAAGCTGCCACTTTTAACCATCAGATCTTGTGAAAACTCACTCGCTATCAAGAGAACAGCAAGGGGGGACATCTGCCCCCATGATCCAATCACCTCCCACCAGGTCCCTCCCTCAATATGTGGATATTACAATTCAAGATGAGATTTAGGTGGGGACACAGAGCCAAACCATACCATTATGATTCTGTGGTTTGGCTGGGTGGTTCTTAGAGTGGCCCAGCTGGCTCAGCTGAGGTCGAATGACCTAGGATGACCACTCTCACATGTCTGGGGTTGGCTCCATGTCAGCTAGGGGGCAGTAAGATGACTTGGCCATGTGTCTCTCATCATCCAACAGGCTAGCCCAGGCTCATTCCTATGGTGGAGGATTCACAAGAATAACCAAAGAGGGAAAAACTTCAATACAGAAGCCCTCTGTGGGGGTCTGCTTGTGTCACATTTGCCATGTGCTATTTGTCAAAACAAGTCACCTGGCAAGCCCAGAGCAGGTGTGGAAAGGCACCTAGATTCAGAAATGTGAGTCATTGTGGCTATTTTTGCAATCACTTTCCCACAGAGGTATGACTCATGGTTAGGGAGCCTACAAACACCCTGAGTGCCTGGTAGTGTGCTGGGCAATTCAGGGAAACTTATAGAGGTAAGAAATCAGGCCAGGCATGGTAGCTCACGCCTGTAATCCCAGCACTTTGGGAGGCTGAGGAGGGCAGATCACTTGAGGTCAGGAGTTCGAGACCAGTCTGGCCAACATGGTGAAACCCCGTTTTTACTAAAAATATAAAAATTAGCTGGGCATGGTGGCATATGCCTGTAGTCCCAGCTACTTGGGAGGCTGAGGAAGGAGAATTGCTAGAACCCGGGAGACAGAAGTTGCAGTGAGCCAGGATTGTGCCACTGCACTCCAGCCTGGGTGACAGAGCAAGACTGTCTCAAAAAAAAAAAAAAAAAAAAAAAAGGTAAGAAATCAGCTCAAAGTCACACTTTCTAAGTGAAAGAGCTGTGATTTGAATCTCTCTACATCTAGATCCAAAGTTAGTGGTTAAGTCAGGAGTGGTGGCTCATGCCTGTAATCCCAGCACTTTGGGAGGCTGAGGTGGGAGGATCACTTAAGCCCAGGAGTCCAGCTTGGGCAACACAGGGAGTTGTCATCACTAAAAAAATTAAAAAAAAATTAACCAGGCATGTTGGCATTCACCTGTAATCCCAGCTACCTGGGAGGCTGAGGCAAGAGGATTACCTGAATCCAGAAATTGGAGGCTGCAGTGAGCTATGATTGCACCAGTGCATTGCAGCCTGGGCAACAGAGTGAGACCCTGTCTCTTAAAAACAAACAAACAAAAAGCAACGAAAAACAAACAAAAAAACCCAAACAAGTGAAGTTAGTGCTTAATCACACCCCCACCATCTCTAGCTAGTTAGTACAACCTTCTTGTATCCTCTAGCCCTCATACTGTGCTAAGAATCCCTTTTACTGCTGCAGAAATAAATATACAAACAATAAAAAGAGTAAAGTGACCATTATATATATATATATATATATATATATATATATATATATATATATTTTTTTTTTTTTTTTTTTTTTTTTTTTATGTGGAGTCTCGCTCTGTCACCCAGGCTGGAGTGCAGTGGTGTGATCTCGGCTCACTGCAACCTCCGCCTCCTGGATTCAAATGATTTTCGTGCCTCAGCCTCCGGAGTAGTTGGGATTACAGGCGCGTGCCACGATGCCTGGCTAATTTTTGCATTTTTATTGGAGACGGGATTTTGCCATGTTGGCCAGGCTGGTCTTAAACTCCTGACCTCAAGCGATCCGCCTGCCTTGGCCTCCCAAAGTGCTGGGATTACGGGCGTGAGCCACGGAGCCTGGCCCACCATTTAAAATTTTGAATTTAGAGGTTATATGCCTGTATTTGACCATTTGTTCTGATTATGACTAAGGCTACTTGTTTATCTTCGGGCTGGCTAGGGCTATGAAAGTATTAAGTGCTGTTAACACATTCTGGCATTGGGTGCCTGTGCCTGGGGATGGCTCACAGATAGTGCTAGGCTTGTCTTTGAAAGGTGTTTATTTTTCCTCGTTAAGCCTTTGGGCAATCTATTCTTTCTGCAATTGATAATTTCTTCCATAAGGCTTGCTTTCGAGAGCAGTACCTGGAGCAGATGCCTTGGAGCCTCCCCACCCGTCTCCTGTCATCGAGTCTATTTTGCATGGTTAACTCTTTTTTTTTTTTTTTTTTAAGACAGGGTATCTCTCTGGTGTCCAGGTTGGGGTGCAGTGACACAATCGTAGCCCACTGCAGCCTTGAACTCCTAGGCTCAAACGATCCTCCCACCTCAGTCTCCCTAGTAGCTGAGACTACAGGCATGCACCATCATTCTCAATTGATTAGTTTTTTTAAATTTTCTAGAACGGGAACTCACTATGTTGCCTAGGCTGGTCTTAAACTCTTGGTTTTAAGCAATCTTTCCACCATGGCCTTGCAAAGTGCTGGGATTACAGGCATGAGCCACCATGCCTGGCCTACGGTTAGCTCTTCATGGAGACTCTGTGTGTGGGGGTTTTTAATTCCATAATGTAGTGGAATATGCAAGGATTATTGGAAGGTACAGGGAGAACGCCTTCCTCTCACTGTAACTCCCTTCCCAGCCTTTGGAATGAGAGAACTGGACTTGATGGTGTCTACATTGACATCCATCCTAAAGGTTAATTGTTGATGATTTATAATCCTTGCTCGAGAGATCACAGGTGAAGGTTAAGGGTCTGGGTTAGCTTGCTATACAAAGTTTTGTGTGGTCCTGGCTCCCAGTACCTCTCTAGCTTCATTTCCTGCTACTCCCCTTCATGACCACGCTGTCACACCAGATACTTGCTAAGATCCCATGCTCCCGTCACCACTTGGCCCGTGTGGTTCCTCTTCCTGGAAGGCTCTTCCCTTATCCTTTCAATCCCAGCTCAAACCTTGGAGGTGGCAGCCTCTGTGAAGTCATCCACAGTCTCTACCACCCCTCCCAAGTTCCCAGTGTTGGGGCCTCTGCTGTCTGCTCTTTGGTGTCCTGTGTTTATTTCTAGTGAAGCAAGATCATCCTATATTGTACTTTTCTTTTTGAGAGACAGGGGTGTCTCACTATGTCACCCAGGCTGGAGTGTGGTGGTGCTTTCACAGCTCACTGCAGCCTCAATCTCCTGGGCTCAAGTGATACTCCTGCCTCAGTTTCCTGAGTAGCTGGGACTACAGGTGCATGCAACCAAGCATGGCTAATTTTATTTATTTTTTGTAGAGATGGGGTCTCTCTATGTTGCCCAGGATGGCCTTGAACTTCTTTTTTAAAAAAAATTATTTTTTTAAGACAGAGCCACTGTTGCCCAGGCTGGAGTGCAGTGGCGGGATCTCGGCTCACTGCAACTTCTGCCTCCCAAGTTCAAGTGATTCTCGTGCCTCAGCCTCTCAAGTAGCTGGGATTACAGGCACACACCACCACGCCCAGCTAATTTTTGTATTTTTAGTAGTTACAGGGTTTCACCATGTTGGCCAGGCTGGTCTTGAACTCCTGACCTCAAGTGATCCACCTGCCTCAGCCTCCCAAAGTGCTGGGGGTCTTGAACTTCTGAACTCAAGTGATACATCCACTTCTGCCTCCTGAGTAGCTGGGATTGCAGGTGTAAGCCACTGCTCATGGCCCCTGTATTGCAACTTTATGTTTCTTCCTTGGAATGGGAATTCCTTGAAGGGCTGGGACTTGGTTTTCTGTCTCTAGCTCCCTAGCATAATGCTTGGCACATAAATGATGCTCAGTACATGAGGAGAGCCTGAATAGCTGCCCCCATCCTATCTACCAAGGCTCCAACTCCTTCCACTTTTTCTGATGCTGGTGCTGACCTCCATCTTACAATGCTGGGAGGATGTATTGTAATCGCCACTGCTCCCTAAGCACTGGAATGGTGTCTTTAGGTTTGGCATTTCAGAGGCTGGGTGAGGTGGCTCACAGCTGTAACCCCAGCATTTTGGGAGGCTGAGGCAGGAGGATGGCTTGAGTCCAGTAGTTAGGGACCAGTTTGAACAACATAGTGAGACCCCATCTCTACAAAAAAATAAAAATTGGCTGAGTGTGGTGGCACACATCTCTAGTCCCAGCTACTCGGGAGGCTGAGGTAGGAGGATTGCTTGAGCCCAGGAATTTGAGCCTGTAGTGAGCTGTGATCGTGCCACTGCACTCCAGCTTGGGTGACAGAGTAAGACCTTGTCTCTAGAAAAAAAAAAAAAAAAAGGTGAGATATTTCCAGCTTCCAGATGCCCCTTATTGAATTCCAGGCAAGTTCCAGCTTCCCATACTGGAGCTTTCCCTAACCTCTGATTTGTGATGATTTGAGGTTCTTGGAACTACGATATTCTAATGTTTGCAAAGGCTGAACAATTATTACCCTGGTTCTCGACACTTCACATGGGCCAGGGAGTGATCTAATCAGATACGTGCCAGATGGATGGAGGGAAGGAAAACCAGAGGGCAGGGGAAGGACTTGGAGGGATATCACAGGAGTGCAGGAGCTCCTAAGCTTGGGCTACTGAGAAGATACATCTTGGTGCCTTTTACAAAAGGCACTTCTACAGAAGTGCCCAGCACAAGATCCGATTGAGGAAGAAATATATGTTCGATCATGCAGAGCTTGAAGCGCTTGTGAGCAGTCAGAAATGTGGGTTTCAGGCTGGAAAGAAAAAAAATCAGAATCATAGTGAGAAAGATGTGGCTTACTGCAGCTAAGGGGGAGCATGGGCTTTCCAGGAAAGAATACAGAGAGACAAAAGAAGCTAGTAAATGGATATTTGGAGAACATCTATTCTAACAATGAGCTAAAGAGATGCAGAAAGATGTAGGAGTCTCAGAAGAATATAAAACTGCTGAGATTTATGGAGAAGAGTTTGTGGAGAGCTTGTTTGCAGACTCCATGAAAGGAAACTTTTGCTTATATATCTTAAGTGGAAAATAGAATTGAATGACACCCTCCTCCACTATATGCAGGGTGTTTGGAGCTTGCACACGAAGATAGGGTCTCACCCAGCCAATCTGATCTGCTGAATCAGCTCAGGCAATCAGTGAGGAGACGGATTTTGCTTGGGAGCGAGGAAAATTTCAGTAAGATTTCGATGATCAATGGGAATGTTAGATGACACTAAGAATCACTGGAGTTTTAATGCTGGTAGAATTCCTGACTGCTTTTTTTGTTTTTTAAGTTTGAAACAATCTGCTTTCTTTACCCCATGGTTTTTCCCCATGAGCAAAAGGTATATTTCTGGTTTACAAGTACAGTAACTAGATCCAGACAGGATGACCCGTGTGGGTTTTTTTTTTTAATTTTTATTATTATTATACTTTAAGTTTTAGGGTACATGTGCACAACGTGCAGGTTTGTTACATATGTATACATGTGTCATGTTGGTGTGCTGCACCCATTAACTTGTCATTTAGCATTAGGTATATCTCCTAATGCTATCCCTCCCCGCTCCCCCCACCCCACAACAGTCCCTGGTGTGTGATGTTCCTCTTCCTGTGTTCATGTGATCTCATTGTTCAATTCCCACCTATGAGTGAGAACATGCAGTGTTTGGTTTTTTGTCCTTGCGATAGTTTGCTGAGAATGATGGTTTCCAGCTTCATCCATGTCCCTACAAAGGGCATGAACTCATCATTTTTTATGGCTGCATAGTATTCCATGGTGTATATGTGCCCAAAACAGAGATATAGACCAATGGAAAAGAACAGAGCCCTCAGAAATAATGCCACATATCTACAACTATCTGATCTTTGACAAACCTGACAAAAACAAGCAATGGGGAAAGGACTCCTTATTTAATAAATGGTGCTGGGAAAACTGGCTAGCCATAGGTAGAAAGCTGAAACTGGATCCCTTCCTTACACCTTATACAAAAATTAATTCAAGATGGATTAAAGACTTACATGTTAGACCTAAAACCATAAAAACCCTAGAAGAAAACCTAGGCAGTACCATTCAGGACATAGGCATGGGCAAGGACTTCATGTCTAAAACACCAGAAGCAATGGCAACAAAAGCCAAAATTGACAAATGGGATCTAATTAAACTAAAGAGCTTCTGCACAGCAAAAGAAACTACCATCAGAGTGAACAGGAAACCTACAGAATGGGAGAAAATTTTTGCAACCTACTTATCTGACAAAGGGCTAATATCCAGAATCTACAATGAACTCAAACAAATTTACAAGAAAAAAACAAACAACCCCATCGAAAAGTAGGCGAAGGATATGAACAGACACTTCTCAAAAGAAGACATTTATGCAGCCAAAAAACACATGAAAAAATGCTCGTCATCACTGGCCATCAGAGAAATGCAAATCAAAACCAAATGAGATACCATCTCACACCAGTTAGAATGGCAATCATTAAAAAGTCAGGAAACAGCAGGTGCTGGAGAGGATGTGGAGAAATAGGAACACTTTTACACTGCTGGTGGGACTGTAAACTGGTTCAACCATTGTGGAAGTCAGTGTGGCAATTCTTCAGGGATCTAGAGCTAGAAATACCATTTGACCCAGCCATCCCATTACTGGGTATATACCCAAAGGATTATAAATCATGCCGCTATAAAGACACATGCACACATATGTTTATTGCGGCACTATTCACAATAGCAAAGACTTGGCACCAACCCAAATGTCCAACAACGATAGACTGGATTAAGAAAATTTGGGTTTTTTTTTTATTTTTTAAAGACAGGATCTTGCTCTTACCCAGGCTGAGAGTGCAGTGGCACGATCATAGCTCACTGCAGCCTCTAACTCCTGGGCTCAAGCAATCCTGCCTCAGCCTCCTGAGTATCTGGGAGTACAGATACATGCCAGCATCCCTAATTCCCTAATTAATTTTTTTGTAGAGATGAGGTCTTGCTATATTGCCCAGGCTAGTCTTGAACTCCTGGCCTCAAGGTTGCGCGCCTGCCTTGTCTTCCCAAAGTGTTGGGATTACAGGTGTGAGCCCTGCACCTGGTCTCTCTTTTTTTTTTTTTTTTTTTTTTTTTGGAGACAGGGTCTTGCTCTGTCATCCAGACTGGAGTGCAGTGGTGTGAACATGGCTCACTGCAGTCTCGACTTCCCAAGCTCAAGCGATTCTCTCACCTCAGCCTCTGGTGTAGTTGGGACTGCAGATGTGTGCCATCATGCCTAGCTAATTTTTAATTTTTTTTGTAGAAACGGGAGTCTTGCTTTGTTGCCCAGAGTGGGCTCGAACTCCTGGGCTCAAGTAAGCCTCCTGCCTCAGCCTCCCAAAGTGCTGCGATTACAGGTGTAAGCCACTGCACTCGGCCCTCTTTTTAATAAGCAATGAGTTCTCAGAAAATACCTCGCGAATTCTTATTTAGTTATTCATTGTGGTAAAGTATACATACAGATTTGCTATTTTAAGCATTTTAAGTGCATTTAATACATGTGCAATGTTGTGCAACTGTTACCATTATCCATTTCCAGTTCTTTTTCATCGTCCCAAACAGAAACTCTGTATGCAGTAAACATTTGCTCCCTATGTTCCCCGCTATCCTGGGCTCTGCATGCAGAATTATACAATCCTGGCCTTTTGTGTCTGGTTTATTTCACTTAGCATATCCTTAGGAATTCTTGACAGCTCTCTGGAATTTGGCCGCTCCGATGTTTTGGATACAGATTTCTGGAGTATGTGACATAAATCTTCAATTATTTTCTCAGAGACTCTGCCCCTTCTTGAGATGATGAACGAAGTTTCTATCCAAAAAACCCATTTTGCACATTTTTAGTACAACCTCCCATAGCAACAGTTGTGAGATGGTAGTTCCACATTTGCCAAAGACGTTTTTCAGAGAAAATGTGGCAGATGGCAGTGCCAATCCACTGCGAAGGTGCTTTGTGCCGTGCATGGCTTGGCACATAGAGGCCCCGGAAATTCTTCATCATGCAATAGATGCCTGAGCTTCCTTATCCTGAGTCATTACAACCCCTGTGGTGTGAGCACTTGTCACGTGTTAAAACACTTCTTCATTTTAATGGCTTTAATAAAAAATTTTTACAAGCCCCCATTTTTTCATTATCAGATTCAACAGGCATAAAATTACTCTGCCAAACTGCTATAAAAGTTTCTAAATGCTTATTCCTGATTTCTGTGATTATCTTGTGGCTCAGTAGCAAAGGGTTCTCACACCACACCCTGAGTAGCTCTGCTGTAGGTAGCACCACATGTGAGGAGGAGGGTTGCTTGGAAGTTCACTTTATGTTAGTTTGAGAGATAAGGTCTTGCTCTGTTGCTCAGGCTGGAGTGCAATGGTGCACTGCAGCCTCGACTTCCTGGGCTCAAGCAGAAATGTTGACCTGACTTTGAGTCTGTACTCACCTGACCTTTGGCATTTACTTCCTCTACAATCTTCTCCTCCTCCTACTCCTCCTCCTTCTTCTTCCTCTTCTTCTTTCTTCCTCCTCTTCCTCCTCCTCTTGTTCTTCTCCTTTTCCTCCCCCCTCCCTCCTCACTTCCTCTTCCTCCTCCTCTTCCTCCTTCTTCTCCTTCTTCTACCTCTTCTCCTTCTTCTTCTTCTCCTCCTCCTCCTTCTTCTTTCTTCTTTCTTCTTCCCTTCTTTTTTCTTCATGTAAGAGACAGGGACTTCCTCTGCCACTAAGGCTGGAATGCAGTGGTGCAATCATAGCTCACCACAGCCTCAAACTCCTGAGCTCAAGCCATCCTCCCACCCTGGCCTCCCAAGTAGCTGGGACTACAGGCGCACATCACCACACCTGGCTAATTAAAAAAAAAACTTTTTTGTAGACATGGGGGCTCACTATATTGCCCAGGCTGGCCTCAAACCTCTGGGCTCAAGCAGTCCTCCCACCTTGGCCTCCCAAAGTGCTAAGATTACAGGTATGAGCCACTTTGCCAGCTAGGGCTTACTTTAATAACATTTTTGAAAGATATGTTCCCTCAAGACAATGTTTCCGGCCGAGCACAGTGGCTCATGCCTGTAATCCCAGTATTTTGGGAGGCCAAGGCCAGCGGATCACTTGAGGTCAAGAGCTTGAGACCAGCCTGGTCAACATGGTGAAACCCAATCTCTACTAAAAATACAAAAATTAGCTGGTTTTGGTGGTGGGCATCTGTAATGCCAGCTACTAGGGAGGCTGAGACAGAAGAATTGCTTGAACCCAGGAGGCAGAGGTCGCAGTGAGCCAAGATCGCGCCACTGCACTCCAGCCTGGGTGACAGAGTAAGACGCAGTCTCAAAAAACAAAGACAACATTTCCTCTTACTGACCCTTTACTTCCTCATACCATGGGAGTAGATTGGTTTGCCTGAACAAATCTCTATTACCCAGACACTGGGTGCACCAATTCCTAGCCCTTTTTTTGGGTCTTACTAACTGTATTCATTTATTTATTTAGAGACAAGTCTCTCTTCGTTGCCCAGGCTGGAGTGCAATGGTGCCATCATAGCCCAGTGCAGCCTCCAATTCCTGGGCTCAAGCAATCCTCCTGCCTCAGCCTCCTAACTAGCTGGGACTCCAGGCATGTACCTCAAAGCCCAGCTAATTTTATTTTTTGTAGAGACAAGGTTTTGCTGTGTTGCTCAGGCTGGTCTGGAACTCCTGGACTCAAGCCCCTCTTCTGCCTCAGCCTCCCAAAGTGTTAGGATTACAGGCATGAGCCACCACGCCTGACAACAATATTTAAATCTCTGAACAGTTCTAGGTGCTTGTGACAAGCGTGTCTTCAATAATTGTACAAGTTAATGCAATGTTGAATCTTATGTGATGGGTGTGTCTTAAGGGAAGCTGACATCATAAGAAATCTTGAGGCCTATATTCATTTGGGCTCCATAGATGGGCAATCCTGTAGTATACTTCTACTTAGAAGGTCATGACTAAATTCCAGAGATGGCCACTTAGCCGATGAATCTCAGGATGCAGCTGAATGGACATTAACCATCTCAGCATCGCAGGAGGCATCCAGTGAGCCTTCCAGAGTGAGCTATGATATCATCCCACGCACGTAGCTTTTGTGTGGTGTAGTGCACAAACACCTGGGTCTAGGGCTGGGTTCAAGTCCTCCTCTGCCATTTCCTGTTTATGTGAGCTTGAGCAGGCACTTAACCTCTCAGAGCCTCCTGGATTAAACATGTTAGGAGGATTGAACGAGAATCCCTGGAGAGCTTGGTGCCTGGTGTATAGCAAGCACTCAAATGTTGGTTTTGTTCTCCTCTGAGATTTCTCCGCTGTGGTCCAGAAAGCAGCTTTTGAATCCTCAGGTTATAGGTGGAAAGCACAGTCAATTGCTTCACAGTGGTGGTTCAGAACAGATTGATACTGCCTGCTGTTGCATGGTGTTTTTTTTTTTTTTTTTTCTGGAGAGTCTGCAGTCCTTGTCTTTTAAAGAGATTGTGTTTGGTAGCAGTAAACAGGCTTTTAGCAAAACGGCTCTTTAATCCCATTCAAGAATGTTCTGCACTTACAATAGAAATGAAAATGAAAACTAAAATGAGATATCCTTTATTTTTTTTTGAGACAGAGTCTTGTTCTGTTGCCCAGGCGGGAGTGCAGTAGCAAGATCTCGGCTCACTGCAACCTCCATCTCTCGGGTTCAAGTGATTCTCCTGCTTCAGCCTCCTGAGTAGCTGGGATTACAGGTGCCTCCTATCACCGCGGGTACTTGTTTGTATTTTAGTTTGTATTTTTAGTTTCACTACGTTGGCCAGGCTGGTCTTGAACTCCTGACCTCAGGTGATCCACCCGCCGTGGCTTCCCAAAGTGCTGGGATTACAGGTGTGAGCCACCACACCTGGCCGAGATATCATTTTTTACCTATGGGTTGGGGAAAGATCAAGAGTTTGATACCATGCTGGGTTAGGGGTGGGATTGGACAGCAGGCATGGCAGAAGTGTAAATTGGAACAGTGTTCATGGAGAGCAATTTAGCAATGTCTATCACAATCACAAATGTACATTTCACTTTTAGAAAAGTATTTATACTTGCTGATATGCAAAAGAGAGTGTTTACTGACATAATATGATTTTTAAGAATTTTGTTTTGTTTTGTTTTGTTTAGAGACAGGGTCTTACTCTGGGTCACCTAGGCTGGAGTGCAGTGGTACAGTCACAGCTCACTGCAGCCTCGAACTTCTGGGCTCAAACAATCCTCCTGCCTCAGCCTCCCTAGTAGCTGGAACTATAGGCACATAACACCACACTCAGCTAATATTTTAATACACATTTTTTAGAGACAGGGTCTTGCTATGTTGCCTAGGCTGGTCTTGAACTCCTGGACCCAAATGATCCTCCCGCCTTGGCCTCCCAAAAGTGCCAGGATTACAGGCATGAGCCACTGCACTTGGCCAAGGTAGATTTTTAAGTGAAAGATGAAAAGTCCAGCAGAATGTGTGTCGCTTGCCTTGTGTATGTAGTATTTATGTTAAATAAAAAGAAAAAAATTCACGTATCCAAAAAAGAATATTTTGGGTTGACCCAGACATTTTTAACTGTGGAAACTCAAAGGAAACAAAATGGGGCCACAGTGCTTGCAAGAGTATGTAATAATATTTAGTCTTCTCTGTAGGTGTGAAACATGGGCCTTGCAGAGCTCTGCTTCAGTAAGTGACATGAGGTCAAGCCGGGTCTGTTTGCTCGCGCTTTTGCTCTCAGCACCTAGGATGGGGCCTGCCTCAGTAAACACAGTTGAATGAATAAATGAAGGAAGGATGAGATGGAACTTGACCTCTTTTCTGAGCTCACAATTGAATGAATCCTGCCAGCAGGAACTAGGGAGCTATTGTATCACTGTACTTACCTAATGTTCACTGCAAATGTTCTGGAAGTTCATAACTGAGATGGGGGAGAAGCAGAACTAGGACTCAGATAACCTGGGGCCATGTGACCTGCTTATTAATTGCTAGAAAGAGCTAGCAATATTATACAACCCCATGCGTGGTATGAATTTGAAAGTGTAATTTACATAGAAAACCTTCTGCGGCCAGGTCAGTTTTATTGGTTCTTTTGTAAAAATGGTAAATATTTATGATAGAAAATGAAGATAAGCAAAAAATAATTAGCAATTCTACTAGCCAGATATAGTCACTGCTAACATTTTGGGATGCAACTTTCCAGACCTCACTTATGGCACACACTATAACACACACACACACACACACACACACACAGAGGCTTTTCTTAAATAATTTAATTTTTTTTTTTTTAGAGACACTCTGTCACCCAGGCTGGGGTGCAGTGGCAGGATCAGACCTCACTACAGCCTCAAATTCCTGGGCTAAAGTGATCTTTCTACCTCAGCCTCCTGAGTAACTACAACTTCAGGGTCATGCCATCATGCCTATCTAATTAAAAAAAAATAATTTTGGAGAGACAGGGTCTTGCTATGTTGCCCAGGTTGGTCTCAAACTCCTAGGCTCAAGTGATCCTCCCACCTTGGCCTCCCAAAATGCTAGGATTACAGACATGAGCCAGTATGCCCAGCCCACTTTCTGTTTTATAAAAAACAAAAGTAGAATTATTCAAGTCAGTTAAAATTTTCCCTCCTTGCTTGGTCTCATTTCTACCCTTATACTTAGCCACATTTCAGAAGTGATAGAATGCTCATCTTGTATCTGCCATGTCTGTACCGAGTTTTCTTTTCTTCTCTTGTTCTTTTTTTTTTGAGATGGAGTCTCGTTCTTCCGTACAGGCTGGAGTGCAGTGGTGCAATCTCGGCTCACTGCAACCTCCGCCTCCCGGGTATTCAAGCAATTCTCCTGCCTCAGCCTCCCGAGTAGCTGGGATTACAGGCGCGTGCCACCACACCCGGCTAATTTTTGTATTTTTAGTAGATTCGGAGTTTCACCATGTTGGCCAGGCTGGTCTTGAACTCCCGACCTCGTGATCCACCCGTTTTGGCCTCCCAAAGTGCTGGGATTACAGGCCTGAGCCACCGCGCCCGGCCTCGAGTTTTCTTACTCTTGCATGCTACTGTATTGTTTTAGATTGTAATGCTTTTTCTGATTATTCTGCATAACATTAAGATGATTTCTCCTACAGCTATGCGGAATGACTTTCAGTTCCCTTAAATGTCCCATCCCTTCCCTTTGTGCCTTCTTTCTTCTGCCTTGAAAGCCACTCCAATTCTCGCTTGTTTTTTTTGTTTTTTGTTTTTTTGAGATGGAGTCTCTTTCTGTCACCCAGGCTGCAGTGCAACCTCTTGGCTCACTGCAAGCTCTGCCTCCCCGGTTCAAGCGATTCTCCTGCCTCAGCCTCCCGAGTAGCTGGGATTACAGTCATGCACCACCACACCTGGCAAATGTTTGTATTTTTAGTAGAGATGAGCTGTCACCATGTTGGCCAGGCTGGTCTTGAACTCAGGGCCTCAAGTGATCCTCCCATCTCAGCCTCCCAAGTAGCTGGGACTATAGGCTTAACTCACCACAGCCAGCCCCACTTTTTCTTATTCCCAGCTACTTTGTGTTCTTCCAGTCTCAGCAATCCAATGTCATTTCCACAACAAGCTTTACCTGGCCATGCAACGAATCAGCGACCCCTTCTCTGCATGCCTGTTACATCTCGCACAGACTTCAGTGTCTGCATAATAAGTTGCAAACTTACTGTATACCGTAATTTGGGGATTCCTTGTCTGTTTTCTTCTACTAGACTGTAATCTTAATTACAGGAACAATGTCTTGTTCAACCTAAATTTTCTGGAAGCTAGTGTTGGGAACTGAGCAAATAGTAGACGTATCATACGTGCAGGCAGATTGAGCAAAAGCCTGAAATGTACACGACGTTTTGCAGATCACAAGAGGACTTTCCCATGCGTTGTCCTACTTAGCTCACTTCTCTACTCCTGGTATTTCCATTGAGGTGACATCTTATGAGTCACTTCTGGCTGTTCTCTACGCATTAATCACTCCTTCTCTTGGGAGCGGCAGGATCTGTCTGGCAGATGTGGAAGAATAATCTGGATGAGCTCAGGTATACTCAGCTCTGTGGTTTCTTTTTGGGATGAGCTGCTCATCAAGGCTCTGAATTCTCCTTCGACTTTCCAGGCTCTAATTCAGCAATCCCCTCTGGCGTGTGGAAGCCTGTGTCAGCCCGGCATGGCCTGGGATTGAACAAGTCTTCCGCCTTTATCTGGGTTTCAGGTCCATTTCTCTCTCATTCTACTCTGCCTTACAACTGGGCCTCTTTCAGGAATAAAGGTGAAAACTCTGGCCTCCATCTTACTCTTCATTTTGTTTTTCTATTTATTTACAGCCTGGGTGGGGAAGAGACATTATGTGTGTATATATATATGTATACATTTTTTATTTTGAGATGGAGTTTCGCTCTTGTTGCCCAGGCTGGAGTGCAATGGCACAATCTCAGCTCACTGCAACCTCTGCCTCCCAGGTTCAAGTGATTCTCCTATCTCAGTCTCCTGAGTAGCTGGGATTACAGGCATGCGCCACCACGCCTCGCTAATTTTGTATTTTTAGTAGAGACAGGGTTTCTCCATGTTGGTCAGGCTGGTCTTGAACTCCCAACCTCAGATGATTCGCCCGCCAATAGGTAATTTGACTTTTATTCCCATTTAATTGAAGAGGAAACTGATGCTCTGAGTGGTCAAACAACAGGTCTACAGGCAGAGTGTTTCTGAGACCTGATATCAGGACGTCTGACTCTCCAAACTGTGTTCTTTCCATTTGAGGTTTTTTTTTTTTCCTTCTTAAACATAGTACTTTAATTCAGAAAAAGATCATTCAGAATTAAGGAAGCAAGTCTGACATAATGTAACACTGGGTGAACACTGACATAAGGACAGATCTGTCTTGTAAATTTGAATGCAAGATTGAACACAATGTTAACACGTATATAGATTATGGGATAATAATAGTCTTCTAAAATAATCTGGACTCAATATGTGTTACTGAGCTTTGAAAGGATTCCAGACACATAATTTGCTATATTAGTAA
This sequence comes from Homo sapiens, assembly GCF_000001405.40. Classification (NCBI taxonomy): domain Eukaryota; kingdom Metazoa; phylum Chordata; class Mammalia; order Primates; family Hominidae; genus Homo; species Homo sapiens. The sequence continues at coordinate 69,366,883 of NC_000007.14, read as the reverse complement.
CACAAGTTTTGCTGTGATAAGAGCATGGAATGTGGCCGGGCACAGTGGCCCATGCCTGTAATCCCAGCATTTTGAGAGGCAGAGGTGGGCAGATTGTTTTAGCCCAGGAGTTTGACACCAGCCTGAGCAACCTGGCGAAATCCCATCTCTACAGAAAATATAAAAAATCAGCAAGGCGTGGTGGCATGCGCTTGTAGTCCCAGCTACTCGGGAGGCTGAGGCAGGAGAATGGCATGAACCCGGGAGGCAGAGCTTGCGGTGAGCCGAGATCGTGCCACTGCACTCCGGCCTGGGTGACAGATCGAGACTCTGTCTCAAAAAAAAAAAAAAAAGCTTATGTGTAAGTTAGTGGCCTCAGTACTGCACTCCAAAGCATAAGTAAGCCTGACTTTGACGGACAGACTGAGAGCTTGGGCTCTGGCCCGGTTACCCTCCATCAACCTTCAATTTGTTCTCCCAAGCCTCACCCGCCAACACCAGCATCACCCACCAACACGAGCACCACTTGCTACTGTTTAAGGACCTTGCCTGTCAACAAGGAATCTATGCTGTGCTGGTCACCATTTGAGTTATTTTGTGACCATTCTTTCCATGATCTAGACTGCAAACTGCAACCAGAATCCCGCACAGGGTGGAAAGAGAAACTCAGGTATCTTTAAGGACCTTCCAATTCGGAGTCTGTAATTCACCTTCTGGGCCGGCATAGGATCGTCTCTTTCTCTGTGATCCTTCTCTACGGGGCGCGTGCTAAATGCTCAGTAAATGCATGCCTGACAGCAGCCTGATGGTTTAGCATGAGAGGCCCTCAAGAAGAGAAACAGGCTGTGTAAACATTCACTACAGATGGTTGCAAAGGAGCTATGAAGTCATGTCTTCAGTATGGGAAGTACCGAGTGATGTTTTCTCAGTCACGCCCATGTGTACAGGTCAAGACTCCATCAATCACGTCATCTTCAGAAATGAAGACTGTCGGCATCAGCTCTGGGGTAGGCGCTGGTGGCTGCCTGACCACCAGCTCCATCCCCTGCGCTGGGTGGGTTGAGCCAGGCTTTCTGTTCCAGCGTGCAGTTTCTCAAATAAGCTCAGCTTTGGAAAATAGTTTCCCTTTACTTTTTATGTGTTTTCTGGGCTTTCAAACCCATGGGTATTTTGAGGCAAACATAGTCCATATGTTTCTGATTTACTTACATTCAACTTGCCAGAAGTTTCTTTTGTAAAATCTACTTTACGTCTGGGAAACCTTTTCAGCCTGTTTTTTAAAGCCTTTTAGCCCAGATCTTTACACTCAAAAGGAAGCAGAGAATTGAAACAATTATTAGGATATAATTGAGACCAGAAAACATGTTTGCCTTTGTTAGTTACCTGGGCATTTCAGGGAACAGGTAAGCGGGAAGGCCTCTGGTGCAGAGGTAATTACCCTCATTATCCACTTCCCGTTTCACGTGTGGACACGACCTTTAAAGACGAACATCTTTCTTCAGAGACCCGTATGCAAAATTTTGGTTTCTCTTTAAACTAATCTTGGCTAAGTGTCCCTGGTCTGTTTCCTATTCAGAAATCTCTGAATTTGAGTAGGTTATAAATTTGATAAAGTGCTTTTATTTATTCTTTGCTTGGAGGAGTGACATAAATCCAAGTAAAAATAACGTACATAAAACTTTCAAACTGAAATACTAAGTTTTAGATGATAAGTGTTATTATTTTTATTAGCAATAAATGTCAAAAGCATTGAAAAGTGGTTGGGAGTGATGAAGTGGTAGGAAAAAGAATATATTGGGGGAGAGACAGGGACAGCCCACTTAAGAAATAGGGAAAACAAAGTATAGCCAACCAACCCAAGATACACATCCATTTAAGAAGAAGCTAAAACTATGTTTTTATAGTCATCAAATTCCTAATCTAGATGGCTGGATGCATGTCAGATGCTGGTGTGAGAGCTGGGACCCCCTAAAAGCAGAATAGAACACCCTGCCTGGTCCCCCATTCCAAACCACGGGCAGGGTGGCGGTGATCAGATATTGGCAACCTACCCCTTTTCTCAACTTTTAGCTGAATTTTCAATTTTTCCCTGAAACTTTATAACATTTTCATAAAGTGAAATTTTGATTCTGGAATCTTTATTTTCCACTTTTCTCCTTTTGCAACACGGAATGTCTGCTCTCCCCAAAGGTGTTTATGCTAAGTTGTTCCAGAAATTACCACCAGTGAAAGCAGAGACACAGTGTAGTTTGTAGAGAAAAACGGAAGAAAAGCCTCTGGGAAAGAGCACAGACTTTTCTTTCCTTTTTTTTTTTTTTTGAGACGGAGTCTCGCTCTGTCCCCCAGGCTGGAGTGCAGTGGCACGATCTCGGCTCACTGCAAGCTCTGCCTCCCGGGTTCACACCATTCTCCTGCCTCAGCCTCCCGAGTAGCTGGGACTACAGGCGCCCGCCACCACGCACGGCTAATTTTTTGTATTTTTAGTAGAGACGGGGTTTCACCGTATTAGCCCGGATGGTCTCAATCTCCTGACCTCGTGATCCGTCCGCCTCGGCCTCCCAAAGTGCTGGGATTATAGGCGTGAGCCACTGCGCCAGGCCTCCTTTTTATTTTTATTTTTTTAAGACAGAGTCTCACTCTGTCGCCCAGGCTGGAGTGCAGTGGCACGATCTCGGCTCACTGCAACTTCCGCCTCCCGGGTTCAAGTGATTCTCCTGCCTCAGCCTCCTGAATAGCTGAGGTTACAGGCACGCACCACCACATCTGGCTAATTTTTGTATTTTTAGTAGAGACGGGGTTTCACCACGTTGGCCAGGCTGGTCTCGAACTCCTGACCTCAGGTGGTCCGCTGGCCTCGGCCTCCCGAAGTGTTGAGATTACAGGCGTGAGCCACGGCACCTGGCCAAGCACAGACTTTTCAAAGGGGAACCCAGGTTTCCAATCAGGTACTGTCTTTTAATTTCCACAATGCATGACATTCCAAAAAGGGATGAAGGTGATGGGAAAGAAAAAGGGAAGGAGAATGGAAAGCAAACTGACTCTCAGGGTGTCTTTTTTTTTTTCCAAGGGGCCATGAGAGAGTCATTTAATATTTCTAGATCTCAGTTTCTTCAACTGTAAAATAAAAATGTTTGACTGTATAATCATGATGGCCCTTTCTTGATCAAAGTTGCATAATTCAATTTTTCTTTTCTCCAAAAGACTGAGATGAAAGATAGTGAGACAATAATGGATATGACCATTGCCCTAAAATTAACTAGAAACCTTCTTTCAAAGGAAGACACCAACAGCAAGGAGACCCATTATTTTTTAAAAATATATTTCAATAGTTTTTGGGGTACAGGTGGGTTTTGGTTACATGAATGAGTTCTTTAGTGGTGAATTCTGAGATTTTGGTGCACTCATCACCTGAGCAGTGTACACTGTACCCAGTGTAGTCTTTTATCCCTCGTTCCCCTTCCACCATTCCCCTGAGTCCTCAAAGTCCATCATGCCATTCTTATGCCTTTGCATCCTCATAGCTTAGCTCTTACTCATAAGTGAGAACGTACAATATTCGGTTTTACATTCCTGAGTTGCTTCACTTAGAACAATGGTTTCCAGGCCGGGCACGGTGGCTCATTGCCTGTAGGAGGCCTAGGCGGGTGGATCACCTGAGGTCAGGAGTTCGAGACCAGCCTGACCAATATAGTAAAGCTCCATCTCTGCTAAAAATACAAACATTAGCTGGGCCTGGTGGCGTGTGCCTGTAGTCCTAGTTACTCGGGAGGCTGAGACAGGGGAATCACTTGAACTCAGGAGGTGGAGGTTGCAGTGAGTCAAGATGGTGCCACTGCACTCCAGCCTGTGTGACAGAGCAAGACTCCGTCTCAAAAAAAAAAAAAAAAAGAATAATCGTTTCCAACACCATCCAAGTTGCTGCAAATGCCATTATATTTCATTTCTTTTTATGGCTGAGTAGTATTCCATGGTGTATATATACCACATTTTCTTTATCCACTCATTGGTTGATGGGCATGTAGGTTGGTTCCATATTTTTGCAGTTGTGAATTGTGCTGCTATAAACATGCGTGTGAAAGTGTTTTTCATATAATGACTTCTTTAAGAGGCCCACTTCGGTTAACTGACTCAAACCAAAGTCTGTTAAGTTCTATTGCAGAGCCTTTTACGTCACAGCAAGTGCCACGACATTATTTGTTTTCAGAATACATATAAGATGCTCAAAATGGAATGATATTGATACCCTTTATAATTTGTTATTTAGATATTTAAAATTTTACAGATGTGACCTTTTTGGTAATTATATACTGCTCAATGTTGCATCATATTTAAATCTGAAATTTCATATGAAATCTCATCCTCAAGAGCATACTAATTTTCTTGCCTACTTAAAAAGTTTTATTTTTAAATATGAGAAACTGTGGGGATTTTTTTTTCACTCAAATTAAACCAGATGAAAATGTATTTTACGTCCTCCTTTGGAATTATGTTCTGTCTTATCAACATATGCTTCCCCATAACGTACCTGTCTCTCAGTAGGTTCTAAGCTTGGTTCTGCCACTATTAGGTGAGCTTATACACATTGCTTATACTCTATGGGCTTCCATTCCATTTCATTATTTGAAGAAGGCAGTCCTCAGATAGGTAGAAATCTACCTTAGATAGGTAGATTTCTTTCTGGCATTTGATGATTGTATTAGTCCATTTTCACGCTGCTGATAAAGACATACCCAAGACTAGGTAATTTTTAAAGAAAAAGAGGTTTCATGGGCTCAGAGTTCCACATGGTGGAGGAGGCCTCACAATCATGGAAGAAGGTGAAAGGCACATCTTACATGGCAGGAGGCAAGACAGAGAATGAGACAAGTGAAAGGGGTTTCTCCTTATAAAACCATCAGATCGGCCTGGCACAGTGGCTCATGCCTGTAATCTCAGCACTTTGGGAGGCTGAGGTGGATGGATCACCTGAGGTCAGGAGTTCATGACCAGCCTGTCCAACACGGTGAAACTCCATTTCTACTAAAAGTGGAAAAATTAGCCAGGTGTGGTGGTGCATGCCTGTAATCCCAACTACTTGGGAGGCTGAGGCAGGAGAATCGCTTGAACCGGGGAGGCAGAGGTTGCAGTGATTTGAGATCACACCATTGCACTCCAGCCTGGGCAACAAGAGAGAAACTCTGTCTCAAAAACAAAACAAAACAAAACAAAACACCCCATCACATCTCGTGAGACTTATTCACCATCACGAGAATAGCATGGGAAAGACCCACTCCATGACTGAATTATCTCTCACCGGGTTCCTCCCACAACACGTGGGAATTATGGGAGCTACAGTTCAAGATGAGATTTGGATGGGGACACGGTCAAACCATATCAGTGATCATACCAGAAGCAGATATTTTTCAGTTTCCTTGGGTAAAGATGAAGAAAGAACAAAAAACGTTGGTAGTTAATCCAGGATGCTAGTGACTCCAATCTTTCACAAAGGAAAGCAAACACAATAACTACAGGTACACTGATCAAAATATTTTCTGACAACTTTATCAAGTGACACAGGCTGACACTCATTTCGGGGTGAGAGTTTTGTGCCTCATGCAATACTATTGTTCTCAGATGGTGCAATGTGAAGTGTTTTACTAGTACAGTTGTTTTGACATAGCGTACTAACGTGTTACTGAATTCCTGACACAGGCATTTCCCATGAAATGCTAAACTCCAATCCTCTTTAAAAAATAATTCCAGATTGATTCCATGTATGGGGCATGCTGGAGAGTGTACACAAACATTGTCACCGTGTGCCTTTGGTACAGGGGACAAAATGTTCAGCTGCATTCTATCAGACAAACCACAGTTCTAAACATAATATGGAACAATGCCACTTTCTTGAAACAGAAAATCACCATTGGCTTCTCAGCGTGGTGGTGAAGACACCATATTTTTAGGTCGTTTCTACATCATTACTGCAACCTAGTTTTCATTATTCAATGCACTGAATTGGTGTATATTTTACTGTGTGCAAGTTACGACCTGGAAGAGCAATTTGTATTTGGGTTTCCATTTGTCCAAATCCCCCCAACAGTCGCCAACTTTCTTTCTTAATTTACCAGGGCTTCTGCTTTGGGTGTTGCCAAAAAAGGGGTTCTTATCTCTCTTTCAAACAGCATTCTGGGAATGGGCAACCCCACATTCACATACAAAAAGACAGACTTCTAAGATCAAGTAATATCTAATGTCTTTAATATATGCAGTTACAGACATTTAGGAGAAGTAATGCTCATTGTACACCTACCATGTGCAAAGTACAGCAAAGCAACACTATCTTCTGAGAAAAAACTGCTTAAAATAAGATCAGACAACTACTTAATGTGCCTGAATGGAAGTATGAAAATTAAGAGTACACCAGCCTGGGCAACAGTGAAGACCCCATCTCCACAAAAATTTTAAAACTTAGCAGGGTGTGTTGTCACGCACCTGTAGTCCCAGCTACTTGAGAGGTGGGGGTGGGAGGATTGCTTGAACCTGGGAGGTTGAGGCTGCAATGAGCTATAATTGAGCCACTGCACGCCAGCCTGAGTGACACAGCGAGACCCTGTCTTAAAAAACCAAATCCAGGCTGGGCACGGTGGCTCATGCCTGTAATTCCAGCACTTTCAGAGTCTGAGGCGGATGGATCACAAGGTCGGGAGTTTGAGACCAGCCTGGCTAACACAGTGAAACCCTGTCTCTACTAAAAATACAAAAAATTAGCCAGGCATGGTGGTAGGCACCTGTAGTCCCAGCTACTTGGGAGGCTGAGGCAGGAGAATGGCATGAACCCGGGAGGTGGAGCCTTTAGTGAGCCAAGATTGCACCACTGCACTCCAGCCTGGGTGACAGAGCCAGACTCCGTCTCAAAAACAAAAACAACAACAACAACAATACAAAAATTAATCGGCCATGGTGGTGTGCAACTGTAATCCTCAGGAGGCTGAAGCAGGAGAATTGCTTGAACCTGGGAGGTGGAGGTTGCAGTGAGCCAAGATTGTGCCACTGCACTCCAGCCTGGGCAACAGAGCAAGACTCCATTTCAAAAACAAACAAACAAACAAAAACAAATGAACAAAAAAAACCCCAACAAAATCCATTGTCTGATTTCAGTTATCATTTCCTGCCAGAAAGGCAAAAATGTTAAGACTTGACTTTGAATCTGCCTTCTCTTTCTCTTTCTGCTTCTTCTTCCCCTTCCCCTTTCCCTTCCTCTTCTTCCTCTTCTTCTTCATTTGTTTTAGAGACAGGGTCTCAATCTGTCATCCAGCAGGCTGGAATACAGTGGTGTGATCATGGCTCACTGCAGCCTCAAACTCTTGGGCTCAAGCCATCCTCCCACCTCCGCCCTCCCAAGTAGCTGAGACTACAAGCACACACTATTGCACACGGCTAATTAAGTTTTTTTGTGTGTGTAGATGGAGTTCCACTTTTTTGCCCAGGCTGGTCTTGAATTCATGGGCTCAAGTGATCTTCTAGCCTCAGCCTCCCAAAGCTCTGGGATTACGTGTGTGAGTCACCCTGCCCAGCCTGATAAATTCTGGAGGAAAAAATTAGAAGAGAAGATGGTATTTCATTTGTGGCTAAGAATCTTTGACAACTTTCTTCTGTTTCCTCACTGCAGAGGAATCATCTCTCAAAGCCACTCAACTCATGCTTGTCTCCTCTGAAACATCATTGGTAGGTGGAGTGGAAAGACTGCAAATTTCAGAGTCATCTGGGCTTCAACTTCCAGCCCACCCACACCCTGACCCCATGACCCTGGTTATGTTAACATTTCCAAGCCTCGTTTTCTTTACCTTTCAAAAACTGGGGATAAACCTTCTAATTCTGCAGCATAATGTCAAGAATCCATGACATCAAGCATGCAAAAGTGATTGTGCTGTACTTTGCACATGGTAGGTGTACAATAAGCATTACTTCTCCTAAATGTCTGTAACTGCATATATTAAAGACATTAGATATTACTTGATCTTACAAGTCTGTCTTTTTGTATGTGAATGTTGGGTTGCCCATTCCCAGAATGCTGTTTGAAAGAGAGATAAGAACCCCTGGCAGAGTACTAAGGGCTTTTGCATACGTGTGGATTCTGTTCACCCTCTCATCTTCCAGATACCAGATCCTGTATGCTTTTCGGCATCTCCCTCCCCTTAGTTGATCTGGGATCTGTCTCCTTGCCTGCTGACAACTGCTGAACTTGTTCTATCTCTCTGAACTACTGACTAGCTCGTTTTTCTTCCAGCCTGGGCTTTAGCATTACTCCAACACTGTCCAGTTACTTCTGGGATTGTAGTAGCCAATATTTATTTAATGCTTACCAGATGTTAGGTATTGTGCTAATAAGGGCATGATCTCACTTAGCCTCACTTAGCCTGACCTTGAGGTAGGAGGTGGGACTCAACTGGAGAGGTGGGGCTTGGACACTGGACAAAATGGAGGAGTAGGTAAAACAGGGACAGGATGGAAGCAGCTTCCCATGAGACAAGCCCATCAGGGTGCCATGTCAGTTTACTGTTGCCATGGCAACACCCAGGAGTTACTGCCCCTTTCCATGGTAATGAAAGACCCAAAAGACCTAAAAGGTACCACCTTTTTCCTAGTGTTTTCCTAGTTTCTGCATAAACTGCCCTTTAATCTACATGTAATTCCTTACATTAATCTCACAACAACCCAAATGAGGAAGATGCTTTTATGATCTGCATCTGATAGTCAGGTACATGAGGCTTGAAGAGGTTGAGAAACTTGGGCTGATAAGTGACAGAACTAGAATTTGAATCCAGGACTATAAGACTTCAAAACCAGTGCTTAGCCGTTGTGTCAAAACACTCATTCAGTACTACCTGGTCTGGGGACTTGGAGGGGACAGTTGTTATGGGCACTGAGGGCCTGGACTCTTCATCTGAAAGGGGGAAACATTGGCAAGAGAACCCATTCAGTTGAAACATTTGGTGGCTAATAACAGGTTGCAATTAAGTCTATATTCTCTTATGATCATCTGAGGAACATTTGGAAATGAGAACTCTTTCCAATGAGCAGTCCGGATTATGTAGGTGTTCATGTTTGATACGCATAATGCCTCTGCTTGTCATTCCAGATGGATGAGGAGAAAATATCTCTAAGTGTCTTCAAAATACTCATGAAAGATTGGAAGAGGCTGGTTGATGCTTCAGCCTCTCAAAGTGTAGGTCTCTTGCACATGCTAGAGCTTCTAATTCAATAGCTGTGTTCATCTTTTTAGGGCAAGAATGTAATGCGATTTCAGCCTTTGGGAAGACACTATTTACAGGCAGAATGGTGACAAGTTGGAGATTCCCTTCTATTGAGGCCCTCAGCATGGTGACATCACTTCTCTCTGCCTTAAGATGTATGGCCCTGCGGGTGGGGGAACACATTTTTTTTTAGATGAAGTCTCACTCTGTCACCCAGGCTGGAGTGCAGTGGCGCGATCTCGACTCACTGCAACCTCTGCCTCCCAGGTTCAAGCGATTCTCCCGCCTTGGGGTGGTAGAATTTGACTCTTGGTTTAGAAATAACTCAGGAAGGCAGTCAGCTGGAAGGAAAGAAGGAAAGAAGAGAAAGGAAACAAGGAAGGAATGAAGGAAGGGCCTAACATTTCTGTAGCTAGAGTGAGCCTATAGCCACCCCCACCTTGACTACCAAGGCAAAAAGCAAGAATGCCCCAGCTTACTGGGCAGTTTTGACATTGCCAGAGGGGTGCTCAATTTCGAATTGGACAAGGCTGGGTTTGAATTCCCATTCTTCTTTTAAAAAAATAGAGATAGAGTCTTGCTATGTTGGCCAGGCTGGTCTTGAACTCCTGGGGTAAAGTGATCCTCCTGCCTCAGCCTCCCTAGTAGCTGGGGCTACAGGTGCACATGCCACTGTGCCCAGCTTGCATTTCTATTATGTTAATTTTTAGAAATGTAATTTTTAAAAAATTTAATTTAAATTTTTTAGAAATGTAATTTTTAAAAAATTTAATTTAAATTTTTTAGAAATGTAATTTTTAAAAAATTTAATTTAAATTTTTTTACTTATTTATATTAATTTGAGACAGGGTCTCACTCTGTCACTCAGGCTGGAGTGCAGTGGGGCAATCATGGCTCACTGCAGCCTCAACCCCCTGGGCTCAGGTGATCCTCCTGCCTCAGCGTCCTGGGTAGCTGGGACTACAAGCTCATGCCATCACATCTGGCTAATTTTTTTTTTTTTGAGATGGAATCTCGCTCTGTCGCCCAGGCTGGAGTGCCGTGGTACAGTCTTGGCTCACTGCAACCTCCACCCTCTGGCTTCAAGCAATTCTCCTGCCTCAGCCTCCCAAGTAGCTGGGATCACAGGTGCATGCTACCACGCCTGGCTAATTTTTGTATTTTTAGTAGAGACAGGGTTTCACCATGTTGGCCAGGGTATTCTCAAACTCCTGATCTCAAGTGATCCACCCCCCTCGGCCTCCCAAAGTGCTGGGATTACAAGTGTAAGCCACCGTGCCCGGCCTTTTTTTATTTTTTTTTAAAATAAAGATAGGGTCTTGCAATGTTGCCTAGGCTGGTCTTGAACTCCTGGGTTCAAGCAATCACCCACTTTGGTCTCCCAAAGTGTTGGAATTAGAAGTGTGAGCCATTGCACCAGGCCAGGAATGTGATTTTTGACAATTTAGTTACCTTGTTTGAGTTTCCTCAACTTTAAATTGAAGTAATTAAAAACTGGCCCAAACTTCTTTGCTACTTCTTCCATTGAAAGGTGGGAGTCGATGTCTTCTTTTTCTCGAATCTGGTGGGTCTCTTAGATATTCCAGTCAATGGAACATGGCAGATGTGAGGCTGAGTTGTTTCTGGGGCTAGGTCATACAGCCACCCAGTCTCTTCCTAGTATCTTGGGATACTTATTCTGGGTGGAGACACCACCATGTAGGATGAAATGAAGTGGTTACCCTGAAGAGGCCACGTCTTCAGACACTGTTGAGCAACCAGCAGACAGTGGCATCCAGTGCCTGCCATCTGTGAGCCACCTAGAGCATCCAGTGTAGCTGAGCCCCCAGATGACCACAGCACAGCTGACGCCTGATCCCTACTATGTGAGAGGCCCCAAATGAGACTTGCCCAGCCAGTCCGGGTGCAGTGGCTCACGCCTGTAATCCCAGCACTTTGGGAGGCTGAGGTGGGTGGATTGCTTGAGGTCAGGAGTTCGAGATCAGCCTGGTCAACATGGTGAAACCCCGTCCCTACTAAAAATACAAAAATTAGCCAGGCGTGGTGGTGCACGCCTGTAATCTCAGCTACTTGGGAGACCGAGGCAGGAGAATTGCTTGAACCCAGGAGTCGGAGGTTGCAGCGAACAGAGATCTCGCCACTGTACGCCAGCCTGGGTGACAGAGTGAGACTCCATCTCAAAAAAAAAAAAAAAAGAAAGAAAATGTGGGTGAGGGAGGAAATATTGTTCATCTTTAGCATACCAAGGATTTAGGACAGTGGGGAAGAGGGGTCTCTGAGGCTCCTCTGCCCAGGTAATGACCTCCAGCCAGAGCTGGTGTTGACAAAAGTCTTGCCAAATAGAGCAGGCCAATCTGATGTTTCAAGTACCTCTGGATCCCAGGGGCCATGGACTCTTCCTCCCCTGCCTCCAATCAAGCTTGCTCCAAACCAGCCTTCTGCCTTTTCCAGGGAGAATGTTCCATCCTGTCTTATCCAAGGGATTCAAACTTCAGCAGAGACTTATAATTTCGACATGTATTTATTTGTTTATTGACAGGGTCTCACTCTGTTGCCCAGGCTGGAATGCGGTGGTGTGATTGTGGCTCACTGCAGCCTTGAACTCCCAGGTTCAAGTGATCCTCCTTCCTTGGCCTCTCGAGTAGCTTGGACTACAGGCATGTGCCACCACGCCTAGGCCATTAAAAAAAATTATTTGTAGGCCGGGCACAGTTGGTCATGCTTGTAATCCCAGTACTTTGAGAGGTTGAGGTGGGCAGATCACGAGGTCAGGAGATCGAGACCATCCTAGCTAACACGGTGAAACCCCGTCTCTACTAAAAATACAAAAATCAGCCTGGCATGGTGGTACACATCTGTAGTCCCAGCTACTCGGGAGACTGAGGCAGGAGAATCACTTGAACCCAGGAGGTGGGGGTTGCAGTGAGCCGGGATCGCGCCGCTGCACTCCAGCCTGGGCAACAGAGCAAGACTCCGTCTTAAAAAAAAAATAAACAAATATATATATATATATGTATGTATTTGTACAGATGGGATCTCGCTGTGTTTCTCAGGCTAATCTTGACTTTCTGGCCTCAAGCAATCCTCCTCCCAAAGTGTTGGGATTACAGGCATGAGCCACTGCACCCAGCAATTTAGACATTTGAAAAAAGACAATGACTTTTCTTTTCTTTTCTTTTTTTTTTGAGACAGTATCTCCCTCTGTCGCCGAGGTTGGAGTGCAGTGGCGTTACCTCGGCTCAGTGCAGCCTCCACCTCCCGGATTCAAGCAACTCTTCTGCCTCAGCCTCCCAAGTAGCTGGGATTACAGGCGCCCGCCACCATGCCCCACTAAGTTTTTGTATTTTTAGTAGAGACAGGGTTTCACCATGTTGACCAGGCTGCTTTTGAACTCCTGACCTCAAGTGATCCGCCTGCCTCAGCCTCCCAAAGTACTAGGATTATAGGCGTGAGCCACTGTGCCCGGCCGACAATGATTTTTCAATGTTGAGATGGAAATCACTAGTAGATTGGAAGGAAGATGTATTCCTGCCTTTATGAGCTCCAGATCAGGCCCATCTCTGCCCACACACCCAGTTGCATTAATGTATTAGCATTTGCATGACTGGTAAGTTTTCCTGTGCTCTCCTTCCCTGCAGACTGGGCCGTCTTCTGGGAGGGGTTACCATTCTCCTTGATTCTCTTGACCTCACTGCACCACAGGCAGTGAGGAGGGCTGCAGACTGTGCTCCTTTTATCTTTTTTTTCTTTTAGAGACAGGGTCTTGCTTTGTTGCCCAGGCTAGAGTGCAGTGGCATGATCATAGCTCATGCAGCCTCGAATTCCTGGCCTCAAGCAATCCTCCCACATTGGCCTCCCAAAGTGCTGGGATTTGTGATCCTTTTAAGCTGATAAAACATGGTGTTGGACTCAGCTCTCCTAGCGAGTGGATGGAAATAAGAGACCCAATAAAGCCAGACATTTGGGTGTCAGTGTTTGTGTTTGGGAGAGGAGGAAGTTTATTTGAAGACTTGAGAAGGAGGCTCTGTTCTTTATACAACAACAGAGGGAAGTTTAGCCTTCGCGTGGGCAGCTTCCATGAGGGAGCAGATGGGGCTCTCAAGGCACAGGAATGTTTCCAGAAGCCACGTGTGCTGTCGAAAGGCAAAGGCCAAGTTCTGCAAGGAGCTGTAGGCAACAAGGTTGCCCCGGGCCTTGAGAGCGAAGATCATTCCTGAGAAGGGATTGAGCCCCTCTCTGTCCCTCTATGCCAAGGACCACCCGCAGTCAACACTGCCAACAAAAACAAATCAGGAAGAACTGATGTCTCAGGAAGACAGCAGGCGGGAAGCATAGGAAAGGAGGCAAATCAGGCTTCTCTATGCTGTGTCCTGGCACCAGCGTGGAAGGGCATGGGCTGAGGGTGGTAACAGACTCAATGTGGCCTGAGCGAATTACCTTCGTCTTCCTTATAAGACTCTGCTTTGCATTGGCCAAGCATAGACCCTAATCTTCCTTCCCTTGGGGTAGTTCTAGAAGAGGCTGCTGATGGGTAACTCATCTGTGTGCTCAGATTGACCTTTTTCTGCCTTCTTTTGGGCTATCTGTAGTTTCATGTTATGTCAAGTTCTTGTGTTAGTTTCAAGTTCCTAAGGTACTAAGGACTCTCAGGTGAGGTTACCTGTCTAGCACTGGGGCAGCTACAATCCCGTAATACTCCTTTGATGCTTTGGGGTGGTAGGTAGAAGGGGTGATAAAGACTGTGCCTGAGAGTTTGACTCAAGTCTCTCTCTCTTTGCACTTGCCAGAATCAATTGCCTGGTAGGTGGAGAGAGAGAAATAATGGTATTTTCTATACACCCCTTAGTTACCTTCCTTGGCTAGATATGTGTGTGTGTATGTGTGTGTGTGTGTGTGTGCATGTGTGTATGTCTAGGTATATGCTAAGTCTGTTTCTCATCATGGTATTACAGAAGAATTCATGGAGAATATGGTAATGGGTGTTTTCCTTTATAAAATGAATCTCAAAAGTTTAGGAATGTTAACAAAAAATGAAAGAAGTTAGGCATGTGGCTATGATATGAAGCGGGCTCTGGAATCCATCTGACTGGTTTGAATCCCAACTCCAATTCACTTTCCAGCTGTGTGATTTTTGTTCGGTTATTGAACTTCCCTGAGCCCCAGATTTCTCATTTCAAAAATCAGGCAAATCATTATTTTTACATTATGGGGCTGTGATCAGGCTTACATGAGTTGATCCATGAAAGAGTTTGGCCAGCCAGGCATGGTGACTCATGCCTGTAATCCCAGCACTTTGGGGGGCCAAAGCAGGCGGATCACCTGAGGTCAGGAGTTCAAGACCAGCTTGACCAACATGGCAAAACCCCGTCTCTACTAAAAAATACAAAAATTAGTCAGGCGTGGTGGCAGGCACTTGTAATCTCAGCTACTCGGGGGGCTGAGGCAGGAGAATTGCTTGAACCTGGGAGGCAGAGGTGGCAGGGAGCCGGGATTGTGCCACTGCACTCTAGCCTGGGCAACAGAGTAAAACTCTGTCTCAAAAAAAATAAAAATAAAAATTAAAAATAAATAAAGACTTTGGCCCAGTGCCTATTTATTGTAAAGGATTTTATTTATTAATTTGAGACAAGGTCTTGCTCTGTCACCCAGGCTGGAGTGCAGTGGCGTGATCATAGCTCACTGCAGCCTCGGCCTCCCAAAGTGCTGGGATTACGGGTATGAACCACTACACCTGGCCTATTGTAAAGGATTTATAAATGTAAGTTACTACCATGATTAATCAATATCTCTAACGACCTCTCAGTATGTCATTATAGATGGGCATCATGTCTTTACCTAAATCTTTGCTGAACTCATGCATACTCGTAGCTTCACCATCCTTTGGGGAAAATGCCCCTCCAGGTGGGTGTTCTTGGGCAGCTGGAAGCCACTGTTCCACATGTCTGGCTGAATGTCTCCTGGCCTGGTGGTTTGAGTGCCTGTCCTTCTTTCCTGGCCTCGCTGTAGGTAGGGGCTGCTGGTAAACGTTACTAGAGCTCTCCTTTTCTAAAGGCTTAAAACCACTTTCCTCCAACATGAATGCATTTCTCTCCATGATTTAAATAAGTTCATTACCTAATTGAAAAAGCCACTCAGGGCTGGGTGAGGTGGCTCATGCCTGTAATCCCAGCACTTTGGGGTGCAAAGGTGGGAGGATTTCTTGATTCCAGGAGTTTGAGACCAACCTGGGAAACGTGGCGAAACCCCATCTCTACACAACACAAAAATTAGCTGGGAATGGTGGCATGTGCCTGTAGTCTTAGCTACTTGGAAGGCTGAGGGAGGAGGATCGCCTGAGACCTGGAGGTTGAGGCTGCAGTGAGCTATGATTGTACCACTGCACTGTAGCCTGGGTGACAGAGTGAGACCCTGTGATGTGGTTTGGCT
The DNA here is from genome assembly GCF_000001405.40 of Homo sapiens. Lineage (NCBI taxonomy): Eukaryota > Metazoa > Chordata > Mammalia > Primates > Hominidae > Homo > Homo sapiens. The sequence continues at coordinate 69,351,245 of NC_000007.14, read as the reverse complement.
ATGTCTCCACCCAAATTTCATCTTGAATTGTAGCTCCCATAATTCCTACATGTTGTGGGAAGGACCCAGTGGGAGATAATTGAATCATTGGGGCAGTTTCCCCCATAGTGTTCTTCTGGTAGTGAATAAGTCTCATGAGATGTGATGGTTATATAAGGGGAAACCCGTTTCGCTTGGTTCTCATTTTCTCTTGTCTGCTGCCATGTAAGATGTGCCTTTCACCTTCTGCCATGATTGTGAGGCCTCTCCAGCCCCATGGAACTGTGAGTCCATTAACCCTCTTTTTCTTTATAAATTACCCAGTCTCAGGTATGTCTTTATCAGCAGTGTGAAAACGGACTAATATACCCTGTCTCAAAAAAAAAAAAAAAAGAAAGAAAGAAAGAAAGAAAGAAAAAATTACTTAAATGGCAAGAGAAGCTGTGGGAGAGAACATGTGTGGGGTGTAGCGTGTGAACGTGTGTGAGACTGTGCACATAAGTGTGTTTATGGCTGCTTGCACCCTCATAGGGTGAGGTGAAGGAAAATAAAGGGCATAAATCCAATCCTGCTATTCCTGGAGCATCTTCAGAGTTTGAGTCTAAAGATTAGAGTTGAACTCTGACAATTGATTCATTATTTAATCCTTTAATTGATGACCATGGCAGAAAGATGACAGCAGCACATCCTTGGCAGGGAGGCAAGTTCCATCTATTTGTTTATTACTGTTGGACAATTTATCTAGTGGAGAGAGAGTGATGGGAGGCCACCATGCGTCATGGTTCAGAATGTTGTTATAAATAACAATTAATCCACTTAGAGATCTGGCTCCATTCAACCTGGAGAATCCCATTAGATGTAAAAGATTCTGGAGGAGAAGGTTGAGGAACAGAGTTTTCCATTTTCTCAGCTCACTCTCACTGTCTGGTCATCCTGGAAGTGCCTGAGGTTTTCCAAGATGATGAATATTCAAGCAGTATTGGTACCATCTCTTAACTTCTATTGTTTTATGGCCAGCATTCCTTCCTGGCAGTCAATCACATATTACTTTGGAATGTTTCTTGAATTACTATGTTAAGCTATTAAAATTTCTATTATTCATTTATTATCTCTCTCTCTCTCTATTTTTTTTTTTTTTTGAGACAGTCTCACTCTGTTGCCCAGGCTGGAGTACAAGTGGCACAATCTTGGCTCACTGCAGCCTCTGCCTCCCGGGTTCAAGTGATTCTCCTGCCTCACCCTCCCGAGTAGCAGGGATTACAGGCACCTGCCACCACGCCTGGCTAATTTTTGTATTTTTTGTAGAGGCGGGGTTTCACTATGTTGGCTAGGCTGGTCTCGAACTCCTGACCTCAGATGATCTACCCACCTTGACCTCCCAAAGTGCTGGGATTACAGGTGTGAGCTACCGTGCCCGGCCGAAGTCTTCTTTCCCTTACTGCTTGGGCTCTGACACTGTCACATATATTCTTAGGCCAGAATTATGTTTTTTGGTCATTTTTCATTTCTTATCTCAATGTAAAATGCTATACTTTCCCTTTTCTAGTAACATATCACATAAATCTTCATCACACCACCTCACAGGTGGAGGGAGAGTAACTTGTTGAAACCAGAGTCTTCGAGGCAGGTCATGGTTTTGTTGAGATTTCAAGGGTTAATCTCTGGAGTGACCCCAGATTGCTTCCCCAAAGGTGCCATTAGCCCAGGCTCTCTAGGACTTTCCAGCCTTTTCTGCTGCAGTTGTAACTGATAAGTGGCTGCTTTGTCATGTGAACAGGAAGATAAAAAGGCACTCAGGTTTAGCACTGCATGTAAAATAGGAATCACTTGAATGTCGTGGCCATTGTCATCAAATCGATCTGAGTCCATCCTCTGTAAAGGCTTTCCATTACTAAAACAAAAGGGAAAAAAGCCATGAGCTTTCCAGTGTTTATTTATTCAAGGAGCCTTGAAGTACAAGTGGCAGCATTCAGAACGCTGAAGATAGTGCTTCCGTGCTGATTGATTTCATTGTTTTGGGGTTACACTTCTGCAGTGAATGGGAACCTGTGAAGATACGAAATGCATAAGTAAACCTCCGTGGAAAATTAATTTCAGCTGCGCATCACCTACCTCCAGGTTCAAACTGTCTTTATATTTTGCTCCTTGTGTTTTAAAGCTGCAAATAAGAGTTAGTGACTCACTCCTGCTTTGCAAATGATTTTGGTGTCATAAATAGTACCTCTTTCAAATTTGTGGCCACTTAGGTTCTCCAGCCTTTATCCAATTTGGATCATCTCTTAAAGCGTGAGAAGGCCGGTGTGTCACCTAAAACCAGGAAGTTAAAAAACAAAACCAAACCATACAACACTTCTTTTTTATTGCAAAAATAATGCAGGTTCATTTTAGAAAAATTGGAGAGTACAGTTGTATTGTGCCTCACTTTATCGTGCTTTGCAGATATTATGTTTTTCTTACAAATTGAGGGTTTGTGGCAACTTTGCATCGAGCAAGTCTCTGCCATTTTTCCAACAGCATGCACTTACTTCGTGTCTCTGTGATATATGTTGGGTATTTTCACAATATTTCAAACTTTTCCATTATTATTATGTTATTGTAAGCTGTGATCGGTGATTTTGGTGTTAATTATTGTACTTGTTTTGGGGCACCATGAACCACTCCCATATAAGACAGCAAACTTAATTGATAAATGTTGTGTGTATTTATCGGCCATTCCCTGTCTCTCTACCTCTCCTCTGGCCCTTCAGCCTCTGAGACACAGCAATATTGAAATTAGGCCAATTAATAATTCTAAGAGTGAAAAGGAGAACCCCCAGTCTTTCACTTTATTCTTTTAAATGTAAATTAAATTTATTTCTTTTTAACTTTTATTTATTTTATATTTATTTATTTATGCATTTATTTATTTTTGAGAGGGAGTCTCGCTCTGTTGCCCAGGCTGGAGTGCAGTGGCGCGATTTCAGCTCGCTGCAAGCTCCACCTCCCGGGTTCACGCCATTCTTCTGCCTCAGCCTCCCGGGTAGCTGGGACTACAGGTGCCCGCCACCACGCCCAGCTAATTTTTTTGTATTTTTAGTAGAGGTGGGGTTTCACCACGTTAACCAGGATGGTCTCGATCTCCTGACCTCCGCCTCCCAAAGTGCTGGGATTACAGGCATGAGCCACCGCGCCCCCACTGCGCCCGGCCTTCTTAACTTTTATTTAAGTTTAGGGGTGCATGTGCAGGTTTGTTACACAGGTAAACCTGTGTCATGGGGGTTTGCTGTACAGATCATTTCATCACCCAGGTATTAAGCCTAGTACACATTAGTTGTTTTTCCGGATCCTCTCCCTCCTCCTACTCTCCATCCTCGGAAAGGCCCTAGTGTGTGTTGTTCCCTTCTGTGTGTCCATGTGTTCTCATCATTTAGTGACCACTTATGAGTGAGAACATGTGGTATTTGGTTTTCTGTTCCTGCGTTAGTTTGCTAAGGATAACGGCCTTCAGCTCCATCCATGTTCCTGCACAGGACATGATCTCATTCTTCTTTAATGGCTGTGTAATATTTCATGGTGTATATGTACCATATTTTCTTTATCCAGTCTATCATTGATGGGCATTTAGGTTGATTCCATGACTTTGCTATTGTCAATAGTGCTGCAGTGAACATACTCATGTGTGCATGTGTCTTTATTAAATTTTCTTTTGAGACAAGGTCTCTCTCTGCCATCCAGGCTGGAGTGCAATGGCACTATCGCAGCTCACTGCAGTCTCAATCTCCTGGGCTCAAGTGATCCTCTGACCTCAGCCTCCTGAGTAGCAGGGTGCATGCCACCATGCCTGGCTAATTTTTAAGTTTTTTGTAGAGAAAGGGTGTCCTGGCCTCAAGCAATCCTTCTGCCTTGGCCTCCTGAAGTGCTGGGATGACAGGCATGAGATACTCTGTCAGTCCAGGTTAAATCAAAAGCTAGAAATGATTAAGCTTAGTGATGAAAGCATGTCAAAAGCTGAGAGTGGCCAAAAGCTAGGCCCCTTGCACCAAACAGCCAAGTTGTGAATGCAGGGGAAAAATTCTTGAAGGAAATTAAAAGTGCTACTTCAGTGAACATAGAAATGATAAGAAAGCAAAGCAGCCCTGTTGCAGATATGGAGACAGTTTTACTGGTCTGGATAGAAGATCAAACCAGCCACAGCATTCCCTTATACCAAAGCCTAATTTAAAGGAAGCCCCTTAACACTGAGGCAAAACCCTCTGCCAGCAAAAAGGTTACGACTTGCTAAAGACTCAGACGATTGTTAGCATTTTTTTAGCAATAAAGTATTTCCAAATTAAGGTATGCATATTTTTTTTAGACACGATGCTATTGCACACTGAATAGACGGGAGTGTAGTGTAAACATCGTGTTTGCATGCACTAGGAGACGAAAAAATTTGTATAATTTGTTTTAGTGCCATGGTCTGTAACTGAACCTACAGTCTCTCCAAGGTATGTCTGTACTGACAAGCAAAAACAGAAAATAAAAGCCATCTGTAATGCAGCACCCAGAGATTACCACTGCCAACATTTTGGTAAATATTTTTTGTTTGTTTGTTTGTTTGAGAGGGAGTCTCTCTCTGTCGCACAGGCTGGAGTGCAGTGGTGCAATCTCAGCTCACTGCAACCTCTGCCTCCCAGGTTCAACCGATTCTCAGCCTCAGCCTCCTGAGTAGTTAGGATTACAGGCACCATATCACCACGCCCGGCTAATTTTTGTTTTCTGTTTTTGTTTTTTTGGAGACAGAGTTTTGCTTTTCTCACTCAGGCTGGAGTGCAATGGCATCTATCTTGGGTCACTGCAACCTCCGCCTCCCGGGTTCAAGTGATTCTCCTGCCTCAGCCTCCCGAGTAGCTGGGATTACAGGCACCCACCACCCACACCCAGCTAATTTTTGTATTTTTAGTAGAGATGGGGTTTCACCATGTTGACCAAGTTGGTCTCGGACTCCTGACCTTGTGATCCGCCTACCTTGGCCTCCCAAAGTGCTGGTAATTTTTGTATTTTAGTAAAGATGGTGTTTCACCTTGTTTGCCAGGATTGGTCTTGAACTCCTGACCTCAAGTGATCTGCCCACCTTGGCCTCCCAAAGTGCTGGGATTATAGGCATGAGTCACCGCGACCGGCGTAAATATGTTTTAAAAATCTCTCTGCATTTGTTTCTATTTCTCCCGACTCCAGACCCTTCTATGTCTATATATAAATGCACCCTTGCACACAATATATCTTGTCAGTAATTATGGGTCCCACACACTCCACTCTATAGTTTGGATTTTCTTAAAATATTTATTTTAATCATAAATTATTCTGTAGCATCAACTTTAATGATTGCCTCCTCCCTTTTAATGTTCTTTATGCAATAATGTTTAATTTTATTTCTTATAACAAAGGTATAGCTATAGTAAAAATCAAGCCAGAGAAATGCAGACATCATAGTAAGTTGACCAAGTTGGGCTGAGGATTCTATGTGTATTATCCTGTGAAGACAGGTTTTGTTGAGCAAAGATGAGTGTTGGTGCCAGGGATCTGAAATTGATCTGAAACCAACTGCATTTTTTTCAAAGCGGTTTAGGAGCAGTCACTTTGTATCTCTCTCTCTCTAACTTGAGAACAAATACAACTTCCTTCACTCCTTTTTTCCTCCAATATACCTAACAGAAACTAGTCAATACTTATTGATTGTGGAGCCATTTGTAGGCAATAATAAATTGGTAATACAACTTATTGCATTGAACATGAAGTGTTCTGAGTTTTCCAGTAAAAGGGGCTTTCTGGCTGGGCGTGGTGGCTCACTCCTGTAATCCCAGCACTTTGGGAGGCCAAGGCGGGCGGATCACGAGGTCAAGAGATCGAGACCATCCTGGCCAACGTGGTGAAACCTCGTCTCTACTAAAAATACAAAAATTAGCTGGGCATGGTGGTGTGCGCCTGTAGTCCCAGCTACTTGGGAGGTTGAGGCAGGAGAATCGGTTGAACCCGGGAGGTGGAGGTTGCAGTGAGCTGAGATCGTGCCTCTGCACTCCAGCCTGGCGACAGAGTGACACTGTCTCAGAAAAAAAAGAAAAAAAAATGGGACTTTCTTGGCTGCTAAACCCTTTCTCCTATTGTCATGCGTTGAACATCTATTCGATGTCTGGAGCTCTGGCAGCCATATTTTAATCTTGAGCTAAAAGAGAGTAAAAGGAGTTTCAATCTCTCTGATGGCATTATGGAGCAACTAAGCTGACAGTAGCAACTTTCCATCCCCAGGTTTGTTATATGAAAATAATAACCCCCAGTTGTTTATGTCACTATTAGTCAGTTACTCTGTTTCTTGAAGCTGAATATGTTCCTGAAGAACACACTAGTGGAGAGATTTAAATAAATGCAAATGGGGGCCAGGTGTGGTGGCTCACACTTGCAATCCCAGCACTTTGGGAGGCCGAGATAGGTGGATCACTTGAGGCCAGGAGTTCGAGACCAGCCTGGCCAACATGGTGAAACCCCATCTCTAGTAAAAATACAAAAATTAGCTGGATGCAGTGGTGTATGCCGTTAATCCCAGCTGCTTGGGAAGCTGAGGCAGGAGAATAACTTGAACCCGGGAGGTGGAGGTTGCAGTGAGCTGAGAGCCTGCCACTGCACTTCAGCCTGGGTGACAGAGTGAAACTCTGTCTCCAAAAAAAAAAAAAAAAAAATTGCAAATGATCAAAGATGTTTCTTAGGAACTGGTGAGAAGTTTGGCTGGAATGAAGGGTATATAAGGAGTCAGGGATATGAGGTTTCAGGAATAGATTGAGATCATATGTAGGGTTTATATGGGAAGCTTATCTGGAAGATTGAATGTAGTGGTGAGTTTATGCTCAATTTGGTAAACGGGAGGGAACTACTGGTGATTTGGGGGAAGAACTTAGGAAGTTTAAGTTGGTGGCAATAAGAGAGCTAGATTGGAGTGGAGAAAGATAGGGAGGGGTTAATCATTAGGAGGCTATTGCTGCAGTCCAGGTAAGAAGTGATGAAGAAGTGATGAAGGCCTTAAGTGAGGTGGTAGCTATTTTAGTTCACTTGGGCTACTATAACAAAATACCACAGGCCAGGCAGCTTAAACAATAGAAATTTATTTTTCATAGTTCTGGAGGCCGGGAAGTCCAAAATCAAGGTGCTGGTCAATTAGGTTCCTGGTGAGGGCTCTTTTCCTGGCTTGCAGATGGCCACCTTCTTGCTGTGTCTTCACATGGCAAGGAGAGGAAAGGAGAGGCAGAGAGCTCTGGTGACTCCTCTTTTTTTTATAAGGGCACTAGCCCTATTGGATTAGAGCCCCACTCTTATGACTTCATTTAACCTTTATCACCTCCTCATAGGTTCTATCTCCAAACAGTCACATTGGGGGTTAGGGCTTCAGCAAGTGAATTTTGGGGAGACACAAACATCCAGTCCGTAACAGTGACCACTGGATTGAAAGAAAGGGCTGGTGTCTGCAGGATTGCAGGGATAGATTCTACCAGACTTAACATTGATTGATGTGAGGGTGAAGGCAAGCAATGAATCAAAGATGTCTTTGAGTGTCCAGCTGAGTGACTGCAAGAATAGTGGTATCATGTACAGAATTAGGAGGCTTAGGAGAAAATAAAGGCTTTAGAAGAGTTGGGTTTTTAGGCCAATTGACCTGGAATGTTTAATACTTGTTAGACACTGGTCTTTTCAGTATATTATGCTGTTTAATTATCAGACCACCCCATGGGGTAGTGCTATGGTAATTTCCATTTTATAAATGATGAAACAGACATTTGTGGTATTCTAGGATGGAAAAATTATATCCCAGATTACGGGGAAAAAAAACCCCAAACCTGTCAAACTAGAATACCCAAGCTGCTACAGTGGCCTTTGTGAATTATGAAGAACATAAGTGGTTTGGAAAATTGGAGACAAGCAATTGGTGTTTGGTTTTCCAACTAAGAAAGAAGCTGGAATCTCGACTAAATAGCATTCAAGAATGCATAATTGTGCAATTTCAACACTCTGGGAGGCTAAGGCGGGAGGATCACTTTAGCCCAGGAATTTGAGGCTGCAGTGAGCTATGATCACACCACTGCACTCCAGCCTGGGCAACAGAGTGAGACCTTGACTTTTTTTTTTTTTTTTGAGATGGAGTCTCACTCAGTCGCCCAGGCTGGACTGCAGTGGCACAATCTCGGCTCACTGCAAGCTCCACCTCCCAGGTTCACACCATTCTCCTGCCTCAGCCTCCCGAGTAGCTGGGACTACAGGCGCCTGCTACTACGCCTGGCTAATTTTTTTGTATTTTTAGTAGAGACGGGGTTTCACCGTATTAGCCAGGATGGTCTCAATCTCCTGACCTCGTGATCTGCCTGTCTCAGCCTCCCAAAGTGCTGGGATTACAGGCGTGCACCACCACGCCCGGCAACTTTTTTTTTGTAAAAAAGGAATGCATAATGAAAGATTTAAGGGCTGGCATGTGAGCATTAAGCAAAGGAAGCCGCAGACACTAGCAACCAGCGTGGCTCCACCATGAGCAAGTTTTGTGTGATTAACTTCATCTGGAATGTTGAAAGCACAGTATTTCGCAAAAAAAGGGACAAGTGAATGGAAATAGTTACTGATTAAAGAGCTCCCCTTCAAAGGAATTGATTTAAAAGTAAATGCTAATCCAGTGGGAAGTGTCTAGTGACACGCTTTGGAGCTCTGCCCTTGCCTTCTGACTTTTTTCTTTCTAATCTGTGATTTGCATTAATACTTACAAAGAGTTTTATTAAATAATTGTACAACATGAAGCTGGGATCCTGGTAAGCATGTTGGATGATAAAAACCAATATCCTGAAAGTTGTAAACAGCAGGATGAAGGGGACAAATTTAACCAAAGCAATGCATTAGGGATAAGTGCAGGTCCTACTGCCCATGGCTGGAGAGACACGGCTTAACGGCATTACATGTGAAAAGGAGTGTTAGACTGGGCACAATGACTCATGCCTGTATTTCCAGTACTTTGAAAGGCCAAGGCAGGAGGATCACTTGAGGCCAGGAGTTCAAGCCCAACCTGGGCAACATAGTGAGACCTGTTTCTACAAAATATAAGAAAATTAGCCGTGCATGATTGTGCATGCTTATAGTCCCATTCAGGAGGCTGAGGCAGGAGGATGGCTCGAGTCCATAAGTTAGAGGCTGCAGGGAGCTATGATCACACTGCAGCACTCTGTCCAGGCTGACAGACCAAGACCATGTCTCAAAAAAAATGGTGGGATCCCACCTGTAATCCCAGAACTTTGGGAGGCTGAGGTGGGTAGATCACTTGAGATCAGGAGTTCGAGACTAGCCTTGCCAACATGGCAAAACTCTATTTCCACTAAAAATATGAAAATTAACTTGGTGTGGTGGCATGCGCCTGTAATCTTAGCTACTCAGGAGGCTGAGGCATGAGAATGGCTTGATCCTGGGAGGTGGAGGTTGCAATGAGCCAAGATTAGGGCCGCTGCACTTCAGCCTGGGTGAGAGAGTGAGACTATGTCTAAAAAAAAAAAAAAAAAAAAAAAAAAAAGCTGAGAATTAACTATGCAATATGGTTGAAAAAAGAGTAAATGTGACCTTGGCTACTGGTAAAGGTTCTGTCCTACCTTATTCTAGAGTTCACAGCAAAGTCACCTGAGATACCTTTCCAAAATGTAGTTCTGCTTCTGTTGCATAAATACTCTTGTTGGCTCCCTGCTAAGACTTCAAGGCTTAGCTTATCTATCTTGTCCCAACTGCTTATTTTTAGCCTTGTCATCTACACCACCTGCCCTCTGTGCATCTGATACATTGGTGTTACCAGAAAATTCCTTGACCTTGGATGATACCAGTTCCCTTCATGACAATGACTTCGCTCATTCTGGAATGAGCCTCAGGTGCCTCCCACTTAACTCTCCACCTCTCTGTTACAAAGCTTCACTTCTTAAGAGAGGGCTGGAAAGTCCCAGCCTCTGTAAAGTCTTCTCTGACTTCTGCTTCTCTAATCCAGCACCCAGTAGGACCTACTCTTCTTTCCATGATCACAGGACCCTTCGCATAGAGGTCCGCCCCGTGTCTCTGGATTATTCATTTACTTATTTGTCTCCCTTGAAGGAGTGATCAATTGGTAATCAGCTTTGTGTCCCTTGTGCATAGTTCAGTGTTCTGTTCTAGGAGCATTCAAACTTTTATTAAGCAGAATAAAAGGTGATTGACAAGTTTAAGTGATAGTTCTCCTTCTACTTCTATGGGACACAACTAGATTACTATCAGTACCCACTCTATAACTCTACTAGTCCCTTACTTACCAATAATTAAATGCTATGATGAAACAAAACAGGCTGGGCATGGTGGCTCACGCCTGTAATCCCAGCACTTTGGGAGGCCAAGGTGGGCAGATCACCTCAGGTCAGGAGTTCAAGGCCAGCCTGGCCAACATGGTAAAATCTGTCTCTACCACAAATAACAAAAATTAGCTAGGCGTGATGGTGCATGCCTGTAATCCCAGCTACTTGGGAGTCTGAGGCACGAGAATCACTTGAATCCAGGAGGTGGAGGTTGCAGTGAGCCAAGATCACACCACTGCACTCCAGCCTGGGTGACAGAGTGAGACTCCATCTCAAAAAAATAAATAAATAAACAAAACAGATGGATATGGCAAGGCAGGTGTGAATATCCTTTTAGGGAGGGAAAATGAAAGACTGATGGATAAATCTACATGCTATATATGCAACCATGATGGAGAGCACTTGACAGCCCTGGAGTCGGACAGTCCTGGGTTCAAGTTCACACTCTGCCATACCTGCAGAGTAACTCTGCGCAAACTACTTAACCTCTTTGATCTTTAGTTTTCCTATCCATAAAATGGGCACAGAATTCTCAAAGAATGGCTATGAGGATTAAATGAAATAATGGTGTAAAGCATCTAATGTGCTGCAATGGTGCACAGTAAGCCTCAGTAGCTGATGCTGGTTCTATGATGAACTGATCAAAGGATGGCTGGTCCCTGGCCAGGTAGACAGAGGACTTAGGACACTTGTTTAATATCTCAGGGAAGAGGAATTAGACTTGTTCTACATGGCTCCAAATGGAAGAACCCAACAGGCAAAAGCTGCAGGGAGAAAGAACTAAGCTCAACTTGAGTCCAGGGAGTCCTAGATTACCTGAGAAGGGTTTCTACAAAGGCAGCAAGTTCCCCGTCACCAGAGACATTCAAGCACAGCTTTCTGCTGCCCTGCTGGGAATGTTGCAGAGGAGACTCAACAATTAGGTGGGTAGTTGAACTAGAATTCCTCTACTCATGTTAAAACGTGATGATCTGTAGTTTTGGCTGAGGTGGGAGGCAATTCTACAATGGCAGTAACCAACTCATGTATTCTTTTTTTTTCTTCAACTTTTATTTTAAGTTCCTGGGTACATGTGCAGGATGTGCAGGTTTGTTACATAGGTAAACGTGTGCCATGGTGGTTTGCTGCACAGATCAACCCATTACCTAGGTATTACACCCAGCATCCTTTAGCTATTCTTCCTGATTCTCCCCCCTCCACAAACAGGTACCCGGTGTGGGTTGCTCCCCCTGCCCCGTGTGTCCATGTGTTCTTATCATTCAGTTCCCACTTATAAGTGAGAACATGCAGTGTTAGGTTTTCTGTTCCTGTGTTAGTTTGCAGAGGGAAATGGCTTCCATCTCCATCCACGTCCCTGCAAAGGACATGATCTCATTCCTTTTTATGGCTGCATAGTATTCCATGGTGCATAGGTACCACAGTTTCCTTATCCAGTCTATCATCGATGGGCATTTAAGTTGATTCCATGATGTTGCTATTTTAAATAGTGCTGCAATGAACATTCGTGGGCACGTTTCTTTATGTTAGAACGATGTATGTTCCTTTGTGCTCTTTAAAAGAACTTGGTAATGTTTGGCTCTTTTTTTTTTGATACAGAGTCTTGCTCTGTTGCCCAGGCTGGAGTGCAGTGGTGCGATCTCAGCTCACTGCAAGCTCCGCCCCCCGGGGTTCATGCCATTCTCCTGCCTCAGCCTCCCAAGTAGCTGGGACTACAGGCGCCCACCACCATGCCCGGCTAATTTTTTTGTATTTTTAGTACAGACGGGGTTTCACAGTGTTCGCCAGGTTGGTCTCGATCTCCTGACCTCGTGATTCCCCCGCCTCGGCCTCCCAAAATGCTGGGATTATGGGTGTGAGCCACTGACCCTGGCCATGTTTAGCTCTTGACTTCAAGAAGAATGGGCTTTCTTTGAACAATTAGAATCTGAAGGGATGTATGCCCTGGAGCCCTCAGAAGACCAGAGCACCCCTGTACTCTGAGGAGGGGCACTGCTGAAACCCATTACCTTCAACCCACCCTCAGACTCTAGCTCAGCCCCAGCCCATAAAACTTATTGGATAAATGTCTGAATATACGATTCTGTAAAGGGAAAAAGAAAAACCATCAGAATGCAAGTATCCATCATTGCTCAGCTGATCAACATCATGGTCCTGTTCTGGAATTTCTCTGCTAAAAATTCTTCTTGTGTTCACGGGATATTATAAATCTTTCAGAATATGTTAGAATCACATCTGAGTGCTGTCAGTTCTTATTATAAGCTGGGAGGAGGGAGGCTTTTTTGGGTGCATATGAGTAAAAAAAAAAAAAGTAAACTTCCTTCTGTTTCAGCCCACACCTCTTTGAAGGTCCTGGCATATGTTGGGTCTAACTCCAAACTACTACTAACATCTCCTGCCTCCGTGAATGATTTGCGTTCCTTTGGAGACAGCCTCCCAGGGGAAGTCCTGGAAACAGAACCCTCACTCCCCCTGTCTCCCCAAGAACAACACGAGTCAACAAATCTGGAATCCTTGCCTCTGTCCTCTCTTAAACAGTTGTTACTGAGAATCAAAGTCAGCCTACAGTGCATATGGCTTGATTCAAGCGTCCACACTGGGAGAACACAGCTTCAGGAATATATATAGCCCACTCCTGTCAGACTCCATCCCGTTGCTACTTATCACTCCATAAATCAGTAAACAGCCGTATGTCACCACCAGCACCAACAGTCAGCTGCGCAGATTCGAGTGGCTGAAATCTCCTTTCTAGTTCCTTTCAATTCCTGAGAGGGGGAGACTGTCAGGGGTTTTATTCCATTATTTTTGCTGTTGGGTGCCATGAACCCCCCAAATCTGAGACAGGTCTCAGTTAATTTAGAAAGTTTATTTTGCCGCCGGGCGCGGTGGCTCATGCCTGTAATCCCAGCACTTTGGGAGGCCGAGGAGGGCGGATCACGAGGTCAGGAGATGGGGACCATCCTGGCTAACACGGTGAAACCCCGTCTCCACTAAAAATACAAAAAAAATTAGCCCAGCACGGTGGCGGGCGCCTGTAGTCCCAGCTACTCGGGAGGCTGAGGCAGGAGAATGGCGTGAACCCGGGAGGCGGAGCTTGCAGTGAGCCAAGATAGCGCCACTGCAGTCCCGCCTGGGCCAAAGAGCGAGACTCCGCTCAAAAAAAAAAAAAAAAAAAAAAAAAGAAAGTTTATTTTGCCAAGGTTGAGGACGTGCGCCTGTGACACAGCCTCAGAAAGTCCTGACGTCATGTGCCCGAGGTGGTCAGGGCACAGTTTAGTTTTATACATTTAAGGAAGACATGAGACAGCAATCAATATATGTAAGAAGTACAGTGGTTCGGTCTGGAAAGGCGGAACAACTTGAAGCAAAGGCAGGAAGACTTCCAGGTCACAGGTAGGGGAGAGAGGAATGGTTGCATTCTGACTTTCTGACTAGCCTTTCCAAAGAAGGCAATCAGATATGCATCTATCTCAGTGAGCAGAGGGGTGACTTTGAATAGAATGGGAGGCAGATTGCCCCTAAGCAGGTCCCAGCTTGACTTTTCCCTTTCAGTTAGTGATTTGGGGGCCCCAAGATTTATTTTCCTTTCACAATGCTTCATGTGAGAACCCTGTAAGCTGGGCACACAGTCTTATCTCCAGAGCAATTTGGGACGTCAGGGAGGAGTGGTTCTGCTGTGGGTGGAAGATGACCTCTCTAGACCCCAAGGACACAAGGGAAGAGGAAGATTCAAGCCCGCTTGCTGCCTGGGTTTGTTTTGGTGTCCTGGTTCTCTTCTCAATGCCATGTGAAGCAGATGATATGATAAGATAGAGTCTGGGACAGCCAGGCTGGGAAGCAGCTCTGCCCTTAGAAAAGGCGAGTGGCAGGGCCCTGGAGAAGGGGCCATGAAGAGGCTGCTCATGGACCTCAAGGTAAAGAGACCAGAGGGGTCTCATGTGGGACTCAGCCTAGATCACCAGGTTAGGTGACTCATTAGGGACTTGAAGCAAAACCCTCAGCCCTGGAATTCCCAGGGAATGCAGTGGGGATGGTGGATGGTGGCCGTGGCCAGTGCTAGTCAAGGATTTAGGATCTATTTTTTCCACCCTTGTAAAGGCATTGTAAGTTACCTTTATGATAATTAACAGGCATTGCCCTTCAGCACAGAGGTGAGGAGTTTATGCATAGAAGATAGGGAATTTGGTATAGCCTTGTTAAGAGCAGCTCTGAGGCCTGCACAGTGGCTCAGTGGCTCGGTGGCTCAGTGGCTCACACCTGAAATCCCAGCACTTTGGGAGGCCGAGGTGGGCGGATCACCTGAGGTCAGGAGTTTGAGACCAGCCTGGCCAACATGGTGAAATCCCGTCTCTACTAAAAATACAAAAATTAGCCGGATGTGGTGGCAGGTGCCTGTAATCCCAGCTACGTGAGAGGCTGAGGCAGGAGAATCACTTGAACCCAGGAGGCGGAGGTTGCAGTGAGCTGAGACCCATGCCACTGCACTCCAGCCTGGCCCATAAGAGTGAGACTCTGTCTCAAAACAAAACAAAACAAAAAAGGGCAGCTCTGGTTTTCATTTGCAAAACTCAGGGAGCGGGGGAGAGAGAGAGAGTTTGTGCATTGATTTTTGATTAATCTAGGCTTGGCAGGGGAAAAAAGTGGATTCTTGAAAGGGCTGACTTCCAAATAAGTGGACTTCTTGCGTGAAATTGTTTTAGCATCTGTATTGTGGAGTGAGTTGGTATTAATGGAGGCAAATTTCATTTTATTCTCTTGTTTCATTTTTCCCATTTGGAGGGGCTGTTCCTTAGGAAAACATAGAAGATGGGCTCAAACATTAGGAGATGGTGGAATTTATACAAGAACAGGTGAAGTAGGATGGTGATGAGGGATCCGTGGGCACGTGGTGTGTGATCCTAGACTGAGTCATGGAACCAGTTGATGAAATTATCCAAAAGTGAGTGTTTGAGAAGAAAGCCAACAGCAACAACACACAACAATTTTCTTTCGCTAGGAACCAGGTCTGCTCATTGGAGGCTGAAAAGGAAAGTGAGGCTGGGTGCGGTGGCTCACTCCTGTAATCCCAGCACTTTGAGAGGCTGAGGTGGAAGGATCACCAGAGGTCAGGAGTTTGAGACCAGCCTGGCCAACATGGTGAAACCCTGTCTCTGCTAAAAATACAAAAATTAGCCGGGCCTGATGGTGGGTGCCTGTAATCGCTGCTACTCGGAAGGCTGAGGCAGGAGAATCACTTAAACCTGGGGGAGCGGAGGTTGTCGTGAGCCAAGATCGCGCATTGTACTCCAGCCTGGGCAACAAGAGCGAAACTCCATCTCAAAAAAAAAAAAAAAAAAAAAAAAAAGAATGAGGAGAATGCAGGAATTGTTGGTATGTGAGCAGAAAATACTCAGGTCTTCAGAGGCAATTTATGGGATTGGCTTAAAATAGTTTTTAAACTTCTAGGCCTAGAAAGACCTCTGGGAAGAGGAATGGAAGGAGAGAAAGATGCTGAGAGGCTGAAACAGGTTTATCTCAGACATGGGTGGGAGAAACAGGACCTCTCATCTAGAAGCAGGCCGATGGTTTAAAAAGTCTTGTGGGGCAGGTATGGTGGCTCATGCCTATAATCCTTGTGCTTTGGGGGAGCCTAGGGAGGGGGGATCACTTGAGGCCAGGAGTTTGAGACCAGCCTGGACAACATAGCAAGACCCCATCTCTACAAAAAAATTAGCTGGATGTGGTGGCATACACCTGTGGTCCCAGATACAGTGGAGGCTGAGGCAGGAAGATTGCTTGAGCCCAGGCGTTTGAGGCTGCAGTGAGCTGTGATCATGCCACTGCACTCTAGTCTGGGTGACAGAGTGATACTTTTCTCCAAAAAAAAAATTAAAAACAAAACAAAACAAAACCCAAAAAGTCATCTGAATCTGTATCCTGGGAAAGTAGAATTTGAGCTGTCAAGACTGGAGAATTCAGGACAAGAGTTATGGGATTTTGGACCTCACATTATGGCTGAGAGCAGTTTAAGGAATTCGCTGGAAACAGCTGAAAGTCAGAAATCTTTCAAGTGCGTTTCTCCAGCTGGGGCAAATATGAAAAAGAGGGAAGTTTTCCCTGGAGGCAGATGTTCCAGGATAAAGCTAAGGCATTCCAGAATGGAAGGAAGATTCAGTAGCCACAGAAACAGGGATGTTGCCCAGGAAAAAAAAAAAAAAAAAAGCCTTAAGAACTCACAGAAGCCGGGTGCGGTGGCTCGCACCTGTAATCCCAGCACTTTGGGAAGCCGAGAAGGGTGGATCACTTGAGGTCAGAAGTTCAAGACCAGCCTGGCGAAACCAGTATATGTTATCCCCATTAACAGGATTTTTGCCTAAATGAGCTATCATTCAAGAATTTACAAAAAATAACAGCCTTATTACCCCAACTATTATAGCTATTATAGCTTTACTCAACCTATACTTCTATATATGCCTAATTTATTTCACCCCAATAAAACTATTCCCACATCCAGTAACACGAAAATAAAATGATAGCTTGAAAACACAAAACCTATACTATTCGTATCTTCACTTATTATCTCTTCCACCCTCCTCCTACCTATCTCTCCGCTGCTACTGACTATGACTTAGAAATTTAGGTTACGGCCGGGCGCAGTGGCTCACGCCTGTAATCCCAGCACTTTGGGAGGCCGAGGCGGGCGGATCACGAGGTCAGGAGATCGAGACCATCCTCGCTAACACAGTGAAACCCCGTCTCTACTAAAAATACAAAAAAAAAATTAGCCGGGCATGGTGGCGGGTGCCTGTTGTCCCAGCTACTCAGGAGGCTGAGGCAGGAGAATGGTGTGAACCCGGGAGGTGGAGCTTGCAGTGAGCTGAGATCGCGCCACTGCACTCCATCCTGGGCGACAGAGTGAGACTCCGTCTCAAAAAAAAAAAAGGAAATTTAGGTTACATGAGACCAAGAGCCTTCAAAGCCCTTAGTAAGTAAATTATACTTAATTTCTGTAACAAATCTAGGGATTGCAAGACTATCCTGCATCGATTGAATGCAAATCAGCCACTTTAACTAAGCTAAGCCCTTGCTAGATTGGTGGAGACCAAACCCACGAAAATTCAGTTAACAGCTAAATACTCTAGTCAACTGGCTTCAATCTACTTCTCCCGCGGTTTAGGGGAGGATTGAAGCTGCTCCTTTGAATTTGCAATTCAATATATGAGATATCACCCCAGGACTGGTAAAAAGAGACCTTTGACCTCTGTTTTCAGATTTACAGTCTAATGCTTGCTCAGCCATTTTACCCTTGTACCCATGTTCATGAATTGCCGATTATTTTCAACTAACCACATAGGCACTGCCTTAAGCCTCCTAATTCAAGCAGTACCTAGCCAGCCAGGAACTCTGCTAGGAGATGATCAAATCTATAATGTTATTGTTACCGCCCACGCATTTGTTATCGTCTTCTTTATAGTTATACCAATCATAATTGGAAGTTTCGGCAACTGGCTAGTTCCCTTGATAGTGGGTGTGCCCGATATGGTGTTTCTCCGAATAAATAACATGAGTTTCTGACTTCTCACCCGATCCTTTCTACTTCTGCTTGCATCCTCAATGGTAGAGGCAGGCACCGGAACTGGCTGAGCAGTTTATCCCCCTTTAGCAGGGAACCTAGAGCATGCAGGAGCCTCCGTGGACTTGACCATCTTCTCGCTCCACCTGGCAGATGTCTCTTCTATCTTAGGGGCCATCAACTTTATTATCACAATCATCAACATAAACCCCCCAGCAATATCCCAATATCAGACACCTCCTTTCGTTTGATCCGTCCTCATTACGGTAGTCCTTCTACTACTATCCCTCCATCCCTCCCAGTCCTAGCCACCAGCATTACTATATTATTAACTGATCTCAACCTCAACACTTCTTTTTTTTTTTTTGAGACAGAGTCTCACTCTATCGCCCAGGCTGGAGTGCAGTGGCAGCGATCTCGGCTCACTGCAACCTCCGTCTCCTGGGTTCAAGTGATTCTCCTGCCTCAGCATCCTGAGTAGCTGGGGCTACAGGCGCCTGCCACCATGCCTGGCTAATTTTTTGCATTTTTAGTAGAGATGGGGTTTCACCGTGTTAGCCAGGACGGTCTCGATCTCCTGACCTCGTGATACGCCTGCCTCGGCCTCCCAAAGTGCTGGGATTACAGGCATGAGCCACTGTGCCAGGCCAACACTTCTTTTTTTGATGCTGCTGGCAGGGGTGACCTTATCTTGTACCAACATTTATTCTGATTTTTTGGTCACCCTGAGGTCTATATCCTCATCCTACCAGGGTTCGGGATAATTTCCCACGTTGTAACATATTATTCTGGAAAAAAGGAGCCATTTGGTTACATGGACAGAGTATGAGCCATAATATCAATTGACTTCTTAGGGTTTATCATATGAGCCCACCATATATTTACAGTGGGAATAGATATAGACACACGGGCATACTTCACATCTGCTACTATAATTATTGCTATCCCAACTGGCGTTAAAGTATTTAGCTGACTAGCTACCCTGCATGGTGGTAACATCAAATGATCCCCCACAATACTCTGAGCCCTAGGGCTTATTTTCCTCTTCACAGTAGGAGGATTGACCAGCATCGTATTAGCTAACTCATCACTAGATATTGACTTACACAACACATATTACGTTGTAGCCCACTTCCACTATGTCTTATCCATAGGAGCAGTGTTTGCCATTATAGGCAGCTTAGTCCTCAGATTCCCCCTATTTTCAGGCTATACACTCAATCCAGCCTAAGCCAAAATCCACTTCACTATTATATTTACAGGTGTTAATTTAACTTTCTTCCCACAAGTTTTCTTTGGCCTCTCCGGTATACCTCGATGTTACTCTGACAATCCTGATGCAATATCTGCATGAAATATTACCTTGTCTCTAGGCTCATTTATCTCACTAACAGCAGTCATGTTAATAATTTTTATAATCTGAGAGGCCTTTGCTTCAAAACGAGAAGTATTAATAATTGAACAACCATCTACTAACCTAGAGTGACTTTACAGCTGCCCGCCAACTTATCACACATTTGAGGAACCAGCTTATGTGAAAGTCTAGAGGAAAAAGGAAGGAATCGAACTCCCAGAGACTGGTTTCAAGCCAATCCCATAACTTCTATGACTTTCTCTACAAGATATTAGTAAAATAGCCAGGCACGGTGGCTCACGCCTGTAATCCCAGCACTTTGGGAGGCCGAGGTGGGCGGATCACAAGGTCAGGAGATCGAAACCATCCTGGCTAACACGGTGAAACCCCGTCTCTACTAAAAATACAAAAAATTAGCTGGGCATGGTGGCGGGCGCCTGTAGTCCCAGCTACTCGGGAGGCTGAGGCAGGAGAATGGCGTGAACCTGGGAGGCGGAGCTTGCAGTGAGCCGAGACGGTGCCACTGCACTCCAGCCTGGGGGACAGAGTGAGACTCCATCTCAAAAAACAAAAAAAGATATTAGTAAAATTATTACATAACTTTTTCAAAGTTAATTCGTAGGTTAAACCCCATATATCTTAATAGTTCATCTATTTCAGCTAGGTCTCCAAGATGCTACATCCCCTATTATACAAGAACTACTCACTTTCCATGACCACACTCTTATAATTCTTTTCCTCATTAGTTCCCTGGCCCTATATATTATTTCCCTAATGCTGACAACAAAATTAACTCATGCTAGCACTATAGATGCTCAAGAGAACGAGAATATGTGAGCTATTTTACCCACCATTATCCTGATCTTAATTGTCCTCCCCTGTCTTCGTATTCTATACTTGACAGATGAAATTAATAGCCCGTCCCTCACTGTCAAAACAACTGGCCACCAATGATACTGAAGCTATGAGTATACAGACTATGAAGATGTAAGTTTCGATTCTTACATGACTCCAACAACAGACTTAAAACCAGGAGAACTTCGACTCCTTGAAGCTGGTAACCAAACAATTCTCCCAACAGAAATCCCTATTCGTATATTAATCTCATCTGAAGACGTCCTGCACTCACAAACTATCCCGTCACCGGGCCTCAAAACAGATGCAATCCCTGGACGCTTAAATCAAACCATTTTAACTGCTACAAGACCAGGCCTTTACTATGGCCAATGCTCAGAAATTTGTGGGTCCAACCACAGTTTTACACTTATCATCCTAGAATTAGTTCCCTTAAAATGCTTTGAAACCTGAGCAACATCTACACTATATCACTGTAAAGCTAATCTAGCACCAACCTTTTAAGTTAAAGACTGAGGAGATCTAAGCCCCCTCTATAGTGAAATGCCTCAACTAGATACTTCCACATGGTCCATTGTTATCCTATATTAATTGAATAGGTGGGCTAGTTAACTGCAGCAGGAACATGCCCTTAAGACACAGATCGCTCAGGCTTTTGTTTGTAGCTTAAGAATGCCTTTAAGTGGTTTTCTGCCCTGGGCGGGCTAGGTGTTCCTTGCCCTCGTTCCCGTAAACCCACAACCTTCCAGCTTGGATGTTAGGGCCATTATGAACATGTCACAGTGCTGCAGAGATTTTGTTTATGGCCAGATTTTGGGGGGCTTGCTCCCAACATTCCACATGGTCCATGGTTATCCTACTGATAATTATAACTCTATTCTCCAGTTAAAAGTATCAAATTTCACTTACCACCTACCCCCTACACCAAAAACGATGAAAGCACAGAAACATGAAACCCCCGAGAATTAAAATGAACGAAAATTTATTCGCCTCTTTTACTACCCCAACAATTCTAGGTCTACCTGTAGTAACATTAATCATTTTATTTCCTACTGTGCTATTTCCAACCCCCAGTCATTTAATTAATAACTGATTGACTTCCATTCAACATTGACTAACCCAGCTTGCACTAAAACAAACAATAATAATTTGCAATGTTAAAAGGCAAACCTGATCCCTTATACTGACCTCCCTGGAGAAACCCTGTCTCTGCTAAAAATATAAAAATTAGCTGGGCGTGGTGGCATGTGCCTGTAATCCCAGCTAGTCAGGAGGCTGAGGCAGGAGAATTGCTTGAATCCGGGAGGCAGAGGTTGCAGTGAACTGAGAAGACAGAGTGAGACTCCGTAACAACAACAGCAACAACAACAAAACCTGAAGATTTGGTGAATTACAGAGAGAAAGGGATACATCTAGAAAAGGAGGACAGGCACAAAGTCATACCAATTGGTATGATTTTGGACAACTGGTGTGGTTGATAGACAGGCTGGAAAAGCAGAAACCACACAGAAACCTGGCTTGTTGGTTTCACTTTTACATTTTTTTTTGCTAATCCTTTCACTAAGCGAATATGAACCTCTTATATATGGCTAATAATAGCAAGTTGGATCTCGCATGTATGGATATTGGGTTTAGGAAACATGATATCTACTTGGGAATTAATGTTAAGGCTGTAAACTACTCTAATGAGCATATCTGGTTTGGGGATTAAGTGAGTTTTCTAAATATTGTGGATTTGGGCCTCATGTTATTGTATTGTATTTCCTGATAATTCCCTGAAATGCTGGAAAGATTGGACATTCAAGAAATTGGGGTAATCACATTTTGAAGGTGTTGATGTTCCTATGGGAAATAGTCCAGTCTGGGAGAGCACTGAAAAAGAAACTCAGGCCCCAAAGGCACTCCTTTGGCCTGGGCTGAGCAGACTCAGAGGAAAGGAAAAAAGGGAGGAAACTGTGTGAAATGATAGTCTTCAGTTGCTCTGAATTGATCCAAATGAATACAGAGAAAACATTAACATAGACTTTTTTTTTTTTTTTTTTTTTTTTGAGGTGGAGTTTTACTCTTGTTGCCCAGGCTAGAGTTCAGTGGCGTGATCTCGGCTCACTGCAACCTCCGCCTCCCGGGTTCAAGTGATTCTCTTGCCTCAGCCTACCGACTAGCTGGAACTACAGGCATATGACACCACGCCCAGCTAATTTTTGTATTTTTAGTAGAAATGGGCTTTCACCACATTGGCCAGGCTAGTCTCGAACTCCTGACCTTGTGATCCACCCACCTTGGCCTCCCAAAGTGCTAGGAGTACAGGAGTAAGCCACTGCACCCAGCCTCGGTTGTTAATATTTTTATATCCTTTTTTACTTCGTGGCCCTCCCTTTTACTTAGAACGTGTCCTTTAAGATATTCTGTTTTATGTGCAGTTCTTAAGTTCTGCTTTTCTACTTTGCATGGACTCCAAGCCTAGTCCCTTATGCCCTTAGGTGTGGCTACTAATCTCCAAAATTCTAGATTCTTAGAGTCAGCATTTTCCCCAAACAACCCCACTTTGGTGTTTGCTTAGAAGTCTGGTGTTATAAAACATTTTTTTTTTTTTTTTTTGCCCTTGGAGATTTTTCGTATCTTCTTGTAGGCTCAGCAATGCATTTACAATATGTTTATTGTAATTCTCCCATCATCTGACTGTTTTGTGGTGGAAAGGTGTTTTGAAATATCTAAGGCACCAGACTATCAGATGCAGGATTATCTAGATTTTTTTTCTTTTTTTAAAATAGAGACAGAGTCTTAGTCTGTCACCCAGGCTGAAGTACAGTGCCACGATCATAGCTCACTGTAACCTCGAACACCTGGGCTTAAGTGATCCTCCTCCTTCAGTTTCCCGAGCAGCTGAGACCACAGGCACACACCACCATGCCCACCCTGGCTAATTAAAACTTTTTTTTTTTTTTTTTTTTTTTTTTAAGAAATGGTCTCACTATGTTGTCGAGGCTGGTCTTGAACTTCTGGCCTTAAGCAATTATCTGGCCTCTGCCTCCCAGAATTCTCTAGATATTCTTTCTGAGCAAATAATAGGTGGAGTTCCCTTCTCACCTTTCCGTGTAGGGCAGGAGTAAAACATAGTCCTCAAGAATTCTCAGTGATCTTTGCTTCTAGGTGAGAAGGAGACAGAGCTAGAAC
Organism: Homo sapiens; assembly: GCF_000001405.40. Classification (NCBI taxonomy): domain Eukaryota; kingdom Metazoa; phylum Chordata; class Mammalia; order Primates; family Hominidae; genus Homo; species Homo sapiens. The sequence goes on along the minus strand of NC_000007.14, from coordinate 69,327,991 downwards.
ATAGAGCTCTTCTGGATAGGAGAAGCCAGAAGATTAGTGTTACCTTCTCTCCAACCTCTATTTTTTTTGTTTTTTTGAGATAGGGTCTTGCTCTGTCCCTCAGCCACCCCATGATGGCTCACTGCAGCCTCAACCTCTTGGGCTCAAGCAATTCTCCTACCTCAGCCTCCTGAGTAGCTGGGACCACAGGTGCACACCACCATGCTTGGCTAATTTTTTATTTTTTGTAGAGATGGGGGGGGTCTCACTATGTTGCCCAGGCTGGTCTTGAACTCCTGGCCTCAAGCGATCCTCCTGCCTTGGCCTCCCAAACTGCTTACAGGTGTGAGCCAGCATTCCCAGCCACAATCTCTGCTTTTAATGTGTGGCCCTTCTTCCTTCCATCCTCCAGCTGGAACAGCTGATCTCAAATTTCATGTCAATTTTGTGATACTATTTTCCTCTTGCATCTTTCATCTTTGTACAGAGATCTTTTAAGGAGGAATTTCAAAGAAAGGAAGAATATTAATGACAGTACACTTAGAAGGAACTAGAGGGAGGAGACAGAATGAAGGAGACAAAAGGAATAAGAACAAAATGCGAGACAAAATAGGTCTAGATTTAGACATCTGTTGTACAGTACAAGTAAGAGCCTATTGGCATGAATATATGCCCCGGGCCCTTAGATTTTCAGAAAGGACCCCCTTCATAATTTATTGATGGTAATATAGACAGATAAAGTGGCAATGGATTGATTTCCTATTGTGTTTATGCTCTGATTTTGGGGCTCCGGGGACTAGGGTTCAAAAACATATGAAAGGGCTGGGCATGGTGGCTCACGACTGTAATCCTAGCACTTTGGGAGGCCGAGGTGGGTGGATTGCCTGAGCTCAGGAGTTTGAGACCAGCCTGGGGAACATGGTGAAACACCGTCTCTACTAAAATACAAAAAAAATTAGCTGGGCGTGGCAGTGTGTGACTGCAATCCCAGCTACTCGGGAGGCTGAGGCAGGAGAATCGCTTGAACCCGGGAGGCGGAGGTTGCAGTGAGCCGAGATCGCACCATTGCACTCCAGCCTGGGCTACAGAGTGAGACTCCATCTCAACAACAACAACAATAACAAAAACAACAAAAAACAAAACACCTCCTATAGGCCAGGCGCAGCAGCTCACGCTTGTAATTCCAGCACTTTGGGAGGCTGAGCCAGGCAGACCACCTGCGGTCAGGAGTTTGAGACCAGCCTGGCCAACATGGTAAAACGCTGTCTCTACTAAAAATACAAAAATTAGCCAGGCATGGTGGTGCACACCTGTAGTCCCAGCTACTTGGGAGGCCGAGGCAGGAGAATTGCTTGAATCCAGGTTGCAGCAAGCTGAGACAGCACCACTGCACTCCAGCCTGGGAGACAGAGCCAGATTTCATCTCAAAATAAAAATCCAAAACAACAACAACCTCCTATAATTATAATGCTACTAATTATTGGCTAGTCAGTGAGTAGTTACTTCAGACCGTAATTAGAGCATGACCAATGCATGGAAATGCATAATCTCTTCATGAACTGTAATTATTAAGAAACAGTTGTTGATTTCAATTTTTCTATAATTTGCAACTTTCTAATTCAGTGAAATACCTTCAATGAATAATTAGTTGGTATTTGCAAATGCTTAGCACTCTCTAGAGAAAGGTGCTACATTACTATAGAGAAAAGGGCCTCTGGTGTCAAGCTCAGTACCTCTGAGCCTGGAAGGATCAATTAACTAAATAAATTCCTAGAACAAAAGTTGATTTGATGATTTGTTACACAGAGGAGCCAAGGCAAAGAAACAATAATCACAAGTGATTTACCCTGGAAAAAAGAGGAAAGCCTCTATGAAACACCAAGAGCGATTAGATTCTTAATTTTCATCTTTTTATTTTTATTTTTAGTTTTGAGACGGAGTCTCGCTCTGTTGCCCAGGCTGGAGTGCAGTGGTGCGATCTCTGCTCACTGCAACCTCCGCCTCTTGGGTTCAAGTGATTTACATGCCTCAGTCTCCTGAGTAGGTGGGATTATAGGTACCTTGCCACCACGCCCGGCTAATTTTTGTGTTTTTAGTAGAGACAGGTTTTCACCATGTTGGCCAGGCTGGTCTTGAACTCCTGCCTCAGCTTCCCAAAGCACTGGGGTTGCAGGCCTGAGCCACCACGCCCGGCCTCAGTGGTGATAGTTTTTGGTGATAGTTTTGTTTATAGTTTTTGTGATAGTTTTGGTGATAGTTTTTGGTGATAGTTTTTGGTGATAGTTTGGTGATAGTTTTACCAACGTCTGCAAAGGGGAACATGGGATTTTAAGCCACTTTTGCGTGAAGATGAGAGCCTTCGTCTGTCATTTCTGTGCATAATTTGCTGCATGTTATAACATAGCAGCAGTGGATACTAGAACCAAGTTCTAGCAGGTAAAAGCTCAAGGCAGATGAAATGTCTTTTGAAATAAATGGAAGTCATTTGACGGTAGCCTGAGAGATTACAAAAATCAGACATATATTGTAAAAGAAGAATGACTTTTTTCTTTCTTTCTTTCTTTTTTTTTTTGAGTCAGAGTCTCACTGTGACGCCCAGGCTGGAGGCAATGGTGCAATCTCGGCTCACTGCAGCCTCCATCTCCCGGGTTCAAGTGATTCTCCTGCCTCAGCCTCCCAAATAGCTGGGATTACAGGTGCCGGCCACCATGCCTGGCTAATTTTTGTATTTTTAGTAGAGACGGGGTTTCACCATGTTGGCCAGGCTGGTCTCGAACTCCTGACCTCAGGCGATCCACCTGCCTCGGCCTCCCCAAGTTCTGGGATTATAGGCGTGAGCCACCACGCTTGGCCAGAATGAATTTTTTCATAGGTGAACTGGAAACTCCAAGAAACATTGTATGTTACAGCAACTAACTAAATCTCATTCGTCACTCTGGAACCATCTTCCTTGAGTAAATACTATATATATTAGTGCTTGGTTAGAGCCATTCAGAAAGGCCCAGTCATGTTTCTGGGCCTAGGTCTGGGACTGAAATTCTCTGGAAGTTGATTTCTTACTGTTGGGCTTAATTTTCTTTCTCTTTTTTTGAGACAGAGTCTCACTCTGTTGCCCAGGCTGGAGTGCAGTGGCGTGATCTTGGCTCACTGCAACCTCTGCCTCCTGGGTTCAACTGATTCTCCTGTCTCAACCTCCCAGGTAGCTGGAATTACAGGCATGCACCACCACACCCAGCTAATTTTTGTATTTTTAGTAGAGACGGGGTTTCACCATGTTGGCCAGGCTGGTCTCTAACTCCTGACCTCAGGTGATCCGCCCACCTTGGTTTCCCAAAGTGCTGGGATTTCAGGCATGAGCCACCGTGTCCGGCCCTCGGCTTGATTTTCCAAGTAGCTCATCTCCGCAGCTTCCAGCCATCCACTCATGGGTTCTATTTTACCACAAACTTGCTTCCCCCAGCCGAGTGCCAACTCTTCCTCCTCTTATTCTGTTTCTGCTGGAACTTCCAACACTTCTTTTTCAGGTTAAGGGTTTGAAAACATTATTTTAGAGAAACTGTTCTGTTTCTAAATGCCCTTAAGGAATGTACTTAGAGGTGGCTGCATTAATTCCGGTGCTAATTCCTCTAATTAGCTTGAGCTGCTATGAGAAATACCACAGACTGGGTGACTTGGAAACAACAGAGATGTATTTCTTACAGTTCTGGAGGCTGAAAGTCCAAGATCAGGGTGCCAGCGTGGTCAGGTTCTGGTGAGGGTCGTCTTCTGGGTTACAGACGACCAACTTCATGTTGTATCCTACATGGCTAAAAGAGAGCAAGCTGTTTCTCTGCCCTCTCTTTTTTTTTTTTTTTTTTTGTGAGATGGTTTCACTCTTGTTGCCCAGGCTGGAGTGCAATGGTGTGATCTCAGCTCACTGCAACCTCTGCCTGCCCGGTTCAAGTGACTCTCCTGCCTCAGCCTCCCAAGTAGCTGGAATTACAGGAATGCACCACCACGCCCAGCTAAGTTTTGTATTTTTGGTAGAGATGGGGTTTCACCATGTTGGCTAGGCTAGCCTCAAACCACTGACCTCAGGTGATCTCCCCACCTCGGCCTCCCAAAGTGCTGGGATTACAGGCATAAGCCACTGCGCCCTGCCTCTTTTTTTTTTTTTTTAAATTAAACTTTTGAGACAGGGTTTTGCTCTGTCACCCAGTCTGGAGTGCAGTGGTGCGATCATAGCTCATTGCAGCTTTGAACTCCTGGGCTCAAGTGATTCTCCTGACTCAGCCTCCGGAGTAGCTGGGATCAAAGGCACATGCCACCATGCACAGCTAATTTTTAAATTATTCTTTTTTAGAGATGGGGTCTCACTATATTGCCCAGGCTGGTTTTGAACTCCTTGCTTCAAGAAATCCTCCCACCTCAGCCTCCCAAAGCAATGAGATTACAGGCGTGAGCTGCTGCACCCAGCTTGGCCTCTTCTTGTCTCATTCATGAGGGCTTCATTCTCATGACTTAGTTACCTCCCCAAAGCCTCCCCTCCACATACCATCACATCGGAGATTAGATTTCAATGTATGAATTTTGGAGGGGACACAAATATTCGACTCATAACACCCCCATTTTGCAGGTGAAGCAAAAGAAAGCCAGAGAACTTGTAACTCATGTGAAAGCCATGTGTGTGTAAAAATTAGAAGAGTGCCTGACACACAGCAGATGAACAATACCATTATCTAGAATTAATTAAATTGCTAAGAGTCAAAGCAGGAGCTCAGAAGGTCTAAGATGGGGCAAGTCACAAGGGGATGGTCTATGGGCCCAAAGAAAATCCACCAGTGCTGGGCGCGGTGGCTCACATCTGTAATCCCAGCACTTTGGGAGGCCGAGGTGGGTGGATCACTTCAGCTCAGGAGTTTGAGACCAGCCTGGGCAACATGGCAAGACCCTGTCTCTACAAAAAATGCAAAATTTACCCAGGTGCGATGATGTGCGTCTGTGGTCCCAGCTACTTGGGAGGTTGAAGTGGGAGGATCTCTTGAGTCTGGGAGGTGCAGGTTGTGGTGAGCCGAGATCGTGCCACTGCATTCCAGCCTGGGTGACAGAGCAAGACCCTGTCTCAAACAAACAAACAAAAACAAAGAAAAAAAGAAAATCCACCAATCCACCAGAGTGGTTCAAAGTCAATGCTCCCCAAGTTTTGCATGTGGCAGCATTCACAGAAAATGGTAATATTTTTGGCCAGGCATGATGGCTCATGCCTTAAATCTAGCACTTTGGGAGGCTGAGGTGGGTAGATCACCTGAGGTCTGGGGTTCAAGACCAGCCTGGCCAACATGCTGAAACCCTGTCTCTATTAAAAATACAAAAATTAGCTGGGTGTGGTGGTGCACACCCGTAGTCACAGCTACTTGGGAGGCTGAAGTGGGAGGATTGCTTGAACCCAGGAGGTGGAGGTTGCAGTGAGCCGAGATTGTGCCACTGCACTCCAGTCCAGGCGACAGTGCGAGACTCCGTCAAAAGGAGCCCTAAGGCTCTCTAAATGTTTTGTAAAAGTCATGCTTTTTATGATTGTGTCAAAGGTGTTGTAAAGGGTGATTTATCTATATTACCATAAAATTTCGTTGGAAAAATTGTGCCTCAACTTCCCAGTCAACCTTTAAATCCTTTTGACTTTAAGAATATGGTTGGAGTTTTAACCTACATTTTTAATATACAACATAATCATCGCTTCATGAATTTTCATTTATTTTTACAAGATGAAGTCACAGTCAAAATATTTTTACTTTTGACATTGAGATTTTGGTCTGTGTTTTAAGTGCATTTTCTTTAAGAGGCCCTTTTCTGATACCAAAAATCCAAGGATAACAGGGACCTTTCTGTACATATTGTTCTGTGTTATTAACAACCAATGCAGTATAAGTCTTTAGCCAGGTGCGGTGGCTCACACCTGTAATCCCAACACTTTGGGAGGCCGAGCCAGGTGGATCACTTGAGCTCCAGAGATCGAGACCAGCCTGGGCAATATAGTGAGACCCTGCCTTTACAAAAAGTAAAAAAATTAGCAGGGCAAAGTGTTGTGCACCTGTAGTCCCAGCTACGTGGGAGGCTGAGATGGGAGGGTTGCTTGAGCCTGGGAGGCAGAGGTTGCAGTGAGCTGAGATTGCGGCGCTACACTCAAGCCTGGGTGACAGAGTGAGAGCCTGTCTCAAAAAAAAAAAGAAAGAAAAAATAACAAACAACAAAAAACAAATAATAAGTTTTTAGTAGGTGAGAGATTATACCCAGGTAACTTGTTCAGTGTGCTTTCAGTTACTGGGTCTAACCTCAAAGGCACTAGCTCTGAAAGACCACTTGAATTAGTGTGCTTCAAATTCTATGGTTCTATTAATGTTGATTGTCAAGATACACTTATTATTATACTTTAATTTATATAATCCAACTGGAAAGAGTCAGTGGAGGAGGTTTGGGGCTTTCTTGTGCTGGAGATCATCAACAAAGAAATAGATGAGGGCTGGGCATGGGGCTCATGCCAGTAATCCCAGCACTTTGGGAGGCCGAGGTGGGAGGATCATTTGAGGCTAGGAGCTCGAGACTAACCTGGGTAAGATGGGGAGACCCTATCTCTATAAAAATAAAAATAAAATAATTAGGCATGGTGGTGTGCGCCTGTAGTCCCAGCTACTCAGGAAGCTGAGATGGAAGGATCGCTTGAACTCAGGAATTTGAGGTTGCAGTGAGCTATGATCATAGCACTACACTCCAACTTGGATGACACAGTCAGATTTTGTCTCTCTAAAAAAATTAAAAAGAAAAAAGAAATAGGTGAGTATCAGTTCTAAACCCCTGAGATGTTCATCTGACTGTGGATAGAGGGTTGTCCGTAATACTCCTTTTGTTTTCTTTTTCTTTTTTGAGATGGAGTTTCACTCTTGTTGCCCAGGCTGGAGTGCAGTGTTGCGATCTCAGCTCACTGCAACCTCCGCCTCCCGGGTTCTAGAGCTTCTCCTGCCTCAGCCTCCCGAGTAGCTGGAATTATAGGCATGCACCACAACGCCTGGCTAATTTTGTATTTTTTTTTTTTTTTTAGTAGAGACGGGGTTTCTCCATGTTGGTCAGGCTGGCCTTGAACTCCCGACCTCAAGCCCGCCTCGGCCTCCCAAAGTGCTGGGATTACAGGTGTGAGCCACCGTGCCTGGCCAATACTCTTGGCACAACTGGCAATTGAACATCATATTTAAAAGTCCCCTGGCATCTCCAAGCTGGGACCTTTCAACCTCAACCCCTCTCCTTGCCATTTTCATTGGCCAGGCAGAAACAAAAATGGCACAGGTGATGCCCTTTGGAGTTTGCATTGATTCCTGCCGCCCTTTGGTGTCTGATGAGGGCCTTGTTTCCATGCAATGGCTGAACAGACTGCTGGGCCATGGGTTGAGAGGCTCCTCTTAGCCTTCTCTTGTCCATTTACTCTTGCTGTGACCACCATGCTGTTTGGTGCTTTCATCCTTTTTGCATTTGTGTGTTTTCCAAATTAGTAGTTTGCTCTTGTGTGTTGACCTTTTTAATATTCTGTATTTTGATTGGTTGTTCTTACCATTCTCTCTCATTTTCAGCCTGGCTAACCCTCCAGGGAAGAGGTGAAACAGCTATCCAATAAAAATACAAAATACTGAAAAGGTCAAAATACACTATTACAATAAATTACCATAACTCAAACAGGGAAGCAGGCATTAAAATTCTGATACGTACAAGGATGGAGATTGGCATGAGAGTTGAAAATGGCATTGCATTAATGCATTTGGATGTCAGAGTTCATCCAGAAGAGAGTAAACATTCTGAAACCAGAGTCTGAACATTATTTTGTGAGTCTTCTATGCTGTCACACCCCAGCATTGTTGAATAATAGAAATGCTGTCCTGAGCCGACGACTTTCACCGTTTTTCCTTCTTCCCCAGCAGTGAGGACAAGAGGGGAAAAAGAAAGAACAAACATCGTCTCTGCAAGTTGAAACTCTTAAATCTGGCTTGCCAAGAATCCGTTACAATTTATGGTTGGTCAAGACACAGGGCATTCATTTTATTTATTTTATTATCTGGGTTCTACGGCTGTCATTTGGCAGAAATGTCAGGTGCATAAGATAGAAGCACATAGGTTGGGTAATATGGCAAGCTCCTCTCACTACAAAGAATAAAAAAATAGGCAGGTGTGGTGGCTGGCGCATCCCTGTAGTCCTATGGAGGACTGAAGTGGGAGGATCACTTGAGCCTGGGAGATTGAGGCTGCAGTGAGCCATGATCATGCCACTGTACTCCAGCGTGGGCGACAGAGTAAGACCCTGTCTCAAAAAATAATAACAATAAAAAAATAAAAAAAGAAATAAGAAGAGACCTAGTTCTAATACTGCCATGGACTTGCTATGGCTTAGGCCATTTCCCTAACACTCTTAACCTAGTTTGCCTCATAAAAACATCAAAGTCATTATGAATATCACACAAGATATTGGGGATAAAAGTGCCTAACACAGGTTGTACCACTTTGCAAGTCTTGAGCAATATAAACTATCTTTTTCTCACCCCCCCCCGAGCTCTGTGATCTTGGACAAGTCTCTGAACCTCTCTGAGCCCTGCTTGCTTTCTTTTTTCTAGAGCTAGGAGGAGAAACCTAGTGGTCAAGTGGATGATTCAATGACTTGCCAGGGAGTCTCTCTTCCCTCCATCCCATGTGGGCAGCAAAGTTCAATGAATCAGATCTCCAACCTGCAAGGCCATTTCATATTGGTTGGATCAATAGAAGCTCCATTTTTTTTCCCTCTGAGATATCGCCAGCAGACATCACTTGGTGGCTACTGACAGCCAGGCAGCTGGCAGCTGTGGCCCGCTCACCTCTCCTGCCTGTCACCCAGTAATGATGGCAGAACCCCACAGGGGCAGGGTGTGCTATCAAACGCCTGACGGAACTTCAGGGGACAGAGCTTCTGCTCATGGGCATCGCAATCTAATCGGCTCCTGCTTGAACAAATTATCTCTTAAGTGCTAGCGTGAAGAGAGCTGTGTTAATCTACTAAATCGTAAACCTTCCCCGCAGTGTGATGCCGTGATCCAGACAGATACTAATCTGCAGCCATGCTGTCAGTTTTGGTTTTGACACCAACACTTCGAATTGCCAACAGGAAATCATATTTGACATTTAATTCCAATCACACAGAGGCTTTCATTGAAAGCACTGTCAGTTTACCTTTATTTGGGAAGAAAGAAGACAATATGCTCATGTCTTCTGGTAATTTTTTTTTCCCTTGGAGGAGGTGGGGTGGAGAGGAGAGAGGAAGAAAATTCAAACTTCAAATAATGCACCAGCCGAAGAAGTGCTGTAATCCTCATGTCACCCTCATGTTGAATCCACTCCCACGTGCCTTTGGTTTTCATATTCTCACATTTGCCGCATTCCAGTAAATCTCCATCATTTTACACAGATTAGGCATTAATTCAGGTCAAATCAGGATTAATTAGTTAGTCTGAACCAGCCAGTGGCATCAATGTGCCAGCAAGCATTTTAAAATAATCTGTTCTTATTTTGAGTCAGTATTTTCCGAGAGTGGGACCTCTGGATAAAATTGCAATCAAGTATCAGATAGGACTGGAAAATTTAAAAAGCAAAATGTCAGTTTCAGCAATGTTTAAATCTCACCTGTCACTAGGATGCAACCTGAGTCCTGTGGGAAATAAAGGAATGGGTGGAGGGCTGGAGAGAGGGAATGTGTTCAGAGAGTAAGAGAATCAACCTGGAGGCTGGGTGTGGTGGCTCACAGCTGTAATCCCAGTGCTTTGGGAGGCCAAGGCAGGAGGATCGCTTGAAGCCAGGAGTTCGAAACCAGCCTGGACAACACAGGGAGACTGCCCCACCCCCATCTCTACAGAAAATTAAAAAATGAGCCAGGCATTGTGGTGCATGCCTGTAGTCCCAGCTACTTGGGAGGCTGAGGCAAGAGGGTGGCTTGAACCTATGAGGTCGAGGCTGCCAGTGAGCTATGATTATGTCACTGCACTCCAGCCTGGGTGACAGAGTGAGACCCTGTCTCTGAAAAAAAAAAAAAGAAAGGAAAAAAGAACCAGCCTTTCAAGTCAAGGGTTGTTTAATTTGAGAGTGTTCCAGAACCAGCCAGAGAACTTCTAAAAGACAGATCTCAGTGGGTGCCACCAACTTTCTGATTCAGCAGGGCCCTGGAGTGGGGCCCCCAAATTTGCAGTTTTAACAAGTTCCCAGTTGATGCTGATGTTGCCGGCCTGGGATTACCCTACTTTGAGAATCACTGTTTTAAAATCAGCATACCTGGTGGCCTTTAGATAGGGCAGAATAGAAACATACCCTGAGACGCGAAGAGTGGGGCTGGGGAAAACGTTTACCTCCAAATCAAACAGAAAGCATATCCCCTCTCTCTACGCCCTTTATCCATCCCTTTATTTCCCACAGGACTCAGGTTGAGAAAGGTAGCATTTCAGTGGCAGGCAAGATTTAAACGTGGCTAAAATGGACTTTTTTTTTTCCCATTTTGAGTCCTGTCTGATACTTGATTGCAATTTTATCCAGAAGTCTCACTCTCAGGAAATGCTGACTCAAAATAAGAACAGATTATTTTAAAATGCTTGCTGGCACATTGATGCCACTGGCCTGCAGACTTGGCAGGGAGGTCGGAAGTGCAGCCCCCAAACCAGCCAGTATTTGAGGACTAAGGGACTGCATTAGTCTGTTCTCATGCTGCTGATAAAGACATACCAGAGACTGGGTAGTTTATAAGAATAAAAAGAAGTTTAATGGACTCACAGTTCCATCTGGCTGGGGAGGCCTCACAATCATGGCGGAAGGCGAAAGGCACGTCTTTCTTGGTGGCAGACAAGAGAGTATGAGGACCAAGTTAAAGGAGTTTCCCCTTATAAAACCATCAGATCTCGTGAGACTTACTCACTACCATGAGAACAGTATGGGGAAAACCGCCCCCATGATTCAGTTATCTTCCACTAGGTCCCTCCCACAACATATGAGAATTATGGAAGCTACAATTCAAGATGAGATTTGGGTGGGGACAAAGCGAAACCATATTCAGGGCCAATTATGTGGTATAGCTGATCTTTTCCCATCTCACCTGTTGTCTTCCCACATTTTGACTATTTTGGCAATATAAGAAGGTGTCAGGGCCACAGAGCAAACTGAAGGCAACTTATTTGGAGCACTGAAAATGAAATCAAAAGTGAAACTCTTGGTTAGGATAATGCATGCTCATTATGTGTGGGAGAGGCTCAAATATAGTAGAAAGAGCACTACATTGGGATTCAAAAAATCTGAGTTAAGTTCCAATCTTGGCTTTGTAACTTAACCATTACTTGAGATTGCTAAGCCTCCATTGCTTCAACTGTAAAAGGAGGTAGTGATACTTATTGCATGGAATTGCTCTGCAAGTTAAGTGAGAAAGTGCACTGTATCAGTCCGTTTTTGCACTGCTATAAAGAAATATCCAAGACTGGGTAATTTATAAAGGAAAGTGGTTTAATTGATTCACAGTTCTGCATGGCTGGGGAGGCCTCTGGAAACTTACAATCATGGCAAAAGGAGAAGCAGGAATGTCTTACGTGGTGGCAGGCAAGAGAGATAGTGTGTGTTAGGAGGAAATGTCAAACACTCATAAAATAAAACCATCAGATCTTGTGAGAACTCATTCGCTATCAAGAGAACATCACGGAGGAAACTGCCCCCGTGATCTAATCACCTCCCACCAGGTCCTGCCCTTGACACGTGGGGATTATGGGGATTACAGTTCGAGATGAGATTTTGGTGGGGACACAGAACCAAACCATATTATGCACCAATATAAAGTAGGTGCTTAATAAATGCTTGCATCCTTTCTTCCTTAAGGATATCCCTCATCTAGGTCATTTTTTTCCCTTTAAGTTATATTGACTCCATTGTGGTTACAGAGCAGATAAAATTGCTTCAGATGTTCCCTTGATGTGGACGTAATTTTGTTACTCGACTTTGCACAGATCAGAGGTCTATCTTTCTGTTTTGTTTTGTTTTGACTGTTTTTTTTTTTCCAATAGAGATGGGATCTTGCTATGTTGCCCAAGTTGGTCTCAAACTCCTGGACTCAAATGGTCTTCCTCTTTAGCCTCCCAAAGTGCTGGGATTACGGGCATGAGCCACTGTGGCTGGCCAGAGGTCTATCTTTATAAGAAGATCTTGAGAGGCCACTTGGCTTGCTGAACATTTGGGCTGGAGAGGAAGGAAGAGAGAGATAATGAAAGATGGGATGTGGGGTTGGGGGTGGTTAAAGAGAACAGGGAGGTGGTCTTCTCTGCTCTCTCTTCAGACTCTACGATCCTCTGAATCCCAGAGGATCTAAATGGCATCTAAAGCTTCCTGGGAGGGAAAGCCTGAATCCTTGCAATGGGAATTCCACTCAGAGATGCTACTTGGAAGAAATACTCTACTTATATGATTCTGCCACATATGGGGAGCTCTATTCCCATAGCAACAGAGACGGAAAAAGGCAAAATCTCAACTGGGCTTGTGAGGCAGTGTGTCTTTTAGCTTCTTGACGGTAACTCTCTTGGGCTGACCTGAGCTTCCTAGCCCTTTGAATCTTGGTCACCCAGCTGAGAATGCCAGACTGCCATGGCTGGTGAGAGGTGTTCGTTCAGCAACTACTAGCTGAGGGCTTTCTCTGGGGGCCGGTTGCTATGGATACACAGATGAATAAGATGCACTACCTATGTGGTACTTGCCCAAAAGGACTGGAGGGGCTGGTGGGGGATTTGTAACCCCCAAACTCTATTACAGTAAGAAATGTGTTATAATAGGATCAAATAAAATGAAGCATGACTGACAGGAAATGACTGATTCAGCAAGAAGTAATCAGGGCCCCCGAAAAAATGGTGGTGGGCTATGTTGAAGATCAGTGAGGTAGATGAGACATTTGGTGGCATTAACGTAGAAAGCCAGGCTCAAGCTTAGAGCTGGATTTGTATGACGGGAGACTTGACCTTGAAAAGGAAGCCTAGCAAAAGCATGATGATTGGCCAGGCATAGTGACTCCCACCTGTAATCCCAGCTACTTGGGAGGCCAAGGTGAGAGGGTTGCTTGAGCCTAGGAGTTCAAGACCAGCCTGGGCAACATAGTGAGACCCCATCTCTACCAAACCCACCCCCAAAATTAGCCAGGCATTGTGGCATGCACCTGCAGTCACTGCTATTTGGGAGGCTGATGCAAGAGAATCGCTTGAGCCCAAGAGTTTGAGGCTGCAGTGAGCTATGATTACATCACTGCACTCCAGCCTGGGTGACAGAGCGAGACTCTGTCTCTACCACAAACAAACAAACAAGCAAACAAACAACAACCCCAAAGCATGGTGTCTCTTTGTCCTGGAGGAATAGGTGTTTATCACCAGGGAGTAGTTCATCAAAACAAGGTCCAGATGGCCAGAGGCTGGGGTATGGGTGTCAGTGGGGACAAAGCTCATTTTTGAGAATTAGGCCACATGATTAGAGAAGAATTAACTGACATCCAAATGCTCAGAATATGAAAGTAGAGCTCCTTAATTCTCCCCATTTAAAGGCAAGAGTCTCTCAAATGTCCGAGAGGGACTGAACTTTCTCCTGGTACCAGGAGGCTCCAGGAGGGCTGGGTGGGCAGGGATGAAGGAAAGCCCGTATCATCACTGGCTGTGCCCTGCCTCAAGGTGTACCAGATGAGACCTCAAGGGCCCTCAGACCTCTGTATTCCAGAAGTAGTCTGTTTGACAGTGAAGGAAGAAACTGGACAAAGATTCCGCTGGAGCCACTGGTCTGTTACCTTGTGCTGTGAGACAGGGGTCCCCACCTCTGGGCTGTGGACAGATACCAGCCCATGGCTTGCTAGGAGCCAGGCCGCACAGCAGGAGGTGAGCGGTGGGCAAGTGAGCAAAGCTTCATCTGTATTTACAGCCACTCCCCATTGCTCACATTACCACCTGAGCTCCACCTCCTGTCAGATCAGTGGCAGCATTAGATTCTCATAGGAGCATAAACCCTATTGTGAACTGTGCATACGAGGGATCTAGGTTGTGCACTCCTTATGAGAATCTAATGCCTGATGATCTGTCACTGTCTCCCATCACCCCCAGATGGGACCATCTAGTTGCAGGAAAACAAACTCAGGGTTCCCACTGATTCTACATGATGGTGAGTTGTATAATTATTTTATTATATATTACAATGTAATAATAATAGGGCCAAGCACAGTGGCTCATTCCTGCAATCCCAGCACTTTGGGAGGCCGAGGTGAGTGGATCACCTGAGGTCAGGATTCAAGACCAGCTTGGCCAAGATGGTGAAACCCTGTCTCTACTAAAAAAAAAAAAATACAAAAATTAGCTGGGCCTGGTGGCCGGCACCTATAGTCCCAGCTACTCGGGAAGCTGAGGCAGAGAATCACTTGAAATCAGGAGGCGGAAGGTTGTAGTGAGCTGAGATCACACCAGTGCACTCCAGCCTGGGTAACAGAGTAAGACTCTGTCTCAAATAAATAAATAAATAATAATAGAAATAAAGTGCACAATAAATGTAATGCACTTGAATCACCTCAAAACCATTCCTGCCAACCCAGTCTGTGGAAAAATTGTCTTCCACAAAACTGCTTCCTGGTGCCAAAAAAAAAGGTTGGGGACTGCTGCTGTGCAGTATTGACCAAGACTGGCATTATCTTCCTGTCTTCAGTACTCCTGATAACATGTGACATGCAGGAAAGCCATGCCAGAGACTCATAGTGAGAATCTAATCCTCTCCGCAACCATCCATGGAATAATGGCCTTCCACAAAACTGGTCCCTGGTGCCAAAATGTTTGGCGACCACTGCTGTAAGAGGACTTAAAGAAGATGGTCTTCTGAAGGCTCCCAGAAAAGAAAAGAGGAGACCTTCTTCAAAAGCTCACCATCTCTCTCTTTTCTCCAGATTCCCTGACACCTTTTGGGCGTGGAGAAGGGGTGTAGGGAGTGTGCATGTGTGCATGCACACATGTGTGTGTTTGTGAGCATGGGCACGTGCCTGTGAACGTGTGCTTTCCTGCTGGTCCATGTCTAATACTCTTCTTGTTGTGAGAAGACCATAGCGGCCGTGGCAACAGCAGGGACTGACATTGTTGAGAAACATGGAAGGTGTGTGAATTGTCCATTTCACACTGCTCCTTTCATGCTGACCCCCTCCCTGGTGATAATGAAACAAGAGGAGGATGGGAATATTGTGTTTTCTGTTCCTGCCACTTTCTAGGGCAGCTGGTTGCTATGCAATCTTGTGAAAACTGTCGTCTGCAAGTGAGAGCTACCTGACCACGGTGCCGGATGCTCCTCTATCCACAGGGGTGTTTGTTTATTTCACCTTTCACCACATCAAGACCTAGTTAGATTGAGCCAATTCCTCCAGTCTTAACTGGGGCATGGGAGCTTTGGACAATGCCTCCCATAAAGTAGACATCCAGGAAACATTTATTAAGGATAGTGATGGTGGTGAGCATGAACAAATTCTTGGAAACAGAGTGGCGGTGAAGACTCAGTTGATACATCTCTGCCCATCAGATTTAAATAGGAAGAATTAAACTGATGGATTATATTAGTATTTGGAGGTTTCTTTTTTAAATTTTTTAAATTTTATTTATTTATTTATTTATTGAGATGGAGTTTCACTCTTGTTGCCCAGGCTGGAGTGCAATGGCGTGATCTCAGCTCACTGCCATTGCCACCTCCCGGGTTCAAGTGATTCTCCTGCCTCAGCCACCAAAGTAACTGGGATTACAGGTGCCTGCCACCATGCCTGGCTAATTTTTTGTATTTTTAATAGAGATGGGGTTTCACTGTGTTAGCCAGGCTGGTCTAGAACTCCTGACCTCAGGTGATCCACCCATCTCGGCCTCCCAAAGTGTTGGGATTACAGGCGTGAGCCACCGCACCCAGCTTGGTTTCTTTTTTTTTTTTTTTTTTCTTTTGGATACAGCATGGACTTTGTTGCCATCCAGGTCACTGTGTGACATTGGGCAAGTAACTTTACATCTCTGAGTGTAAATTCCTCCCCTCATTTCTTGGAGTTACGAGCATCAAATACGATTGATCATGCTAAGTATAGATTATAGTCAATAAATGTTAATGGTCATGATCATTGCATAGTGTAGTGGTTGAAGACATGGACTCTAGGGCCACACTATGTAGGTTTGACCTCTGACACTGCTGCTTACCTGCTGTGTGACCTTGACCTCTCTCTGTCTCAGTTTCCACATCAGTGAAATGGACACAATAAGGGAACCTGCCTTAGGAGGTTTTATGATGATTCAGCTAATTAATTTTTGCAAATTGCTTTGCATCGTTCTTGGCATATAGTAACTGCTAGATAAATATTTGTGAAATCAATAAATGAAATTAAGTATTGCATTGTAAAGTTTAATATGGAGAAAATCTCTTGACAATGAGAAAGACAGTAAAAACCCAACATTTCCCAAAATTTGTACATGTGGATTATTTCTGTATTGAACAATTTGCCATGCAACAAACCTCAAATCTCACTGGCCAACAGAAATAGTAATTTTTGGCCATGTTTTAGGTGGGTTTCTGCTGTGGCTCATCAGGTCTCTGTGCTATATAACAAATCACTCTGGGATCCAGGCTGCAGGAGTAGCCTCAATGTGGGATGTGTCCATACTTGGTTATTTTTGAGACAGTCTTGCACTGTCACTCAGGCTGGAGTGCAGTGATGCAATCACAGCTCACTGCAGCCTTGAACTCCTGGGCTCAAACGATCCTCCTGCCTCAGCCTCCCGAGTAATTGGTACTGTAGGTGCACACCACCATGCTCAGCCATTTAAAATTTTTTTTGTAGAGATGGGGCTTCGCTATGCTGCCCAGGCTGGTCTCGAACTCCTGGCCTCAAGCAATCCTCCCACCTTGCCCTCCCAAAGTGCTGGGATTACAGGCATGAGCCACTGCACCTGGCCTGCCCATACTTCTGACAGAGGGGAAGAGCAAGTGGTCTGAGAAGAACCCTGCAATTGCATTTAGAATTTCTATTTGGATGTGACGTGGTCAAGCTCAGACTAGTCACATGGCAGTGGATCAGAATGCACCATTTCCTTTCTGGCAAGTGGCAGTGCATAATTGTGAACAAGACAACTAGATACCAAAACAACGAAGGTAGTCAGATGACATGGCACCATTTTACATGAGGAACAGTTGAAAGTATTTAGCCTGTTGAGCAGAAGTCCAACAGGAGTAATAGTAGATGTCTTCACATATTTGAAAGCTATTTGGTAAAAAATTGTTGAAATATATCTGCACAGCTCTGAATTAGGGTACAAAGCACAAGGTAGTATTTGGCTCAACATAAATTCTAACAAAAACTGGCTGCCGGGTGCGGTGGCTCACGCCTGTAATCCCAGCACTTTGGGAGGCCGAGGTGGGCGGATCACGAGGTCAGGAGATCGAGACCATCCAGGCTAACATAGTGAAACCCCGTCTCTACTAAAAATCCTGTATCAAAAAAATAAAAAATAAAAAAAGCTCGGCATGGTAGTTCACGCCTATAATCTATAATCCCAGCACTTTGGGAGGCTGAGGCAGGAGAATTGCCTGAACCTGGGAGGCAGAGGTTGCAGTGAGCCGAGATTGCACCACTGCACCCCAGCCTGGGCAACAAGAGCAAAACTCTGTCTCAAATAAATAAATAAATAAAAATAAAAATAAAAAGTTTCACTGCCCCTAAAAATCCTCCATCCCCTGCCCCCATATTCCCCTCCCCCAACTTCTAGCAACCAACCACTGATCTTTTTCCTGTCACCTTTTCCAGAATGCCACATACTTGGGATGGTACAATGTGTAGTCTTTACAGATTGGTTTCTTTCTCATTTAGTAATATGCATTAAAATTTCCTCCATATCTTCTTGTGGCAAATGTGAATTTATATTCTTATTTGTCTCCTTTGCATAGAAGGTAGTGTACTTCTCTGTTAAGTGCATTGCTGTTTCTTTTAAACGGAAAATAAACATATGTTGGTGCTTTTCACATCAGTACATGGAGATCTTCATTCTTTTTGCTTTCTTTTTCTTTTTGGTACAGCACATTGAATTGCTATCCTATAATTTATTTCACCAGTCCTCTCTTGGCAAACAGGAAAGTCATCCTTTTACAAATAGTCATGCATTGCTTAAAGATGGGGATGCATTCTGGGAAATGCACTGTTAAGCAATTTCATGGTGCTGACATCACAGAGTGCACTTACACAAACCTAGATGGTCTAGCCTACCACACACCTAGGTTATATGGTCTAGCCTATTGCCCCTAGGCTGCACACCTGTTCAGCAAGTGACTGTACTGAATACTATAGGCAATTATGACACAATAATAAGCTTTGTGTTTCTAAACATAGATAAAACATAATAAAAACACAGTATTATAATTTTGTGGGAGCACTGTTGTATATGCGGTCTGTTGTTGACAGAATGTCATTGTGCAGTGCATGACTGTAATGCTGAAATAAGGCTCATGTCCATGTCATTGTGGACGTGCCTGTGTATATCTGAAGGCTATATCCCACCTGGCATTGCTGGATGAAGAGGACTAGAGATTTATGTTATGTTTTGTCAACTTGCAGTAGTATAAACCAAGGGAACTGAATTAGTCTTCTGTAGCTGGCAGGTTTTTGTTTATTTTTCTATATATCTAGGTAATTTCTGCCTTGAGAATATTGCTGCTGTGTAATCAGATATATAAATATTCATAACTTATATCTTAATTGTGAATGGTACCCTTTAGCATTACAAATGCCCTTTTTTGTGTCATTCAATGTTTTTTTTTATCTCAATTTCATCTTGTCTAATATTAATATAAACCTTACTTTCATTTTGCTTGGATTTGCCTGGTATACGTTTGCCTAGTCGTTTATATTTTATTTTGGATTGCTTTGTTCTACATATGTCTCTTTTATACAGCATGGAGTTTGGATTTGTTATGTGATAGGATTTAAAATTCTCTTACTTTTATTAATGATTGAGGTTTGTTTCCATACTGATATGTATGCTTGGGTTTTTCTCATATTGCACTCTTTTTATAGTTTCTTTTTAAAAAGTATTTCACTGTGATCTTTGCTCTGTGTGTGTGTAATTCTTCTGATATGCAGGAAGGTTGGTATTTTTATTCTAGTCACTACCTCATAAAATTAATTGTAACTTTATATAATCACAGTTTCTATTTCTTTACAGTGTCTAATTGTTTCCTAGGCTGAACAGTTATAAACTTAAAAACCTGATATGTTTCTGTGTTCTTCCTTCTTTCCTTCCCTCTTGTTAGTTTTCTGAATTTAGTCAATAGCATTATTTTTCTTGCAATTTACATTTGAACTGTCAGTAGGCTTTTATTACATCTAGTACACCTTGATTCCTTGATTTGTCAGCTTTAAATAATATTCTGTGACTCTCATCTATCCTAGAGGAAGTGAACAGAAAATTCCTACACTATGTCTCCTTCCTTCTTTGCCTTCTCTTGTCCATTATTTTTTGTTAGCTGTATCACTTCTAGATTGTCAGGGCTGATATCACTCATATTCTCTTCTGTCATCCAAATGCATGTATGTGTTTCAGTCTTCACTCTATAGCTCCTTGAGTTTTTGTAGGCTCAAAACCATTCATAGTCATTATACTTGAAGGATAATTTGGCTAAATAGAAAATTCTTGGCTGTGATTTTCGGGCATTTCTCCACTGTCTTCAAGTGTTGAATGTTGCCGTGGAAAAAACTGAAGCCAACCTGATCTTTTGCTCCTGTCAGTGAACTTTTAAATGCCACTCAAAGGCTTCTTTATGTATGAAGTTCAGCAGCTTTACACGGAGATGTATCAATGTTGACTATTCTGGGTCAATTTCCATGATCATGGTATTCCCTTTTAATTTGTAGAGTCAAGCCTTTTATTTCAGGAAAGTTTTCTTGAATTGTATTTGTTAAACATTTGTTTTCCTTCATTGCTTTGGCTCATTTTATTTTACATTCCATATTTTTAAAGGGAGTTTAATATTGGATCTCCTTTGCCTGTCTTTTACATTTGCAATTTTATCCCTCATGTTCTATAACTCTGTAATATTTTACATTCTTTCATTGAAGTTTTGTATGCCTATCTCTAGTATGCCTTTCTCTATTTTCTGCAGTATCTCTTCTCCCTTTTGCACCTTCAGATTTTGTTTTCATTTCTGTGATGTTTATTTTATTTTCTTTACTTCTTTCCTGAGTTTTGCCAGCCACATTTCATTAAGAAGTTTTGGAAATTGATAATTTTGCTGCTTTTTCCCCCTACATTTTTTCTTATAGAAAATCTGCATTGGTGCTGAATCAATGATCTATATTATTACTGTTGTTGTGTTTTATATTATATAATATTATATGTCTTTATTATTCCTATTCCCATAGTGAATAATCATGATACTATTATTATTATCATTTTTTTTTTGAGACACAGTCTTGCTCTGTTGCCCAATATGAAGTGCAGGGGTGTGGATCTCGGCTCACTGCAACCTCCGTCTCCTAGGTTCAGGCAGTTCTGTCCTCAGTAGCCTGTAACAGGCATGTGCCACCACACCCAGCTAATTTTTGTATTTTTAGTAGAGATGTGGTTTTGCCATGTTGGCCAGGCTGGTCTTCAACTCCTGGCCTCAAGTGGTCTGCTCGCCTTGGCATCCCAAAGTGCTGGGATTACAGGCATGAGCCACTGCACCAAGACTGTTGTTATTATTATTTATCATGGTATGGGTTGGATTTCCTGAGCCAGCTAATTGCTGGAAGATGCTGTGCAGGAAGGGGCCAGGGAGCCTCCTGAGCTTCCTCCTCTGCTCTGCAGAGACAAACTGCTGCCTGTAAACCTGGCTCATTCTGTGATTCTCTGTGCGCCCTCCCTCTTCCTCTGCCACTGTGAACCCCAGAGGCCATAAGTCAACAGCTCTGTTCACCAGTTTCTTTAAACATAGATTTTGCTCTTCCTTTTCCTTTTCTTCCTCTTCTTTTTTTTTTTTTTTTTGACAGAGTCTTGCTCTGTCACCCAGGCTGGAGTGCACTGGTACAATCTCGGCTCACTATAACCTCCACCTCCTGGGTTCAAGCAACTCTCCTGCCTCAGCCTCCTAAGTAGCTGGGATTACAGGCACCCCCCACTGTGCGTGGCTAATTTTTGTATTTTTAGTAGACAAAGAGTTTCACCATGTTGGCCAGGCTGGTTTCGAACTCCTGACCTCAGGTGATACGCCCACCTCAGGCTCCCGACGTGCTGGGATTATAGGCCTGAGCCACCATGCCTGGCCTTTTTTTTTTTTTTTTTTTTTTGATACAGGGTTTTGTTTTGTCATCCAGTCTAGAGTGCAGTGGTTGCAATTACAGCTCACTGCAACCTCAACCTCCTGGGCTCAAGCAATCCTCCTACCTCAGCCTTCCCAGTAGGTGGGAACCACATGTATCAGTCACCACACCAGACTAATTTTTACAGATTTTTTTTTTTTTTTGTAGAGATGGGGGACTTGCTATGTTGCCCAGGCTTGTCTCAAATTCTTGGGCTCAAGGAATCCTCCTGCTTCAGCCTCCTACAGTGCTGGGATTATAGGTATGAGCCACCACACCCGGCCAGAAGTTTCTCTTTAGGATGTGCACTTACTGTCAGTCCAGGGCATTTTCTGGTGCTTTCTGAGATTTGTCCCCCTAGGGCCTTCATGTCACCCTTAGTGCTTTCACTCTTCACTTCCATCACTTGAATTTCAGTTCAATCTCAGCCAATTTGCGTGCCCTGTCTTAGTCCATTTGTGTTGCTATAAAGGAATATCTGGCCAGGTACAGTGGCTCATTCCTATAATCCTAACACTTTGGGAGGCTGAGGTGGGAGGATTGCTTGAGGCCAGGAGTTCGAGACCAACCTGGGCAACAAAGTGAGACCCCCACATCTACTAAAAATGAAAAAATTAGCTGGGCATGGAGGCATAAATCCTTGTAGTCCTAGCTACTCAGGAGACTGAGGCAGAAGGGTCTCTTGAGCCCAGGAGTTGGAGGCTGCAATGAGCTATGATTGCAACAAGGTACTCCTGCCTGGGCAACAGAGCAAGACCCTGTCTCTAAAAAAAATTAAAAAAAAAAAAAAGGAATAACTGAGGCTGGGTAACTTATAAAGAGAAGAAGTTTGTTTGGCTCACAGTTCTGTAGGCTATACAAGGAGCATGGTGCCAGCAGCTGCTACTGATCAGGGCCTCAGGAAGTTTCCACTCATGGTGGAAGGTAAAGGGGAATGTGTGCTGATCACATGGTGAGAGAGGAAGCCAGAGAGAGAGAAGGAGGAGGTGACAGGTTCTTTTCAACAACCAATTCTAACAGGAGCTAAGAGTGAGAACTCACTCTTGAATGAATGGCTCCAAGACATTCATGATGGCTCTTTCCCCGGGACCCCAGGACCTCCCCCAAGGCCCCACCTCCAACACTGGGGATCAATTTTCAATTTTCAACATGAGATTTGGAGGTGACAAAACAAACTCTATTCAACCCCAGCAGGCCCCTTCCATGTACTTTGAAATCTGGAATATATCTGTCTCCAAATTCCACGGAAACAATGATTTGAGTATATATTAGTCCGTTTTCACACTGCTGTAAAGATACTACCTAAGATGGGGTAATTTATAAAGGAAAGAGGTTTAACAGACTGACAGTTCCACGTGGCTGGGGAGGTCTCAGGAAATTTACAGTCATGGCGGAAGGGGAGAAGCAGGCACTTCTTCACAAGGCAGCAAGAGAGAGAGTGTGTGTAGGAGACAAAGTCAAACACTTATAAAACCATCAGATCTAGTGAGAACTCACTCACTATCACAAGAACAGCATGAGGGAAACCTCCCCCATGATCCAGTCACCTCCCACCAGGTCCTGCCTTTGACACATGGGGATTATGGGGATTACAATTCAAGATGAGATTTGGGTAGGGACACAAAGCCAAACCATATCAGTGTGGTTTATAATTTTCCTTTTGCTTTTGTGTGATTTCTAAGGTGAAAAGGGGGTAAAATGAGGTAAAGGGGAAGAGGCTACTTATTTATTTAGCCATGTTCACACCAAAAGTCTTGCTTCTTTTTTTTTCTTTGAGACAGAGTCTTGCTCTGTCACCCAGGCTGGAGTGCAGTGGTGTGGTCTCGGCTCACTGCAACCTCTGCCGCCCAGGTTCAAGCAATTCTCCTGCCTCAGCCTCCCAAGTAGCTAGGATTACAGGCATCTGCCATTGCACCTGGCTAATTTTTATATTTTTAGTAGAGATGGGGTTTCACCATGTTGGCCAGGCTGGTCTCGAACTCCTGGCCTCAAGTAATCCACCCACCTCAGCCTCCCAAAGTGCTGGGATTACAGGCATGAGCCACAGCGCCCAGCCAAGTCTTGCTTCTTAAATCAAGAAGGCCATGCAGGGTTGGTATTTTCTTGCAGCACAGTTGTTTGGTAGAATTTAAAGCCTGGTGTGTTTAATTGTAAGTAGAGAAAATTGCTTTATGACAGAGATTTCTCTCAGGCCAGGGACAAAGTATCTCTCAGGATACTTGGGACAGTGTTATTTTTAGTGATAATAGTGCTTTCAGTACCTACAGATTCGGGATACCTTTCTCAGGAATCCAGAAAAGGTGTTTTTACAAGGCAATTAGCAAAGTTGTGTAATTTACACCTGCAGGCTCTCATAGTGGCTATCCATCTGATTGGTTTTCATCTGGAGCTGCAGAATGGCTAGAGTTCTGGACATCCTACTGTGATATCAAAACAGCTCTGGGTTATATCACAAAGGGGGCTTTCATACATTGCTGATAGGATTATCAATTAGTACAAGATTTCTGAAGGGAATCTGGCAATGTGTATCAAGAAACAACAACAAAAAATTATACCCTTTGAACCAGTAAGTCTATTTTTAGGAATTCAGCTTAAGGATATAGTCAGAGTCGCAGACCAAGATCAATGCCTGAAGATGATTATATAAAAAATGGGAAACTGCTTAAATGTTCAAGGATATTAGTTAAACCGTGGTGCAGTGATATGATAGACTCAAAGTCGTTCATTAAAATAATCACTCTGTTAACATTTAGTGATGTGGGAAAATGCTGATGATATTGTTTTTAGGGTAGATTATAAAAATCTACATACCATGCGGTCTTAGTTACATAAAAATTGCAAAAAAATCAACTAGAAAGAAATACATCAAACATTATTAATGGTTATTTTCAGTTATGAAACTATAGAATTATACTTATTAATTCTCTATATTTTGCTGTATTTTGAAATTTTTCTACAGTGAGCATGTCTAATGTGTTTTGTCTTTTTATTTTTAATTTAGTTTATTTAGGTAATGTGTTCCTGTGGGACAAAATCCAAAAGGTATAAAGATATATAGTGAAAAGTCTATTGTCAGCCAGGTGTGGTGGCTCACACCTGTAATCCCAGCACTTTGGGAGGCCAAGGTGGGCGGATCACTTGAGCCCAGGAGTTCGAGACCAGCCTGGCCAACATGGTGAAACCCTATTTTTCCCAAAAATACAAAAATTAGCTGGATGTGATGGTGGGCTCCTGTAATCCCAGCTACTTGGGTGGCTGAGGCAGGAGAATCCCTTGAGTCTGAGAGGTGGAGGATGCAGTAAGCCAAAATTGTGCCACTGTACTCCAGCCTGAGTGACAGAGCAAGACTCTGTCGCAAAAAAAAAAAAAAAAAGTTAATGTCCACATCTGTCTTCCACCCAACCAGTCATTCATTTATTCATCAATTGCCTATTTCTTCTCCTTGGAAGCAACTAATATTACTAATATAATGAGTTTACTTCCAAAGATATTCTATGCATATCCAAGCAAAAAACCCTACACGTATATCTTCTTTTTCTCTTCCTTATTTATATAAATAGTAGCCTACGTATATGCATGCCATTCTGTTCATTAAAAAAAACTTAATATGTTTTGGTAGTAATGCCTTATAAGGACATACAGAGATTCCTATAGTTTAGGAATTGTTCCATTCTTTGGAGGTATCTTAATTTATTTAAAGAAAACACTTAAGCTATTTTCAATCTTTTTTTGTTGTTGTTATAAAGAATGCCGTGATGAATAGCCTTGAACATAGGTCATTTCAATCACATATAATTTTTTTTTTTAATTTTTATTTTTAGTAGAGACAGGGTTTCACCATGTCGGCCAGGCTGGTCTCAAACCTCTGACCTCAAATGATCTGCCTGCCTCGGCCTCCCAAAGTGCTGGGATTACAGGCGTGAGCCACCACGCCCAACCCCCACATATATGACTTTTTTCATTAGTAACAGCTGATTATGACTGTCAATAAGACCTTAAGAGGTGGCTTGCCAAAGAGGCAAGATCTTGGTGTTCACGTCCAGTGTGTTAGATACACTGTTGATTGTAACAGAGCTGAGATGGGCAGGAGAGACAGGGAGGAAGGAAGCACCTTCATAGCTGAGATATGTAAGATGTGTCCTACAAACAGCATTAGTTAGGCTTATTCCCCAGAAAGCAGTGCAGTGGCGTGATCTCAGCTCACTGCAATCTCCGCCTCCCGGGTTCAAGCGATTCTCCTGCCTCAGCTTCTTGAGTAGCTGGGACTACAAGTGCGTGCCACTACACCTGGCTAATTTTTGTATTTTTAGTAGAGACGGGGTTTCACCATGTTGGCCAGGAGGGTATCGATCTCTTGACCTCGTGATCTGCCCGCCTCAGCCTCCCAAAGTGCTGGGATTACAGGCGTGAGCCACTGTGCCTGGCCAGGGCTTACCATTTTTTTAATATTAATTTTTGAAGACAAGGTCTCACTCTGTCACTCAGGCTGGAGCACCATCATAGCTCACTGCAGCCTCAAACTCCTGGGCTCAAGCGATCCTCCTGGCTTGGCCTCTCTAGTGGCTGGAAATACAGATGCAAGTCACCACATACAGCTAACTTAAAATTTTTTTTTTAGCGAAAGGGTCTTGCTTTGCTGCCCAAGCTGGTCTCGAACTTGTGGCCTCAAGTGATCCTCCTGCCTCAGCCTCCCAAAGTGCTGGGGCTATAGGCATGAGCCACGGTGACTGGCCTACAATTTTTTAAGATACTTCAGCAAACTTTGCGTCATTTGACTCACGTGGCTACCCTATGGAGTAGGGTAGGGTATTGAATAGCCCCATTTCATGGGCGAGGACAATTAGCAAGTACCTGGTTTCCCATTTGGCTACGATCCCAGTGTAGACTAGAGCCAGCTCTCTCAAGGTCCAGCCTCCAGTCTCTTTGTTTCTTCTTGCCTCCTGATCAAGATGTACATTACAACTTTAACCTTCGCAACTTCTTTCTTTTGACAACCATTTATAGCAAAGACAACTCATTCACTTACCGGGGGCAATATTTCACTACCAGCTTTTCTTGCAGGTTTTACCAGGATGTCACACTGCTTAAAAACGAGACCTTCTGTGTTTGATTTCTTCATTGAGATAGGATGGCTCTGGTGGGTTATTTCCAACTAAAAATATTGCAGCTGTTCTCGTTGGCATTGACTTGAGGGCTTCTGTCTCCAATTTATCTCAGTGTTGGAACAGACCCAGGGCTGTTTTCTGAGGAAAATCTTGGCCCTGCATGGAGCTACTCACTTCTCTTACCTCAAGCTTATATCCTTGTTGGGCTCTTTAATTTATAGATGAGGATGTCATACATACTCTGTGCTTTGCTGGCTGTTAAAGCATAAAGATCAGCCCTTCATCAGCAGTGTAGAGTGTCTGTAATCCAGGTCCTTGTTGGAGGGCAAAACCCTAAATTCGTTGCTGCTTAATTTTTTTTTTTTTTTAATAGAGACAGATTCTCACTCTGTCACCCTGGATGGATTGTGGTGGTGTAGACCATAGCTCATTTCAACCTTGAACTCCTGGGCTCAAGCCATCTTCCCACCTCAGCCACCAGAGTAGCTGGGATTACAGGCATGCACCATCATGCCTGGTTAATATTTTTTTGTATTTATTTTTAGACACAGGGTCTTGCTATGTTGCCCAGGCTAGTCTCAAACTCCTGGCCTCAAGTGATCCTTCCACCTTGACCTCCCAAAGCACTGGGCTTACGTGTATGAGCCATTGTGCCTGGTGGCTCACGCCTGTAATCCCAGCACTTTGGGAGGCTGAGGTGGGCAGGTCACCTGAGGTCAGCAGTTCAAGACCAGCCTGGCCAACATGGCGAAACCCTGTCTCTAGTAAAAAATACAAAAATTACCTGGGGGTGGTGGCGGGCACCTGTAGTCCCAGCTACTCAAGAGGCTGAGACAGGGAAAATTCCTTGAACCCGGGAGGTGGAGGTTGCAGTGAGCCGAGATTGCACCACTGCACTCCAGCCTGGGTGACAGATTGAGACTCCATCTCAAAAACAAAAACAGAAACAAATAGATACAGAGCACTTACTCTGTACCAAGAACCAGTTTACATGTTGAGAACACAGCAGTGAGCAAGACAAAGTTCTTACTCTCAAAGTGTTTATATTCTAGTTAGAGGGAACAGATAGACCTTAAATAAACAAGTACACCGGGCGCGGTGGCTCACGCCTGTAATCCCAGCACTTTGGGAGGCCGAGATGGGCGGATCACGAGGTCAGGAGATCGAGACCATACTGGCTAACACGGTGAAACCCCGTCTCTACTAAAAATACAAAAAATTAGCCGGGCGTGGTGGCGGGCGCCTGTAGTCCTAGCTACTCCGGAGGCTGAGGCAGGAGAATGGCGTGAACCCGGAAGGCGGAGCTTGCAGTGAGCCGAGATCACGCCATTGCACTCCAGCCTGGGAGACTGAGCGAGACTCCGTCTCAAAAAAACAAAAACGAAAACAAAAACAACAACAAATAGTAAACAAGTAAATATATAGTATGTCAGATAATGATAAATGCTATAGAGAAAGTTATGGCACTTTAAGGGAAAGAAAATAAAAAGATGTGTGTGTGTGTCCACGTATGTGTGTGTGCATGTGTGTGTGTATATATGTGTGTGTGCATGTGTGTATGTGTCTGTGTGTCTGTGTGTATACCATTTCATATTGGTGAGCCCAGGAAGGCTTCATAATCACGTGAGATTGGACATGGGCCTGAAGGAGTTGAGAGTGGGTGCCACTTAGATACGGGAGAAAAGAGCATACTAAATCCTCTGCTATGACACTGGCCCCTCTGCCATGGGAGGCGCGGAGGTCTGGAGGCTTCACTGGGCTTCTCATTTTGGAAAACAATAAGTTTACTTTAGTGAACAACAAGTTAAACTGCTGGAACAGAACAAGCAAGGGAAAAATGGAAAGAGTTGAGATAAGAAAAGTAACAGGACTGGACGCGGTAACTCATGCCTGTAATCCCAGCATTTTGGGAAGTTGAGGTGGGTGGATCACCTGAAGTCAGGAGTTCGAGAGCAGCCTGGCAAACATGGTGAAACCCTGTCTCTACTAAAAATACAAAAATTAGCTGGGCCTAGTGGTGGGCACCTGTAATCCCAGCTACTCGGGAGGCTGAGGCAGGAGAATCACTTGAACCCGGGAGGCGGAGGTTGCAGTGAGCTGAGACGGTGCCATTGCACTCCAGCCTTGGCAACAGAGCAAGACTCCATCTCAAAAATAAAGGTAATGGTGGTGTAGGTGATACATCTAGAATTTGTAGGTGTATTAGGCAGGGTTCTCTGGAGAAACAGAACCAATAGGAGACACACGTGTGCGCACACACACACACACACACAGAGTTGACCATTGAGCAACATGGGTTTAACATGGCTTCACGTATATGTGCATCTTGTTCTGCCTCTGCCACCCTGAGACAGCAAGACCAACCCCTTCTCTTCCTCCTCTCCCTTATCCTCCTCAATGCCAAGACGATGAGGATGAGGATAAAACCTTTACGATGATCCACTTCTTAATGGATAATAGATTATCTCTTCCTTATAATTTTCTTAATAATATTTTCTTCAGCTCACGTTATTGTAAGAATATAGTATGTAATATAATATACAAATTATGTGTTAATTGACTATGTTATCAGTAAGGCTTCTGGTCAATAGCAGGTTATTAATAGTGAAGTTTTGGGGGAGTAAAAAGTTATAGACAGATTTTTGGGCTGGGCGTGGTGGCTCACACCTGTGATCCCAGCACTTTGGCAGTCTGAGGCAGGAGGATCACTTGAGGTCAGGTGTTTGAGACCAGCTTGCCTAACATGGTCGAAACCCCATCTCTACCAAAAAATACAAAAATTAGCATGCAGCATGCATCTGTAGTCCCAGCTACTTGGGGGGCTGAGGCAGGAGAATCGCTTGAACCTGAGAGGCGGAGGTTGCAGTGAGCTGAGATAGCACCACTGCACTCCAGCCTGGGTGACAGTGAGACCCTGTCTCAAAAAAAAAAAAAAAAAAAGTTATAGGCGATTTTTGACTGCACGGGAAGTTGAATCCCCTAACCCTTGCATCATTCAAGGGTCAGCTCTGTATATATGTATGAAGTTATGTATATGTATATATATATAGAGAGAGAAGGAGACAGAGGTTGATAATGGCATTTATTATGTGGAATTTGCTCATGTGATTATGAAGGCTAAGAAATGCCAATATCTGCAATTGTCAAGCAGGAGACTCAGGAGAGCTGATGGTGTAAGTTCCATTCTGAGAGTGGCAGGCTCAAGTCCCCCGAAGACCCAATGTTTCAGTTCGAGCGTGAATGAAGGAAAGGACTGATGTCCCAGCTCATGCAGTCAGGCAGGAAGAATTCCTTCTCAGTCAGCCTTTTCATCTATTCAGGTCTTCTGTTGGCTGCAGGAGGCCCATGTACATTAGGGAGGGCAATTTGCTTGACTCAGTGTACCAGCGCAAATGTCCATCTCATGCGGAAACACCCTCATGAGCACATCGAGAATAATGTTGGACCAAATGTCTGGGCACCACATGACCTAGTCAAGTTAACCTAAAATTAACTCTCGCAGGAGACGATAGTAGTCATTCTGGTGTTTACTTGGAGTGACATGGAGAGCTACTGGAGAGTTTTAAACAGAGGAGATATGAGCAGACTCAAGTTCTAGCAACATCCTGGGCTGCTGTGCTGAGAATAGATTGTAGGTGATAGGACAGGGAAAGGGCAGCTGTTAGGGCTGGGAGACAAGTTAGGAGGCAACTGAAATAATCTAAGTAAGAAACATAGGTCACTTGTACTAGAATGCTACTGGTGGGGATGGTGTAAAAAGATCCTGGCTCTAGACACATTTTTTTTTTTTTTTTTTTTTTTGAGACGGAGTCTTGCTCTGTCACCCAGGCTGGAGTGCAGTGGTGCAATCTTGGCTCACTGCAACCTCTGCCTCATGAATTCAAGCAATTCTCCTGCCTCAGCCTCCTGAGTAGCTGGGATTACAGGCGCCCACCACCACACCTGGCTAATTTTTACATTTTTACTAGAGACAGGGTTTCACCATGTTGGCCAGGCTGGTCTCGAACCCCTGACCTCAAGTAATTCATCTGCCTCGGCCTCCCAAAGTACTGGGATTACAGGTGTGAGCCACTGCGCCTGGCCTCTAGACACATTTTTAAGATAGAGCCTCTGGGACCACACAGGGCTTTGTTCATAATTTTGTGATGGTGCCTTTCAGTTTGGACTGCAATTGTTTACTTGTTTATCTCCAGCATTGATTGCCATTCTATTAATCTTTGTAATAATAGCCACATAATAATAATGGCTAGCATTTTGGACTGTACTTTGTGTCAGGGACTGAACTTGGTGCCATATATATATAGTTTCATTTGATTCTCACATCAACTCTCTGAACATATTATTAATCCAATTTTCTCTAGGAGGTTCCTAAAGTCTGGATATATAGGTACTATTATTTTATATTTTTATTTATTTATTTTGGAAACAGGGCCTGGCTCTGTTGCGTTGGCTGGAGTGCAGGGGTACAATCATAGCTTACTGCAGCCTCAAACTCCCAAGCTCAAGTGATCCTCCCACCTCAATCTCCTGAGTGTCTGGGCCTACAGACATGCACTACCATGCCCTGCTGATTATTTTCATTTTTATTTTGTAGAGATGGAGTTTTGCTACGTTTTCCAGGCTGGAGTTCTATATTTTTAAGATTGAAGATGTCCTTGATGATATATGGTATATTTGCCTCCGTTTCAGACTTACAGACACAAGGAGGTACAGAAACTTTGGCTAGGATCTCACACCAATAAATGCCTAGCACTGTGTTTAGTACCTAGCGGGTATTGAGTGAGTGGCATTCTTCCCTTCATAAGTATTTACGGTACCCACCCTGTGCTAGACATATGAGGACTGGGAGACAACACCGAAAAGATAGTCAAAGCTGCTTTCACATGAAACTTCCATCATGAAACCCCCAAGTATGCCATTCTGATGCAGTGGCATACTTGGGTGCCAATGAGTGCCCACTGAGTGGAGGAATTGAAAAAATCCTTGGAGCAGTTAGTAGGGACAAGATAGTTGAGAATCTCGAATGCCCAGGTGAGAAGCTGTATTTAGATAAGAGATTGCAATGCTTGTAGTTGAGTAAAGGCAAGAAGACCTCTGGGATGTGGAACAACACAGGACAGTGCCTTCCCAGCGAATCCACTATTTCTTTCCCCCTCATTCCTCTACAGTGCAATCACAGAAAAGCACTGGCCTGATTGAAAACCCTACTCCTTCTTCTTGATGCTTGGCCAACAGGATGCCTTCTCATTTGGACTTCAAAGCAAGTGGCTGAGCAGCAAGAGAAGTCGCCCCCAGAGCTTGGAGAGTATGTTGACTCTGCAGCTGCTGTTTAGAGGAAATATTCGTTGGCAAGCAGCTGTGGTTTGCAGCTGAGCATATGGCTAGGAGTGGGGTGGTCCAGATTTCACCCAAGAGCCCCTAATGAGCCTGCAGCTGCTTCCAACGCTGCCTCCCTGTCCCTGCCCCATTCCCTGGCCTGCTCTGCCACCTCCATGACAATCTGCTCTGTACACAAGGCAGAGTTCATCTCTCCCACTGTGGGGTGCAGGAGGGACCAGAATCAGCTATCCCTTTCTGGTATAAGGTCACCCACTGGCACAATAGCCCAAGGAAGGTAGTGGGTAACACAGGGAACTCCCAAAGTGATCAGCTGTCCTGGAACTTGGTGATGGCTTTATACTAAAAGGCATAAAATGAAAACAGCCTTAATTTATTTGTTAGAGTCAGGGTCTCACTGTGTCACCCACGCTGGAGTACAGTGGCTTTCGTGATCATAGCTCACTGCAGCTCTGAACTCCTGTGTGATGGTTAATACTGAGTGTCAACTTGATTGGATTGAAGGGTACAAATTATTGATCCTGGGTGTGTCTGTGAGGGTGTTGCCAAAAGAGATTAACATTTGAGTCAGTGGGCTGGGGAAGGCAGACCCACCCTTCACCTGGTGGGCACCATCTAATCAGCTGCCAGCAAATATAAAGCAGGCAGAAAAATGTGAAAAGAAAAGATTGGCCTAGCCTCCCAGCCTACATCTTTCTCCCGTGCTGGATGCTTCCTGCCCTTGAACATTGGACTCCAAGTTCTTCAGTTTGGGGACGCAGACTGGCTCTCCTTGCTCCTCACCTTGCAGACATATATATATCCTATTAGTTATGTCCCTCTATAGAACCCTGACTACTGCTTCTAAGAAATTGTCACAAACGTGGTGACTTAAAACAGTATGAATCTATTCTCTTAGAGTCCTGCAAGCCAGAAGTATCAAACAAGTTTCGCAGGGCTAAATTCAAGGTATTGGCAGGACCAGCTCCTTCTGGAAGCTCTAGGAGAGAATTCATTTTCCTGCTTTTCCCAGCTTCTGGGATCTGCCTGCACTGCTTGGCTCATGGCCCCTTCCTCACACCACTTCAGCCCCTTGCTTGTGTCCTCACAGCTCCTGCTCCTCTTCTGTAAGTCAGATCTCCCCAAGACTCCCTCCAATAAAAAGGACACTTGTGATTATATGAGACCCACCCAGATATCCAGTGTAATCCCCTATCTCAGGATCCTGAACTTAGTCACATCTTTAGGCCAGGTGCTGTGGCTCACATCTGTAATCCCAGCACTTTGGGAGGCCGAGGCTGGTGGATCACTTGAGGTCAGGAGTTCGAGACCACCCTGGCTAACATGGTGAAATCCTTCTCTACTAAAAATACAAAAATTAGTTGGGTGTGGTGGCAGGTGTCTGTAATCCCAGCTACTAGGGAGATTGAGGCAGGAGGTTCGCTTGGACCTGGGAGGTGGCAGTTGCAGTGAGCCATGATCGCACCACTGCATTCCAGCCTGGGTGATAAGAATGATACCCGATCTCAAAAAACAAACAAACAAAACAAAACAAACAACAACAACAACAAAAAAAAACCCAACTACATGTTCAAAGCTCCTTTTGCTATGAAAAGTAACATTCATTGATTCCAGGGATTAGGATGGGGAGATCTTTTGGGGCCATTGTTTAGCCTACCACAGTGAGTATCTGGGTCACTTCAGCTCCATTAGCTCTTCCACACAGTCAGAATTTGGCACATAGACTCACACCAATAATATGCACTTACGTATTCTTTTAAAACATTTTTATTTTATTTTTTCTAGGTGCAGATTCTCACTCTGTTGCCCAGGATGGAGTGCAGTGACACCATCTTGGCTCACTGCAGCCTTGATCTCCTGGGCTTAAGCAATTCTCCTGCCTCAGCCTCCTGAGTAGCCAGGACAATAGGCATGTGTCATCTTACCTAGCTAATTTTTAATTTTTCTTTGTAGAGATGGGGTCTTTCTATATTGCCCGGGCTGGTCTCAAACTTCTTGTCTCAAGTGGTCTCCCAACCTCAGCCTCCTGAGTAGCAGGGACTACAGGCATGCACCACCATGCCCAGCTAGTTATTTTATATTTTGGAGACATGAGGGCTGGCCATTTTGCCCAGGCTGGTGTCGAACTCCTGGCCTCAAGCGATTCTCCTGCTTCAGTCTCTTGAGTAGCTGGTGCACTTATGTATGGATGGATTCTTTCCAAAGTTTTTTTGTCTTGATCTGCCCTCCATTCTAATCACCCCTCTACTACGGCAGCAAAGTAGATAGGGCAAAGTTTGTTCTCTGAAACTTAGCGTGGTGAAGCATGAAGCTAGTTCCATGGTAAGATCCCAGCACTCCTCTGTCAGCCCACACTAAGCGTGTCTTTGATCATTGCTGCAATGTCAATAACAATGATTTCTCCCTTCATGATTAGCACCACTTGAGCTAGGTCTAAATGATATCAAAACAGCCAGTCAATTTAGTCAATTTACTCAGTCTGTCAATTTAGTAGAAAATAAAGAAATCAATGAAGTTAGTGGTTGGAGTGAATTGACAGGTTGTCTCACGGATTTAGTTGAGTCTGAAAACTGTATAGACAGTTCCAGAGATGACAGTCCCACCACCCTAAAAGGCCACTCTAAAATCATGGTGATGAAAACAACACCCTTTCTCCAAATTTTCAGGGATGATAACTATTTCAAGCAATTTCACAATCATGATCTAATTTTGTTGTGCCAACATCCCGAGGCAGTTAGGACCATTGAA
The DNA here is from genome assembly GCF_000001405.40 of Homo sapiens. Lineage (NCBI taxonomy): Eukaryota > Metazoa > Chordata > Mammalia > Primates > Hominidae > Homo > Homo sapiens. The sequence continues at coordinate 69,293,464 of NC_000007.14, read as the reverse complement.
ACAGGGAAGCTAGATAAGAAATTTGGGGTGTGCATGGTGGTGTGCACCTGTAATCCCAGCCCTTTAGGGGGCTGAGGTGGGAGGATCGACTGAGACCAGGAGGTGGAGGCTGCAATGAGCTATGATCACACCACTGCACTCCAACCTGGGCAACAGGGCACGACCCTGTCTCTGGAAAGGAAGGAAGGAAGGGAGGGAGGGAGGGAGGGAGGGAAGGAAGGAAGCTAGGAAGGAAGAAACTAGGAAGGAAGGAAGCTAGGAAGGAAGGAAAAAAGGAAAAAATTTGAAGATTCACAACTGATATGGTTTGGCTCATCTTGAATTGTAATAATCTCCACGTGTCAAGGATGGGGCCAGGTGGAGATAATTAGATCATGGGGGTAGCTTCCCCCACCCTGCTCTTGTGGTAATGAATAAGTCTCATGAGATCTGATGGTTTTATAAATAAGAGTTCCCCTGCACAAGCTCTCTTGCCTGCCACCATGTACGTTGTGATTTTACTCCTCTTTCGCCTTCCACCATGATTGTGAGGTCTCCCCAGCTGTGTGGAGCTGTGAGTCCATTAAACCTCCTTCCTTTATAAATTACTCATTCTTGGGTATGTCTTTATTAGCAGCATGAGAACAGACTAATACAACAATAATAACAATAACAATATGCATCTCCTAAAATGCGCTAAGAACTGATTTAAACACTTAACATATATTAGCTCATTTAACCCTCTCAACAAGTCTACAAGGTAGGAACTACTGTTACTTACATTTTATGAGATGTAAGTTAAGGGCAGAGCTGGGATTCCAAGTTAGATCTCTTAACAACCTGCTTTCCCTCTAGATCAGAAGTTCTCAACCCCGGTTGCACATTCGATTCACTAGAGAGCCTGAAAATATGAAAAGTCATTCACATAAGGTCATGCATTGCAGCTCTGTTTGTAATAGCAAAAAACTGGAAATAACCCGGAAAGAGAGCTATGGCATGTTCCCATGACAGACTACTAAAAAGGAATGAGGAAGATCTCCACATGGCATAGGGAAGGATTTCCAGCAGGGAGTGAAAAAAGCAAAGTGTGTGGTATGCTGCTTTCATTCAAGAAAGGGAAGGATCATGTTTATATGTGTGACATAAATCACATTACATATGTATGTATATATGTTTCTATGTGTATATGTATTTATATTTTAATATAAGTAAACATACATGTATATATGCATACGTGCATTCCTTAAAGTATACGCATATACATGTATATTCTTTTATGTTTTATTATAAGGAAAATACATGTATATGCATATTCCTTAATATAAAGAAATATACATATATACATGTATATTTCCTTAATATAAGAAATATATGTCTATATACATATATATACACATATATATATATAGAAAATACATGGGCTGGACACGGTGGCTCACGCCTGTAATCCCAGCACTTTGGGAGGCGGAGGCGGGCGGATCACCTGAGGTCAGGAGTTCGAGACTAGCCTGGCCAAGTTGGTGAAACCCCATCCCTACTAAAAATACAAAAATAACTGGGCATGTGCCTGTACTCAGGAGGCTGAGGCAGGAGAATTGCTTGAACCCAGAAGGCAGAGGTTGCAGTGAGCTGAGATCGTGCCATTGCACTCAGGCCTAGGTAATGAGTGAAACTCCATCTCAAAAAAAAAAAAAAAGGATAAGAAAATACATATAACATTTCTTTACATGTATATATGTATATTTCCTTATATATGTGTGTATGTATACATAGATATACATGTAAATGTCCTTATATTAAAATATATAAACTATAAAATTAAATTTAATAAAAAGGATCCCTGTAGGAAGAGAGAGGGAGTAGAATTGGGGTAGGGGCAGGGATAAGAAGCTGAACTTCTTTGCACCATTTTTTGACTTGACTTTTTGTCTTTTGAACCATATAAATATTTTATGTAATTGTAAAACCAAATTAATTAAAAATAAGCAATTCCAAAATATGAAGATAAAATGAAACAAATGAATCCAAATATTTTATCTGGTTGGAATAAAACAGAAAGAATTAACGATTCCAAGTACCTGTAAAATGTAGTAATTTATTGCTTCTTGGCCTTTTCTATCTCCTGAAATGTGCTAAAAACTGATTGAAGCACTTACATATATTAGCTCATTTAATCTCTCAAGAAATCTATAAGGTAGGAACTATTATAACTGATTTTATGAGGCATAAGTTAAGGGCAGAGCTGGGATTCAAAGTTAGTATCTGTTCTTGATCTACGCTGTTAGATCAAGTGCAGTATCTGTTCTCAAGAGTTTAAAAATGTAGAAAGTTGACTATACATCCTTAGTAAAATATACCCTAAGGACAAAAAGCTGGGAAAAATTTAAACTGTTTTCAGTAATCATATTGTTGATAGTAGTTGATACCATCTTTGGAGACTATTGTGTGTTGTATGGGATAAAACAAATGAATAATTATAAACAGATTTCTTTTTTTAACACGAGAGTTTACACATGTAAAACCAATGAACTAAGAACTCTGTAGTCCAGAATTTGAATTAGAAATATGATATAAACTCATATTTTCTTCAAAAACAAAGCACTTTTTATAGTTCTGTCCTCTAAAAAGGTCTAGAAACAGTTACCAACTCAGTAGCAATAAGTACCCTTAGCCCCCAGATTGTCATCTCTAAATACTATTTTGCACAAAAACAAACCAGCGCCTCTTAAAGAAATAAACTGCCTAAATTCTAGGTTTGGGGCAGGAATGTATACATAAGTCTGGAACATCTTGCCACACCAGACACAAGGATCATCTGTTAGCGATGACAACAGAAGGATCATCTCAGAAGGACTCAGGAGCCAAACTAAATACACTCTCCCTGCCAAAGGTAGGGTAATTCAATCAGAATAAGAGTAATAATAGCAGCGGATTGAAGCCATCAAATATGTTCATATTAGTGAGTTCTTAATGATACTGGAAGAAACCACAACTACAAACCTTCGGTCACCTTGGGAGAATGCTAGGGATCCAGTTCCTTCTTTTGGAAGCTGGTAAATGAAGTGAAGTTATCAAGTATTTATTCTGCCTTTCTTATTTGAACCATACCTTATATGTGCATATGCATATGCACTATACACGTATATTTCCTTATCCACAAAGTGGATAAAAGAACGTTTCTCTTTATGGAAGCATTCTAGCAAACAATTCTAAATCCATAGAATTGAATTTTTTTTGTTTTTTGTTTTTTTGAGACAGAGTCTCACTCTGTGGCCCTGGTAGGAGTGCAGTGGCGTGATCTCAGCTCACTGCAGCCTCCGCCTCCCGGATTCAAGCAATTCTCCTGCCTCAGCCTCCCGAGTAGCTGGGATTACAGGCACATGCCACGATGCCTGGCTAATTTTTTGTATTTTTAGTAGAGACAGGTTTCGGCTTGTTGGCCAGGATGGTCTTGAACTCCAGGCCTCAAGTGATCTGCCTGCTTTGAACTCCCAAAGTGCTGGGATTACAGGCATGATTACATAGCACCCGGCTGGTAAATTTCTTTTAATCTATAAGTTACTCCTCTTCCTTTCCTTTTTACTGAGCAATTTTTTAAAGAAGAAATGAGGACAGTGTCTTGCAGAGTTTCTTTTCATCCAGATTTTGCTGATTGAAGCTCCATGATGTAATTTAACACACTGTCCCTGTATTTGCTGAAAATTGGTAGTTAGATCTGGAGACCTAATACATTTCAATTTTGAATTATTTGATAAGACTACTTCATAGGTAGTGGTGTATACTCACATCAAAGATACTTCATGTCTCATTGCCTCTTTTTTGTGATGGTAACAGTCACTAATAATCATTGACCAGATTCATTAGTGTATCAGGAATTTCAAAAAGACAATATTCTAGTCAGGCATGGTGGCTTACACCTGTAATCCCAGCACTTTGGGAGGCTGAGGCAGGACCATTTCTTGAGGCCAGGAATTAAATACTAGCCTGGGCAACATAGTGAGATCCTATCTCTACAAAAAATACAAAGAAATTAGCTGGGTGTGGTGGTGTGTGCTTGTAGTCCCAGCTGCTCAACACTTGAGCTTAGGAATTCAAGGTTGCAGGGAGGCAATGACTGTGCCATTGCATTCCAGCCTAGGTGACAGGCTGGAACGTGTATATACACATTATATACACATGCACATACATACATATATGTCTATAATATATATTATATATTATTTAATCTTTAAAATAATATCGATAATATATATTAAAGACATATATATGTATTGTGTATATAATGTGTATATATAATGATGTATATAAAATGTGTATGTATGTATATAAAATAATGTGTATATATGTTTATAAAACAACAGGGGAAATTAGATTTTGACTGATTATTTGAGAAATTATTGTTATATGAGAGATTATTAATTTTTTGTGTGATAATGATATTGTGGTTTTTTTTTTTAAAGTGTTCTCTTTTTTTAGGAAATATAATCTGAATATCAAGTAAATATGGCATCTGGAATTTGCTTCAAAATAATTATTTTTGGGCCAGGCCCAGTGGCTCATGCCTGCAATCCCAGCACTTTGGGATGCCAAGGCCGGTGGATCACCTGAGGTCATGAGTTGGAGACCAGCCTGGCCAACATGAGGAAATCCTGTCTTTACTAAAAATACAAAAATTAGCTGAGTGTGGTGGCAGATGCCTGTAATCCCAGCTACTTGGGAGGCTGAGACAGGAGAATCACTTGAACCTGGGAGGCATAGGTTGCAGTGAGCCGAGATTTCACCACTGCACTCTAGCCTGGGCAACAAGAGTGAAACTCCATCTCAAAAAAAAAAAATTATTATTTTGGGGTGGAGAGGGAAGTGGGTGGAAGCAGAGGTTGACACAAGATTGATCCGTAGTTGTGAGTTACTGATATTTGATGAGGTACATGAGGGTTCATCATGGTGATCTCTGTAAATTGTGTGTTCTTAAAATTTTCTATCTAAAATGTTAAAAAGTTATGGAGTAAAAATCCTTATCAAATTGCCTGTGGTAGTGTCTGGGTTCAGTTTTGTCTTTCCCTTTTAAAGCTCCCTAGGTGATTTTAATATGCAACCCAAATTCCAGAACCTTCTTTGATTTTCCTTAACAACCTTTCTGCACTGGGGTTTGGAACTCAGTCCCTCTAGAGAGACGCCGTCCTGGGGAGGCAACTCTCTCCCTTGTGATGGACTTCATCTCGAAACTTTTTCATTTACTTTGGTTTCAGGGTTGCAAGATCTATTTTTCTATTAGTTTTTCTAATTTCCCCAGCTGGTTTGAAACTTCAGGAAGTTAATAGCCATTTTGTATTTGGCTTATTTTGCCCTCGAGACCTCGGAGAATGCCTGCCAGTAATGAGCTGACCCATTTTTAGAAACAGGGTGTGGTTCTTAAGACTTCGCTGTCTCTTTCCTTCAAACAGGAAATGCTCATGTTCATGGGCATCTGCTTGGAAATCAGTTCAATTCAATTTTAAGATGCTAGATAGGCCAGGCGTGGTGGCTTACACCTGTAATCCCAGCACTTTGGGAGGCTGAGGCGGGAGGATTGCTTGCGACCAGGAGTTTAAGACCAGCCTGGGCAACACAGCCACTCCCTAGCTCTACAAAAACTTAAATGAAAAATTACCCAGGTGTGGTGGCACATGCCTGTAGTCCCAGCTACTCAGGAGGCTGAGGCAGGAGGATCACTTGAGCCCAGGAATTCAAGGCTGCAGTGAGCCATGATCACTCCACTGCACTTCAGCCTGGGAGAAAGAGTGAGGTTCCATTTCAAAAAAAGGAAGGAAGGAAGGAAGGAAGGATGGAAGGAAGGAAGGAAATGCACGCATGGCTGTTGGAGGGAGTTAGCAATCATTCAGGAGGAGGAAGCGAGTGTGAGAAATTCCTAAGGGGAGGCCAGGCATTGTGGCTTACATCTGTAATCCCAGCACTTTAGGAGGCCGAGGCAGGGGAATCACTTAAGGTCAGGAGTTCAAGACCGCCTGGCCAACATGGTGAAAACCCGTCTCTGCTAAAAATACAAAGATTTGCCGGGTGTGGTGGTGCATGCCTGTAGTCTCAGCTACTCAGGAGGCTGAGGCAGAAGAATCACTTGAACCCAGGAGGTGGAGGTTGCAATGAGCTGAGATTGTGCCACTGCAGTCCAGCCTGGGTGACAGAGTAAGACTCTGTCTAAAAAAAAAAAAAAAAAAAGAAAGAAAAGAAAAGAAAAAAGAGAGAAATTCCTAGGAGGCCTCTTCTTCTACCCACCTGCCTTGAGTTTTTAATCAGATCAGGGAGAGCCCTGTGGGATGCAGTTTCAAATGAGCCCCTCATGAATGGAGGGCAAGGACTGTTTGTACTGGAGCTGATGAACTCCCAGGAAGACTGTGGACCCAAGGACCACCCCTTAATCCCATGCACAAAATGCTGGACAAGAACAGAACTTCCCCAGAGTGGGACAAGAATGTTGGGTCTATCAGCTCCGTCTAGCAACACTGGTTGGGTGCAACCTACACAGTCGCACAGGGTCAGGCACTTGGTTGATGCTCTGCTATCGCTGTCTTGAAATTCGTAATCATTTTTAAATAAGAGGTCCTACATTTTCATTTTGCACTGGCTCCCTGCCAATTTTGTCCTGTTGAGAGGAATGATTTTGAATGTGATGTTGTGGGGAGGGTCAAACCATCTCTTGATTCAGGCCCAAAAGATCTGGTAACTTGGAAGCCTAGGGGTGTATTAAACAAAATTTTCTTTCTTTTTCTTTTTCCTTTTTTTTTTTTTTTTTTTTTGAGAAGGACTTTCACTCTTGTTGCCCGGGCCGGAGTGCAATGACACGATTTCAGCTCACCGCAACCTCCACCTCCTGGGTTCAAGCGATTCTCCTGCCTCAGCTTCCCAAGTAGCTGGGATTACAGGTGTGCACCACCACGCTCGGCTAATTTTTGTATTTTTAGTAGAGATGGGGTTTCATCATGTTGGCCAGGCTGGTCTCGAACTCCTGCCCTCAAGTGATCTGATTGCCTCGGCCTCCCAAAGTGTTGGGATTTCAGGCGTGAGCCACTGCACCTGGCCCTTCATTTTCAAATATGCTGAATAATAGGATTTAATTAAAAGGGACATGATTGAACATCAACATAGTAGCCAAAATAGCCTCTGAAAAATTATTTTACAGCAGCAGTTCTCCAAGTGAGGTCCCTGGACCAGCAACAATCAGCATTATCCAGAAAATGTGAATTCTCAGGCCCTACCCAGATCTGTGGAAGCAGAAACTCTTGGGGTAGAGCTTAACAATCTGTGGGTTAAGAAGTCCTCTGGGTAATTCAAATGCATGGTAAGGCACCTCCCCTTGCACATTAAACCCTGTTGAATTATGAATTGATCTGACACCCTCCCACATGTGAGAACCTGACTGTTTACAAAGGAAGAGCTTTCCCACCCCCTGGCTCATCTGACTGTTTACAAAGGAAGAGCTTTCTCACCCCTGGCTCATTTGTTGTGATTGACACCTGGGCCACCACACAGCCCTCTTAGCTACTTCTTATTGTTCCCAGTCTTTAAAATCTACCTCATGGAGTTTTCATCAAGTTACAATTCCACCTAGCAGAAGATTACAGGAGAAGAAGTAGAGTAAGAAATGCAAATGGGAGAGCTTCATGTGAAAAAGGACAAAAGATGGAGGGGATATTTGGTTGATTTTTGCCAGCTATTGCAGTCTCTTTCTCATTTATCTATCATATCTATGTATCTATCCATGTATGTATATATGTATCATCTATCTATCATCTATCTATCTATCTATCTATCTATCTATCTATCTATCTATCTATCTATATTAGTCTGTCCTCAAGCTGCTATGAAGAAATGCCCGAGACTGGTTAATTTATAAAGAAAAGAAGATTAATTGACTTACAGCTCCACATGGCTGGGGAGGCCTCAGGAAACTTACAATCATGGTGGAAGGCACCTCTTCACAGGGCGGCAGGAGAGAGAATGAGTGAAAGCAGGGGAAATGCAAGATGCTTATAAAACCATCAGATCTTGTGAGACTCACTCATTGTCACGAGAACAGCATGGGGAAAGCTGCCCCCATGATTCAATTACCTCCACCTGGTCCTGCCCTTGACATGTGGAGATTATGGGAATTACACTTCAAAGTGAGATTTGGGTGGGGACACAGAGCCAAATCATCTCTCTATCTGTCTCTATCTATCTATCTATCTATCTATCTATCTATCTATCTATCTATCATCTATTTATCTATCTGTATATCATCTATCTATTATCTATCATCTATCTGTGTTTGTCTACCTTTCTTCTATTTATGTAACTATCCTCGTGTATGACCTTCTGTCAGTCTGTCTGTCCCTCTGTGTACCTGTCTCTTTGACCGTCTACCTATATGTCTGTATGTGTATCTATTCATGTATTTGCATTTTGTTTTTTTGAGACAGAGTCTCACTCTGTTGCTCAGGCTAGGCTGGAGTACACTGGTGCGATCTTGGCTCACTGCAACCTCCGCCTCCCAGGTTCAAATCATTTTCCTGAGTAGCTGGGATTACAGGCATGCACCACCACGCCCGGATAATGTTTATATTTTTAGTAGAGATGGGGTTTTGCCATGTTGGCTAAGCTGGTCTTAAACTCCTGAACTCAGGGTGATCCGTCCCCCTCAGCCTCCCAAAGTGCTGGGATTACAGGCGTGAGCCACTGCACCCAGCGTACATATTTTTTTTAACTGAGATGAAGGATAATGGAGAGTGAAAAGGAAGGGAAAGAGGGGGAAAAGGACTTGAGTAAAATTTGTAACCTCTAGGAGCCTCAGATTCTTCAGATGTCAAAGAAGCATGTGTGTGAGTGGGGGTGAGCGAGTACAGATGTTGTTGTGTGTGTGTGTAAAACTGTCATTTCACAAGATTCTCATCAGGCTTTGGTGAGTACATTTGTTCCAACAAATCTTCTGACCCACACACAACGTGGTCAGTTAATGGGAATAGCAGTTGAGCCTGAAAGGGGAAGGAATGGGGGACAGGAGGGGAAGGAGGGGACTGTGAGGTGCAAGCTGATCAAGAGGGAGGAGGTGGAGAAGGCAGGAGAAAAGCGCATTGCAGGAAAGACAATTGCAGAGAAGAAGATTGCAGGTTCAGGGCCAGGCTGAGGTGGCGGGAGCAGGTTAAGTCAAATGATTACAGACGGTGAAAGGGGAGTCGAAGGTGGAAGAGCCTAGAGGTGTTCTAATAAAGACATGCCAGAAATAAGGGGGAAAAGCACTTTTTATGGCAGCAGCCAAAGAACCTAAATGAACATGTCTTTAAATGAATTGCTGTTGATGTTTCATGAGCCAAAATGTGCCAAGACTGCCTGGGGATGCTTCTCCCACCACTTTCCCACCCACTCCTGACCAAGTCGTGAAAATATATACCTGCTTCTCTCTCCAAGTCGTTCTGCCAACTAATTATCTGTAAAGATTCAAATCATGAACTGAAACACCACAGCTTTTTATGGGCACTAGGGGAGTATTAAATAGGGAGATTGGAAGCAAAATTAAAGTTCCCCCAATAGATTTTGTGGGGGGATTGATAAAAATCTGCTTTTAATTAAAAATATAAAGAAACAAGACCTCCTATGCATAAACAGGGAAGTCTTTGGGGCCTGGTCCCATGGGCAAATGCTGACAGATGCCTACTGGGATTTCGGCCTCTGCTGCCTGGTTTGTGGGCCTCCGGGAGGAGTGATTGATGGGCTGGCTGGATTTTCGGCTGAGAGGCCTCGCTAATAGATACACGAAAACAGAGGCTGTAATGCAGCTCACAAGATGAAGTAATGCGCTTGCCTCTGTCTAGGTGGGGAATTCAGCCAAGCCCTGTGTTTTAAAGAAAATGAGGCTTTTGTGGTTCTTGGCATGGGCTCACCAGTGCAGGCTAACCTTGGCACCCGTGTGCTAGGCTTTCTCTAGCATGTGGCTGCGGGATTGACATGGGCTCAGAGACTATCCAAGGGCAAGGATACTGGGTTCTGGGGACTTTCCACCTCCAAGCCTGTTCCTGTGTCATCAAAGGCATGGCGATCTACTTAGTTGCTCAAGCTCAAAAGCTAGGAATCAGCTTTCATTCTTCCCAAATCGCAAATGTATCTTAAATCTGTTCATTTTTCTCTGTTTTTCATTGCTACCACCCTATGTCCACCACCAACATCTCCTACCTGAATTCTATAAAGACCTCTCAATTAATCTGTTATTTCCATTGCTCACCCCTCCCCAATCCACCTTCCTGCTAAAGTCCAAATAATTCTTTTTTTGTGCAATCCTCGGCAGGAAATACATTACAGCCCAGTGCTTCCTACAGGAACTGAAAAACCAGATGGCCTGGATTTGAATTCCGGCTTCCACCTCCTACAGGCTCTGTGAGCTTGGCAAGCTCCTTAACCTCCCTGTGCCTCAGTTTCCTCGGCTGTAAGATGGGGACAATGGTACCTACCTCACACAAATTTTTGAGAATTGATTTGGTGTAAATAAAGTACTTATAACAATACCTGATAGTTAATGTTAATTTACTATACATATAAGTCTTAGTAAACATATGCACCTTGCTATAAATACAATGGCTAGCTATTATTTTGCTTATTATTCTCATCAACTTCCCCTTACTTTTATTTTTATTTATTTATTTATTTTAGAGACAAGGTCTTGCTCTGTGGCCCAGGCTAGAGTGCAGTGGTGTGATCATAGCTCACTGCAGCCTCGAACTCCTGGACTCAAGTGATCCTCTCACCTCAGCCTCTAGAGTACCTGAGACTACAGGCATGTGCCACCATGCCCAGCTAATTTATTATTTTTTTTTTTTTGTAAACACAGGGTCTCACTATGTTGCCCAGGCTGGTCTCAAACTCCTAGCCTCAAGTGATCCTCCCATCTTGGCCTCTCAAAGTGTTGGGATTATAGGTGGGAGCCACTGCGCCAGGCTCCCCTTGCTTTTAGACAATCCCAGACTTCTCTGCATGACTCCAAGGCCATGCATCATGTGGGTTCCACTGGTGTCTCCAATCCCTGGTTCTCTCACTCACTGTGCTCCAGCCACACTGGCCTCTCTGTTCCTCAGAGCAGGATAAGGAGCAAGACTAGACTGATGATTGAGAGCTGGTGTCCTTGTCTGCAGGAGGAGGGTCCCCAGGGTAGGGCAAGTAGAGAGGAAATGGGCTCACCTATTGCTGACTAGAGGGGATGTGAGGCCAGGGATCCTGGTGAGCTCTGAACTCCCCTTCATCGTGATTATACCTCACAGGGTCCATGACTGTGGTTTAGACCTAAAAATGCAAACGGAGGGCTGGGCAAGATGGCTCACACCTGTATAATTCCAGTGTTTTGGGAGGCTGAGGTGGGAGGATCGCTTGAGCCCAGGCATTGACGATCAGCCTGGGCAACGTAGTGAGACCTCGTCTCTAAATAAATTTTTAAAAATTAGCCAGGTGTGGTGGTATACGCCTGTATTCCTAGCTACTTGGGAGACTGAGGTGGGAGGATTGCTTGAGCCCAGGAGTTGGAGGCTGCAGTAAGCTATGATTGCACCACTGCACTCCAGCTTGGGTGACACAGAAAGACCCTGTCTCTAAGAATAAAAATTCAAGCAGGAAGAATGAGATCATAGCAAACACTGGTTTTTCCAGGGCTGCTGTCATCAAGAACGTGAACTGGATCTGATTGTGGAGCTTTTCCCTTCAGTAAGCAATAATTAAACGCCTATGATGCACAAAGCATCAGCTAGGGCTGAAGACATATATCCCATCCATTCACACATTTATTCATTAGTCCACAAATACTTACTGAGCATCTTCTATGCATCAGGTACCAGTTTAGGTGCTTGGGTGTATTAGTCTGCTCTCATGCTGCTGATAAAGACATACCTGAGACTGGGTAATTTATAAAGAAAAAGAGGTTTAATGGACTCACAGTTCTACATGGCTGGGGAGGCTTCACAATCATGGCAGAAGGTGAAAGGCATGTCTCACATGGCGGCAGGCAAGAGAGAGCTTGTGCAGGGAAACTCCCCTTTATAAAACCATCAGATCTCTTGAGACTTGTTCACTACCATGAGAACAGTATGGGAAAGACCCATCCCCATGATTCAATTACCTTCCATTGGGCCCTTCCCATGACACATGGGAATTACAGGAGCTACAATTCAACATGAGATTTGGGTGGGGACACAGCGAAAACATATCATTGGAATATGTCTGTGAGCAAAATAAAGATTCCCATTCACAAGGAGCTTACTGAGTTAGTGGAGAGAGAATAAATCTCCACTTAAAACAATAAGTATAAATATAATACATTTTTATAATATGATAAATGTAATAAAGATATATTATTTAATATATAATATAAAATACAATACATATAGTAAATAAATTCATGTATAACAAATTATTCTGGGTAACATAAAAAGCACAGGAGGGTAACAGGAGTACAGGGGTGAGGTGCAGTTTTAAATATGGTAGACAAGCTAGGCCTTGCTTAGAAAGTGACATTTGAGGAAAGCCTAAATGGAGGTGAGTGAGTGATCCAGGCTGCTCTATGGTGGAAGAGATTTAGGCAGATCCACCAGCCTTTACAAAGGCTTTATCCCCCTAAAGGTTTATTGAAAATCACTGACATAAGGCAGATTGATTACTAGGAGAAAAGGCATACAAATTTATTTAACATGTATACACAAGGGCCTTCAGAATAAAGACCCAACACCCCAGTGAGTTACAGAAGATTGTATGCCATCTTGGCAGGGCACAATGGCTCATGCTTGTAATCCTAGCACTTTGGGAGGCCCAGGCAGGAGGATTGCTTGAGGTCAGGAGTTGAAGACCAGAAGCTTATAGACCATTTTGAGGTTACAGAAAGAATGGAGGCCTGGATCCTGGTAAAACAGGTTATGGAAAAGGAGCAGGGAGAAGAATTCTGTTGAGGGGATTACTAGGGAGAATGAATGGATTGGGGAACTTGTAAATAGTTCTCTTTGGAATTTAAATGATCATTGGAGACAATCCTCATACTTGTAAAAGGGTCTGTTCAGGTGTGGTTATGTCTTGGTCTCCTTTTCTGCAATAGACAATGAGATAGACAGAGGGGAAAGAAAAACAGCTGTTCTCCCTGGTGGTTCTGGATCTCAGGCAGATAAAGGAATTTCAGCTTCTCAGGTGTGGAGGTGGGGAGGCTAGAGAGACCTTGAAGCTCCTTCATTTCAGCATGTCTAAATGCCATATTTTGGGGTATTGGTTTCTGAGCCAGTGGGTGTGAGAGACAAGAGGCAGAACAACCGTACTGAGAGTGTTCCAGCAGGCAGTCAGGCAGACATGAGCACAGCAGGAGAGGACACCCCCACTCCAAACCCAGCAATGTCAGGCAGCCAGCAGGTGATGGGCAGGCGGGTGGCTGTTAAGCTGTCTCTCTAAAATATAATTGGTCACAGCCAGTGCCAGGGAAAGGCAGTTTCCCCATAGACAGGAAAAACCTGAAACTGGTGATCAGCAGCTTCCCAATAAGACCTCAGGAGTTGGGTGAGTGGGCTCAAGCATGCACCCTAAGAGGCAAAATGGCTGAGTTTCACTGGTCTATGACCTTCCTCTAGGAAAACTTGACTGGTAAGGGAAGAACACCTCAAGTGAGCATGCATACAATTTCAGGAAACACACTGTGCATGCGGCCCCTCCCAGATGCTGGAAGGCCACTGTGCATGTGGACAGCCCACCCCATGGGAAGAATCAGGGGAGAAGGGATGCAACCCTCCGGAAGCAGGCCAACCTATAAAACCCCAAGTCCAAGGTCAAACTGCACTTGATCTCTGAAGTCGCTGTGTGGTCCTCTTCCAAGTGTACTTTACTTCCTTTCATTCCTGCTGTAAAGCTTTTGAATAAACTTTCATTCCTGCTCTAAAACTTGCCTCAATCTCTTCCTGTGCCTTATGCTCCTTGGTAGAATTATTTCTTCCGAGGAGACAAGAATTGAGGTTGCTGTAGACTCATGTGGATTTGCTGCTGCTAAAAAGTGCCCCACGTACAGAGACTCCATGTATCTTGTTCACCTACTGTGTGCTTGGCATATAGTAGGTGCTCACTAAATATTTCTGAAATGAATGAATCCATAGGACGTGGCTACTGACTGAATGTGGGGCAAGAGAGAAAAACAGAGTGAGGACCAGGCCATCGATTGCAGTAAAGGCTCAAGTCATGAGTTACGGTCAGGGGAAGTAGGAAATGAAGGAGAGAGAGGCAAACAAACAAACGAAAACCAGAAAACAAAGGGGAACCAGAAATAAGAAAACAAAAATTCAACCACACATGACCAAAAACATGGGCTCCGACCCCCAGCTGGGGCTTCTAGACCAGTGGGGTGTGGAGACCTGCATGCTTCAAAGCTGAGTTTTTCTATAGAAAAGAACCCCAGCCCGAGAACCAGACTTCTTGGGTTGAAATCCCAGGTGAACCTCCTGCTAGCTCTGTGATCTTGGGCAAATTACCTCATCACTGTCAGTACCTCAGTTCCCTGGAGTGATTGTGAGGATGAAAAAACAATACTTGCATAGGGCTTATGGCAGCACCTAGCATATAACAAGTGTCTGATGCACTTAGCTGCTCTGTTAATTATTATTATTATTATTATTATTATTATTATTATTTTGAGATGGAGTCTCACTCTGTCACCCAGGCTGGAGTGCAGTGGTGTGATCTTGGCTCACTGCAATCTGCACCTCCTGGGTTCAAGCAATTCTCCTGTGTCAGCCTCCTGAGTAGCTAGGATTACAGGTGTGTGCCACCACGCCTGGCTTTTTTTTTTTTTTTTAGTAGAGACAGGGTTTCACCATGTTGGCCAGGCTGGTCTCGAACTCCTGACTTGGTGATCCGCCTGTCTCGGCCTCCCAGTGTTGGGATTACAGGCGTGAGCCATGGCGCCTGGTTGTTAATTGTTATTACAAGAGAAGAGGGCCCCGTATAAAGTGTAGAAGCATGGGACATCAACATAGGGCCACAGTGGGCTGATGGGTGCTAGAGGCTGTGGCTATGCGTTGCAGCCATTCGTTCTGTCTGTCCTTGAACTCAAGGTCCCAGGACAGATTGATGGGGCCAAGCAGTCTGCAAGACTGGGAGGCAGGAGGCAGCTTCTAGGGGTGCCAGAAGAGAGAAAAAGTGAGAGGGAAGATGACTGTTAATGAGCAGAAGAGGGGCCAGGTGTGGTGGCTGAGGCCTGTAAGACAAGCACTTTGGGAGGCTGAGGCGGGCGGATCGCTTGAGCCCAGGAGTTTGAGACCAGTATGGCCAACATAGTGAGAACCCTTCTCTACAAAAGATTTCAGAAGTTAGCCAGGCATGGTTGTGTGCACCTGTAGTCCCAGATACTTGGGAAGCTGAGGCAGGAAGACTGCTTGAGGCTAGGAGTTTGAGAACAGCCTGGGCAATATAGTGAGACACCATCTTAAAAAAAAAAATTAAAACATTAGCCAGGAGTTGTGGAGCACACCTGTAGTCCCAGCTACTTGGGAGGCTGAGAAGGGAGGATTGCTTGAGCCCAGGAGTTCAAGGCTGCCATGAGCTGTGATCACACCACCCCACTCCAGCCTGGGAGACAGAGCAAGATCCTGTGTCTAAATAAATATATGCATTAATTAAATGGGGAGAAAAGGGCTAGACTCCTGAGTCCTGAGGATAGCAAGGAAATGAACCCATGGCTTCTGTAGTGAAGGTCTTTCTTGAAGGAGCCCAACAAACTTGCCCAGGCAGGGTAGCAGCTAAACTTCCCAAATGCCCAAGGAGTGGAAAACACTCCAGAGCTATGATTTCAACCCACAGCCTGAGCAGATGGGTTCAATAAAGCCAATGGTTATTTACATCAATGCGAAGACTGCCTGTGTTTATTTCTGGCTCCTGGGGTCTGGAAAGGAAAAGGAATGACTGAAACGAGGAACGTGCTGAAAGGCAAAAAATGGACAATCTAACAGGAAAAAAATGTTCATTCTTAGCATAATCACTTTCATCCCAGGGCCTCCAAGGGCTCGGTGAGGGGATCTGGTAAGCCCTCCGGAGACCTCAGACTCATACCAGCTGGGATCCCAGAAGAAGGCCCTGGGAATTGCTCTCTTATGGTCTGGGAAACATGGGGCTGGGAATCAGGGGAGTAGAAGGGATGCCTACTTAAGTGGGTGTTGGGGTTCAAATCTTGCCCCACTCTTTACTAGCTGTGTGACACTGGGCAAGACCAGAATCAATCTGGCTTCCCAGACCAGGCTTGGTGGCACAGTTCTGTAATCCCAGCACTTTGTGAGGCTGAGGTGGGAGGATCACTTGAGGTTGGGAGTTCAAGACCAGCCTGGGTAACATAGTGAGACCCCCCCATCTCTACAACAAATAATAAAAATTAGCCAGGTGTGGCTGCAGACACCTGTAGTTCCATGACTCGGGAGGCTGCGGCAGGAAGATTGCTTGAGCCAAGGAGTTTGAGGCTGCAGTGAGCTGTGATTGCACCACTGCACACCAACCTGGGTGACAGAGCAAGATCCTTTCTCTTAAAAAATTCTGTACTTTTGTTCCCACATCTGCAAAGGGAGCAAAGTAATGAAACATCCCTCGGAGGGTGGCAGGACTTGGTATTACAGTTAGGGAAGTCTCATTTGGTCATGTGATGGAGGGACCTTCTCTGCCTCCTTGACAAGTTCATGCCACCGTAGGCATCTCCCGGGGAAGGTAGGACTCACAGACCAAGCTTGCACCAGCTTTTGTCTCACTCTTTCCAGGTTTTGGGAGTAAGAGAATGCAACATGATATTGCCCCTAGTTGATGTGCCAGGCAGGAAAATCTAGGATCTAAGATGAGGAAATCTAGTCTCTAAGCCAATTCAAGCTCCCAGAGGCAGGGGCTGTGCTATGCTGGTTTAGTGGGGAAACACAGCCAAGCCTGATAGCTTGTCAGAGGCACTCAGGATGCTATCATTATTGCTCATGGTTTTAGAAAGTGCTGTGGGATTTCTGGCTAAAGTATGCTGTGTGTCCAGGGGAAATGCTGTTTCTCTCTCCATGCAAGGGAGCCTGGAACTGCCTCTCTTCTCCCATGTGAACAAATGGGAATGCCCTGGAGAGAGGCCATCAGGGGAGGAGGGCTGAGTCTCCCATAAATCAAGAGGTTCCATAAATCTCTTAACTCCTACTTTTCTCAGGGGAGAAGAAAAAAAAATTACAAGAGCATGCAGGGTTTTCTAAGTCTGTAAACACTCTTGTCCATGGCTCTCAGGGGTTTCTGTATGAATCAGGCCCCACCAGACTCAGTGCCAAGCACATAGCTTTTTAGATATGACCCGGCGGCTTCTCCAACCGAGCATTTTAAGAGCTCTCTGATGTGGCAAATGCTTCCACAGAGCCTCACCATGGGAAAGCTGCCTCCCACTGATGCATCTGTCCTCAGATCCTGGGTGCTGGGAAGCTGGACCAAGCTGTTAGGCTGCCTCATGTCAACTGGGAACCACTAATGAGCTTAGAACCATCATTAATTCAAGGCCTGGTCTGTTTCTTCATTTTGCCTCCTACAGTCTTGGTTGTAGAAATGCTTTTATATTTTTTATATATATATATATATATATATATGTGTGTGTGTGTGTGTGTGTGTGTGTGTGTGTGTGTGTGTGTGTGTATATATATTTTTTTTTTTTTTTTTGCTGGGGGAGGATACTGACTCACTTGCCTGGTACCAGCTGCAGTCTGTGTTGGACCCAGCATGCTAGTGCTCTCCTGTTAGTAAATCTCTGCATATGTACTTTTTTGCCTCTTTTAGAGAACAGGGATTTCTGCATTGGATGCCACCTATAAGGCATGCTCTCTTACTCACTCCTGAATCCCAGCAATGCCTGACATGTGACAGGTGCTAATGAACATTGACTGAACAGATGAGTGCATAAAAACAAGCTCTTTTGGCCGGGCGCGGTGGCTCGTGCCTGTGGGATCCCAGCACTTTGGGAGGCCAAGGTGGGCGGATCACCTGAGGTCAGGAGTTTGAGACCAGTCTGGCCGACATGGTGAAACTCCATCTCTACTAAAAATACAAAAATTAGCCAGGCGTGGTGGCAGGCGCCTGTAATCTGAGCCACTTGGGAGGCTGAGGCAGGAAAATTGCTTGAACCCGTTAAGGCAGAGGTTGCAGTGAGCCGAGATTGCGCCATTGCACTCCAGCCTGGGGGACAAGAGCGAGACTTCGTCTCAAAACAAACGAACACATAAACAAAAAACAAAAAGAAAACAACAACAAAAAACAAGCTATTTTGCAAAATGGACCAAACCAGAGAAGGAAGCAGTGGAGATTGTGAAGGGGTTGGGGGGTGGGATGCATTAACCCGACTGCAGGGCTGGCTCTACAGGGGTATGGCGATGGGGGAAGAGAGAGCCATTTGTTCAAATGACAGAGCCCAAGGGATACAGGTAAACTGACTTCATTGGGGCTGCCTGTAGTCCCCAAAGAATTCCCAAATGCGAGGGCTTTGGGTTTGCTGCAGAGGTCTTTGGAGAGTGACATTTATTAAAGTATGGTGAGTGTCAGGGCTTCGGTTGTAAATGTCTTATCCCACCTGGGCAGGAGTCTAGGCGGTAGCAAAGGCTTTCCAGGCAGGGTCCTAACTGCAGAAACATGGGTCTGGCAAGAATTAGACAAGGTGGAAAGGACCCAGCCAAGCTCTCTGGGCTTCAAGGAAAGGTCTTTTTATGGGCTGAATGTTTGCGTTCCTCTCCATTCTCACAAATTCATATGTTGACATTCTAATCTCACTGTGATGGTATTCAGAAGTGGAGGTGATTAGGTTTAGATGAGGCCATGAGTTGAGGCCCTGGTGATGGAATTAGTGTCTTTACAAGAAGAGAAAGAGACACCAGATTCATCTTCCCTTGCAATGTGTAGATTGAACAAGAAGGCAGCAGTCTGCAAACCAGGAAAAGAGCCCTCACCAGGAACTAAACAGGCTGGCACCTTGATCTTGGACTTCTCAGCCTCCAGAATCATGAGAAATGACTTGTTGTTTAAGCTACCCAGTGTAGGTATTCTGTTATAGCAGCCTGAACAGACTAAGACAAGTCTGATCCTAATGAGGAAGCACATGGCCCACGAGAACCAATCATATAGATGGGACAAAGACAAAGGCAGTGGGGAATGGGGAGATGCAAGTGGACAGGCACATGAGTAAGCACATGCCTAGTGGACTTAGGGCACCAAGACCAACTGCAGACGTCACCTCTGATGTGGACGTGTCTATGTGTATATGTGTGCTTAACATACTCTCTGAGCGTTTTACAACTGCCCAAGCCTCTGGTTCCTATGATTGTGTCAGGGTATGGACTCCCCAAATGAAGCTGGGGTTCACCATGACCCTAGGGACAGCATATCTCTAACTTCTAACAACTCTTTTCTCCTCCTCCTTGCTCTGTTGCCCTCTCTGAACTCCAGCCCTATTTTCCTTGTAGAAGAGATGCAGTGCACCCATATGGGTCATGGAGGCTAAAGCAACTCCATCTTGGATGCTAATCCACCATGTTGACTTCTGATTAACCCTAGTTCTGGGGATACTGCTAAGATTTCTATTTTATCTACGGTTCCTTATGTAAGAGCATTTACTTACTGTAAATCCTGCCCTTAGGTAAAAGCAACATTGATGTTATTGCAGACACACATTTACTATTTATCTTGCCCTTAGGCAATACTCTGTGGTATATAAGCCCTGGGTCTGGGGGGTAATAGCGCAGGGATCCAACCATCTCGAATCCTCCTGAAACATGGCTTCTGTTCATAAGTTCCTGTTAAATGTTATTTTCTGAGAAGCTGGATTTATCTGCCTCTTTCTTTGGTCTCAGTTTCCATAGACTTTGGCAGTAGGTTTGCATAGATCTCACCACAGAACATGGGGCATTGCTCATTTCACCTTGGCCTGCAGCTCTTCTGGGCACTTTGGCCCCACTAGCAGGTACCTGCAGCTGGTTGTCTAAGAGTTGTCTGTTAGGGCATTTCTTACCCACATATTCCAGAAATACCAGGATTTTGTCCATTTCCTGGAATTTCTCATCACTTTCCCTATTGTTCAAATACTTTCCTCCACTTTACTGACTGCCAGAGTCCTGATCATCTTACATAGCTGAGTGGAAATATTTTCTCCTCGTGTCACATTCTCTGATTACTCTTGTCTCTGTGCCTGTCTAGCACTGTGTTTATAGGTCATTGAGCAAACACACTCATCCAATCAACTCTTGCATGTGCTGAGTACCATGGTTATAAGATGTGTATTGTTCTGTTGGCCTGTTTGCTTTTTTTTGTTTAAATCATGACATTGTAAGCTCCACAAATAAATGGAATATACCTTCCAGTGTGTACCATAGTTTGGGATGAGCAGTAGGTATTTAGTAAACCTTTGTAATTCAAACTGAGCTGAAATGAATCAGAACCTGGACAATAAGAGAGTCACCTTGTGCCTCCTGTAAAAGATCAAATTCTGTAGATGTGGAATACAGTATAAAATGCACTTAATGCTAAAGCACTACTGAACATAATTTAATCTTTCTTGGGTGATTCAAAGGCTCTCCAGGATCTTATAGCGTTGGAGGGTCATTAATGTGAGCATCAGTTCTCATTGTGTGGAGCTGCCAGTCAGGGAGTGCGAGTTGATAGAGTTCTGGAGAAATCAGAATTCTTCTTCTTCTTTTTTAAGCCAACAATTTGCCTAAGTGTCTTTAAAGTGCATATTATAACCAAATCCTTGATTTAAAAATTTTTTTGGACAGAGAAGTTTAATTCTGGTGAGCTGTTGGGTGGATAAGAGTATAAATAATAGTGATTATCTGGGAGATGAATTTGTACAGTCCAGTCCTTGCTTAGGGTAGGGAGTTGAGGTGTCTGTACTGAAAAATGTCAGCTGTGTCCTGAAACAATGACACCAATGTCATTGAGGTTGTAACCAACACAAAGCAGGGACTTAATTGTTCTTGCTTTGTGCAAGTAACCCCATGTCTGGGGCCCTCAGATCAGATTGGAGGATTAAATGATCTCTTTCATGTGGGTTAGAAAATACTCTCTCTCTCTTTTTAGTCCAGAATTGGCTAGTTGGATGAAGCATGCCTGAGCTGAGGCTTGAATGCTTTTGAAAATCAGCAAACACAACTACAGTCTCCATGATGTAAACCAATCTGCTGGACTACTTCCAATTTCAGCTCCGACACATGAAGAGCTTGGAAGTCATCATTCCCATCCTTCACAAAAAGTAAAAACCAAACAAACTGAAAATTTGTGACTTTTCTTGGGTCCCTCAGAGAATAAAGGTTTCAGGCAAACTGCCAGCTTGACATCTGGAGAGAGAGGAAAATCCAAAGAGACATAGCCAAGATCTGTTTACCTGAACCTGATGACAACAGAATGATCAACTAGTAGAAAAACTTAAATAATAATTTTGATGACTTGCTGGAGGCAGAGTGTGAATTTGCCTGAGAGTGAGAGACCTGGTATTTGGTGATTACAGCATACAGGTAAGTAAAATGAATGATGGTAATATCACAGGGGATGAGAAGGATAAATTGGGAATAATCTAAGGTACCTGCACTACATGTGAAGTGGTTTAGTGTTACTTGGAAGCAGACTTAATTAGTTAAAAATGTAAATCAGAAACTCTAGGGCAACCACTGAAATGTTTTACAAAAGAAGTATGCTTGATATGCTAAGATATAAAATGCTTGATTAAAACCGGAAAAGCCAGAAAAAGAGGAAGGAAAAAGGAACAAAATATAATGAGTAGAAAATGGTTACAAGCATGGTAGCTATCAATCCAATTAAATCGATAATCACTTTAAATGTGAATGGTCTAAATATATGAATTTAAAAGACAGAGTTTGTCATAGTAGATTTAAAAAGCCACCCAATTATATGTTGTTTACAGGAGACCCACTTTAAATATAAAGAGTCAAGTAGGTTAAAAGTAAATGTGTGAGGTGATGAATATGCTAATTACCATGATTTGATCATTACGCACTGTAGACATGTGTTGAAATATCATTCTATATCCCATAACTATGGACAATTATTTCATGTCAACTAAAAATAAAAGGAAGAAAAAGAAAGAAAAAGCAGAGAGACATAAACAAAAATACACCATACTGATACCAGTCAAAAGCAAGCTAGAGTAGCTCTGTTAATTTCAGATGAAGCTGACTTCAGAACAAGTAACCTGATTAGGGATGAAGAAAGGTATTACATTATGATAAGGAGGGCAATTCTCTATAAGTTAAGAAGATCTAACTATCCTAAATGTTTGTATACCTAATCACCAATGAAAACACATAAGGCAAAAACTGAGAGAACTGCAAGAAGAAGTAGACAAATCCACTATCGCAGTTGGAGACTTCAATATCCCTCTCTCAGTAACTGATATCAAGTAGGCAGGGACTCAGTAAGGACATACTTGACCTAAAATAACCTACTGAGTTACATGCAAAACATACTTTTCTGTTATTTCTTATTTCCCTAACCTCTTAATTTTGTTTCTCTAACCTCTTTGAAATGTCTGAAGAGAAAACCGTAGAGTAAGTCTAGAAACGTGATTGAAATTTAACTGGGCAAAACAACAGCAACGAAAACAACCCAGTTCTGTTAAAGAAAATAATGATCTCTTTCTTTAGATTGTAAGAAAGAAGATAATGGTACTTATATGACCTTTCATTTGTATAATCCCTGTTTCATTTCAAAGTACTTTGTCTCCTAATTAAAAAAATCGTACTTGTTTAATTAATTTATTTATTTTGTAGAGACAGGGTCTTGCTATGTTGCCCAGGCTGGTCTTGAACTCCTGGCCTCAAGCAAGCCTCCTACCTCAGTCTCTCAAGGTGCTGGGATTACAGATGTGAGCCACTGCACCTGGCCCAAAGTACTTTTATATGCCTGTAGCTTATATGCTTTATTTTATTTAGTAGAGACAAGGTCTTGCTAAGTTGCTCAGGCTAGTCTTGAACTTCCGGACTCAAGCAAGCCTCCTACCTCAGTCTCTCAAAGTGCTGGGATTACAGGTCTGAGCCACTGGACCTGGCCCAAAGTACTTTTATATGCCTTTAGTTTGACCCCTACAACCCTTATCCATAAAATGGGTACAAAAATACATACCATGTAGCCAAAGAGGGTGTTTTCACTCCCATTTTACCGGCTCCATAATCCAAGATTCAAAGAGACGATGTGACTTGACTGTGATTACCCAGGTAGGCAGTGGCAGATCTGGACAGAGAAACCAATTCTTTTGATTCTTACCCCACTATTCCATCCACTCCACCAGGTTTCCTCTTGAAATAACTGGGTTGGAGAGAGATTTCTTGGCACATTGCTATTTTGGACTTTGCAGACATAGCATTAGGGGAGACACCCCCCACCAACACACTTTAACATCTGTACAGTTTCTCTTCCAAAGATGTTTTTGCAAACAGCAGCTAGTGTTTATGAAGTCATCCCGGATTTGACAGGATACTGTCAAGTATTCAGCGCCTTCCACCCTCCCTCGTTCTCTCTTCAACTCAGCACCACTCCCTCCACCTCCACCTCCTCCGGACCACTACATTTGATGCTTCCATTGCTTCAAGAACAGAGTCAGAGAAAAAAGACTTCAAATGTTTGGCTTTTAAGGTGCATTCCTGGTATAAATCAGAGAGATTTTGGAGAATACATATTGTATCAGCATTTGTTATCTTTTTATTCAAGATGAGATTTTCTTTCTTTCTTTTCTTTTTTCCTTTTTTTTTTTTTTTTTTTTTTGGAGACAAGATCTTGCTCTGTCACCCACGCTGGAGTGCAGCAGCATGATCATAGCTCACTGCAGCCTCATACTCCTGGGTTCAAGAGAGATCCTCCTGCCTCAGCCTCCCAAGTAGCTGAGACTACATGTGCATGCCACTGTGTCTGGCTATTTAAAAAAACTCTTTTGTAGTGATAGGGTCTCACTGTGTTGCCCAGGCTAGTCTCCAACTCCTGGCCACAAGTGATCCTTCCACCTCAGCCACCCAAGGCGCTGAGATTACAGGCATGAGCCCCTGCACTCCACCCAAGATGAGATTTTTCAAGGAAACTCTCACTGAGATGGGGGAGAAAAGCTAGGTGGGGCCATGATGTTACCAAGTTTGGTAAATAGGATGCATCCAGTATTGTATACTGCCTTTCCAGATCCTCTTCATGCCTCATTGCAAAAGGGAGGTGGGTGACAGAGCCCCATCCTGGGCTCAAGAAATCCTCCCTACCTCAGTCCCTCTGAGTAGCTGGGACTACAAGCATATGCCACCAAGCCCGCCTAATATTTTTGTATTTTTAGTAGAGTCAGGTTTCACCATGTTACCCAGGCTGGTCTTAAACTCCTGGACTAAAGTGATCTTCCCGCCTTGGCCTCCCAAAGTGCTGGGATTACAGGCGTGAGCCACCGTGCCTGGCCGAGAATGTTCACTTCTAACAAGTACCCAGGTGATACTGATGCTGTCAATCTGGGGACCAGACATTGAGAACCACGGGTTTAACTCACTGTAAGTCAGGACAACAATTATTTGCAGTGGAACACAATCCTAACTGATACCATGCCATATCTGAGAGCAGAGACAATGACAGGGCCTCCTCAACAGATGTCAGCATGCAGGGATGACCACATGTGAGGATTTGAGAGAATGTTCCATCTTGAGAGGTGGAGACTGGAAGGCCAGAACTTAAATAATACAATGAGGAACCAGGGGCGAGTCAAAAAAATTAGCCTGGCCTGGTGGTGGGCACCTGTAATCCCATCTACTCGGGAGGCTGAGGCAGGAGAATCGCTTGAACCTGGGAGGTGGAGGTTGCAGCGAGCCAAGATCGCACCACTGCACTCCAGCCTGGGCAACAGAGTGAGACTCCATCTCAAAAAACACAAAACAAAACAAAACAAAACAAAAACACACATAGAAGGGAGGGAAGAGAGGATTCCAGGCAGAGGCACGGCCTGGGCGAGAGTCTCAAGGCAGAAGAGTCTGGTGAGAGGTTTCTATAGGGGCAGATGAAGCAAGGAGAGAGGATAGAGAGGGACAGAGGCTAGAATGGGCAGAGCCTTAGAAGCTGCATGAAGACTGTGGTTTTGTGTCCTAAGGATGTTGGGGGGCCTTAGAAGGGTGTTTTTTTAAATAGGCTAACGTTTTATTAGAAGGGAGGAGATACAATTCCAGAGCAGCAAGAGAGAGAGAGTCAAAAAGAAGGAGAAAAAGCAAATACAAAGCATTAAGCTAGGTGCAGTGGCTCAGACCTGTAATCCCAGCACTTCAGGAGACTGAGGTGGGAGGATCATTTGAGGCCAGGAGTTCAAGACCAGTCTGGGCAACATAGAGAGACTCTTTCTCTACAAAAATGTAAAAATTAGCCAGTCACGGTGGCGCATACCTGTAGTCCCAGCTACTCAGGAGGATGAGGTGGGAAGACTGCTTGAGCCCAGGAAGTCAAGGCTGCCGTGAGCTGTGATCATATCATTGCACTCCAGCCTGGGCTACAGAGCAGGACCCTGTCCCCCCGCCGCCCCCCTACCAAAAAAAAAAAAAAAGAAAACAAAACAAAACAAAATGGTGCAATAGGGAGCTGACCACAGCTTTATGGGTTGCATGGTTGGGCCATATGGACCATAATTTGTGGTGCACAGAGTGGTCCACCAAGGAGTGAGAGGGTAAATTCATGTGCTGGCTTTTTTGTACCTCTTGTCCCTCTTTGGTCAGGGTAGACCTCACAGGGTGATAACTCTCGATATGGTTTGGCTGTGTCCCCACCCAAATCTCATCTCAAATTGTAGCTGTCAGAATTCCCACATGTTGTGGGAGGGATCCAGTGGGATATAATTAAATCATGGGGGCAGTTTACCCCATATTCTTCTCATGGTAGTGATTAAGTCTCACAAGTTCTGCTGGTTTTATAAGAAAAAAACCCTTTTGCGTGGCTCTCATTTTTCTCCCATGCCTGCCGCCATGTAAGACATGCCTTTTGCCTTCTGCCATGATTGTGAGGCCTCCCCAGCCACATGGAACTGTGAGTCCATTAAATCTCTTTTTCTTTGTAAATTACTCAGTCTCAGGTATGTCTTTATCAGCAGCATGAAAATGGACTAATTCAACTCTCTAGCACTCCTGGGCTGTGTCACCAAAGACCCCTCCAGGGGACCCCTGGGGAAGTCATAGCTGGAGTGAGGCACAGTGCTATCTCTGAGTCTGGAAAAGGTGAGAGGAGACAGAGACTCCATGGTCAAGGTCAGGTTGGGCTGGCTTGAGAACTGGTCTGGCAGGTGCAATGGAGGCCATGCCTGAGAGGGTCCTCACAGCAGAGAAGACAAGCACAACCAGAGCTATCCATTTAGCAAGCAGCTTGTCAACCAGTGAGGCAAATATGGGGAAGCACATTACAAAGTCCAATATAAGCCGGGCATGGTGGCTCACTCCTGTAATCCCAGCACTCTGGGAGGCTGAGGCAGAAATCCCTTGAGGTCAGAAGTTTGAGGCTAGCCTGGGCAGCATAGTAAGATCCCATTTCTACAAAATATTTAAAAATTAGCCCAGCTTGATGATGCACACCTGTAGTCCCTGCTACTTGGAGCTGAGGTGGGAGGATCACTTGAACCCAGCAGCTGGAAGCTGCAGTGAGCAATGATATTAATAGCTTCACTGCACACCATCCTCAGCAACAGAGTGAGACCCCATCTCTTTTTTTTCTGGAGATGGAGTGTCGCTCTTGTTGCCCAGGCTGGAGTGCAATGGCACAATCTTGGCTCATTGCAACCTCTGCATCCCAGGTTCAAGCGATTCTCCTGCCTCAGCCTCCCAAGTAGCTGGGATTACAGGCGTGTACCACCATGCCTGGCTTATTTTTATATTATTAGTAGAGATGGGGTTTCACCATGTTGGCCAGGCTGGTCTCAAACTCCTGACCTCAGGCGATCCACTTCCCTCAGCCTCCCAAAGTGCTGGGATTACAGGTGTGAGCCGCTGCACCCAGCATGAAACCCCCATCTCTCTCTCTCTCTTTTTTTTTTTTTTTTTTGAGACGGAGTCTCACTCTGTTGCCCAAGCTGGAGTGCAGTGGTGCGATCTCGGCTCACTGCAAGCTCTGCCTCCCGGGATCACGCCATTCTCCTGCCTCAGCCTCCCCAGCAGCTGGGACTACAGGAGCCCACCACCATGCCCGGCTAATTTTTTTTTTGTATTTTTAGTAGAGATGGGGTTTCACCGTGTTAGCCAGGCTGGTCTCAATCTCCTGACCTCGTGATCTGCCCGCATCAGCCTCCCAAAGTGCTGGGATTACAGGCATGAGCCACCGCACCTGGCAAGACCCTATCTCTAAAAAAAAAAAAAAAAAAAAAAAAAAAAAAAATCTTGGGGTGGGCCGGGCACAGTGGCTCATGCCTGTGATCCCAGCACTTTGGGAGGCCGAGGCAGGCAAATCACTTGAAGTCAGCAGTTCAGGACCAGCCTGGCTAACATGGTGAAACCCTGTCTCTACTAAAAATACAAAAATTAACCAGGCGTGGTGGCATACACCTGTAGTCCCAGCTACTTGGGAGGCTGAAGTAGGGGAATGGCTTGAACTTGGGAGGCGGAGGTTGCAGTGAGCTGAGATCACATCACTGCACTCCAGCCTAGGTGACAGAGTGACACTCTGTCTCAAAAAAAAAAAAAAAAAAAGTCCAGTACAGCCTTAGAAGGGTTTTAAGCAGAAGTTTGGGTAGGGGTTGAGCAGGTAAGGGTGGGGCAGGGTGTGTAGCATGTGGAAATTGTGAGTACGTGTATGTGTGTGTGATGTCACAACATGTTTTTGAAAGGACAATTCTGTCATACTTTGAGATATCACCATTGGCAAGAGATTTTCTACCTGTCCACATTTTGGACAGTCTTCTTGGTTAGAAAATAATTCCTTAAAATTGGCTATACATCCTTGGATGTTTGAAGATAGCTAGCATGGACCTAAACCTAAGCATAGATAGGCTTCTGAAGGCTAAGCAGATCTGGTCCTCCGCGTGTTTTTCATTAGACTTGATCTGATGTCTTCTTACCACCTGGTATTTTTTCTCAGCACGTATTACTGTCTGACTCCTAAAGTGTGAAGCTCTGAACGAACCCAGATCTATAGTATGGCCTGATTGCCCTGCATGTATCACTTCTCTCATTCTGGAAACTACACATTCAGCGCAAGCTAAGATTGTGTTAATTGTTTTGGCAGTCAGATCACACTATTGACCCACGCTGAGCTTACTGACAAGTCTAACTCCCCAGGTTTTTCATATAAACTGCAACCACGTGCAGCTCCCTCTTCCCACACCTGTGCCTTTTGGACCCAAGGGCAGAACCTTACATTTGTTCCAATTAAATTTTATCTTGTTAAACCCAGTTCATCACTCTATCCTGTCAAAAATGCCTGGAGCCCTTATTAGGTTTTCCAAAATACATGTTATACTCCCACAAGTTTCCAACCCATCAATCTACACACATTTGAATGCCTTTTCTGTGTCCGTGCTATTCTCAACATTGAGGATTTAGAGATGTTTGGGACTCTGTCATTGCCTTCAGAGAGCTCACAGATACGCACAAAGGCAAAAAAAGTTGCATGCCCTGGGTGCAATAAAAGAGAAACCAAGTTTGATGGAAGCAGGTAGAAGAGGTCCCTAATCTAGACCGGAGTGAGAAATGAGGGATTGGGGGGAGGCATCCCTGCAGGGGTCACACCTAAAATAAATCCTGCATACAAAGTAGGAGAGCAGAAGATGTTGGATACATTAAGGCATGGAACACTTGAGAACCTGCAAGCACTTGGGGGATGGTGAGGTCAGATATGAAAGGCTGAAGACTTCAGACTTCATCCTCATGGGCAGTGGGGAGCCACAAAGGGACTTCTACAGGGGGCTGATATATGTAGATTTGGGTTAAAGAAACACCATGTAGTTTGAGGGTGAAGGGGATTGGGCACATGGTACACACCTAGAGGTGGAGAGGACAGTGGAACTGTTAACCATGCTCCTGGTGAGAGTTGTTGGGGGTGATGATAAAGCAAGTTGGTGTGGATGGACAGGAGTGTATGTAGATCTGGGATTGAATCAACAGGTCTTGGTAATGAATGGAAGGAAAGAGTGAAGGTTGGTGCCGAGAATCTTGGCCTTAGCACCTGAGTACATAATGGTAATCTTAATTTGGATACGAAATTGAGAAGAGAAATAGATTTCAGTATGAGTCTTTGATTTTGATGCACTGTGAGGCATCTAATTAGAGATGTCCAGAAGACAGTTGAATACATCCATCCACATGGGCAGAAGTGAAGTGGACTGGGAGATACAGATTTGGGGATCATCAACCCTGAGATAATAGTTGAATATGGAGGGGTAAAAATGTTTAGGGAAAGTGTAAAGAAAGGGCTAAGATGAAGCCTTTATGAGGTCAGCATCTATTCACTCATCTATCCATCCTTCCATTCATCATTCATCTATCCATCTAACCACCCACCCACCCACCAACCCACCTATGCATTCATTCATACATCATCCATCCATCTAACCACCTGATCATCAATCCATCCATCCATTCATTATCCATCCAACTACTTAACCATCCATCCATCCATCCAACCACCCAATCATCAATTCATCCATCTATCTAACTAGTTAACCATCCATCCATCCATCCATTCATCCATCCATCTAACCACCCAATCCATCAATTCATCCACCCTTTCATCATCCATCCATCTAAATACTTAATCATCCATCCATCCATCCATCCATCCATCCATCCATCTAACCACCCAACCATCTATCCATCCATCCATCAATCCATCCATCCCTCTATCTGTCTATCTCTCCATACAACCATCCATCAGTCTAGCAAACAGAGTACCTATTATGGGCCAATGACAGTGACAAATGAAGAAAAGGTAGAATCCTCTATCCCTGAGGAGTTTGTATTCTGATGGCTGTGGTGGGTAATAAACATGCAGCAATAAGAAAATGAGATAACTGTAGTTACCAAGTGGCTCAAAGAAAATAAAATAGGGTGATGTGAAAGAGAACAACTAGGTTAGGCAGCATTAGCTGGGATGGTAAAGAAACGAGAAGGGGCATTTTAATTGAGACCTACATGAGAAGGAGGCAGTTTTATGTGACAATCTGGGGGATGAGCTTGGGATGACTAAAGAATGACAGGTACAAAGATGCAGAGAGAGAGAGAGGAATCAGCTTGGCCTTTGTGAATGAGAAACTGGAATAGCTGAAGGGTAGTGAGCAGGAAGGGAAAGAGTGGTGAAGATGATGTAAAGCAGGTGGTCAGGTGCCTTGTAGATTAGGTAGGATCTTACAGACCTTGCTGAGGACTTTGGCTGTGATGGGAAGATTGTTCATTAGGAACATAAGTATGATCTGGTTTATGATTTGGAAAGATCATCCTTGTTGCTATGTGGATAATGTTTTGTAGTGAGGCAAAAGTGCAGGCAGGGAGACCAATTAGGACAGTGGTCCAGGCAAGATATAATGGTAGTTTGATGATGGAAGTAGCAAGGGAGATGGGAGAAATGGTCATATTTGATATGAATTTTGGAGGTTTAGTGGATAGAACATATTTGTGGATTAGATGTAGGGTGTGAGGAAAATAATCAAGAATATGCTTAGGTTCTGTACATAAGAATTTGGATGATGATGATGCTATTTGCTGAGATAAAGAAGGCTTGAAGATGGAGCAATGCTTTCTTTTTGTGGGAGATGGGAGTAAATGGTTTGCTTGTTGCCAAGTTAGATTTGAGGTTTCTTTTTGTCATTCAAATGAAGATGTTGGGCAGGATGTTGGAAATATGAATCAGTAGCAGAAGGAGAGATAGGGTTTAGAGACACAAATTTGAATGTTGAGAGCACATACAGGCAGTCTCGAAGCCATGGGAATGAATGCACACATCTAGCATATATGGAGAGAAAAGATAAATGACCAGCAGGGGAAGGAGGTCTGTCAAGAAGACTGGGAAGGACCAAGTGCAGTGGCTCAGGCATGTAATCCCAGCAGTTTGGGAGGCAGAGGCAGGTGAATTGTTGAGCCCAGGAGTTTGAGACCAGCCTGGGTCACATAATGAGACCCCATTTAAAATTTAAAATTTAAGAAATTAGCCAGGTGTGGTGGCACGCGCCTGTGGTCCCGGCTACTCAAGAGGCTGAGGTGGGAGGATCCCTTGAGCCCAGGAGTTCCAGGCTGCAGTGAGCCATGTTTGCATCACTGCACTCCAGCCTGGGCAACAGAGTGAGACCCTATCTCGATTGAAAGAAAAAGACTGAGAAGGAGAGTCAGGTAGATATGAGGGCAGATGTTAAGAGAGGTCAGCTGGGCACAGTGGCTCATGCCTGTAATCCCAGCACCTTGGGAGGCTGAGGTGGGCGGATCACGAGGTCAGAAACTCATGACAAGCCTGGCCAACATGGTGAAACTCCGTGTCTACTAAAAATACAAAATTAGCTGAGTGTGATGATGCATGCCTGTAATCCCAGCTATTCAGGAGGCTGAGGCAGGAGAACTGCTTGAATCCAGGAGGCAGAGGTTGCAGTGAGCTGAGATTGTGCCACTGCACTCCAGCCTGGGTGACAGAGCGAGACTCCGTCTCAAAAAAAAAAAACAAAAGGAGAGATCAATTAGAATGAAGACTGAAGAGTATTCATTGGCTTTAGTACAAGGCAGGGCAGAGGTGGTGTTTGCCAGACCATTTCAGTGGCATTGGGTGTTGAAGAGTGAGTGGGGAAGTGAGACTATGGGGAAGTGACTGCACATTTTTTTCAGTAACCTTTACTCTGAAAGGAGGCAGAGAAATGCAGTAGTAGCTAAAAGGGGACCAATAAGTATGAAGGCACTTCTTTAAAAATAATACTAATTTTTTTTAGGGGATAAGGCAATGATCTGAACTTGGGCATGAGGTCAGGGGCAGACTACAAGCAACAGTAGCCTAATAATGAGCTGCAGAAATTGAGGACCTTGCCTCTGGGTAGCATTGATCTTGGGTCCTTGGAGGGATGGGAGCAAGTGGGGATGAAGTGGGTTCAGATGGGCAGAACAGAAATGCTGCAACCCTAAAACCATGTGTGGCCTGTTATCAAGAAACTTGTACCCAATGGGAAAACCGGATGTGAGGCTAACTTGGTAGAGCAAAAAAAAAAAATTTTTTTTGAGATGACATCTCTGTTTGTCACCCAGGCTGGAGTGCAGTGGCACCATCACAACTCATTGCAGCTTTAGCCTCCTGGGCTCAAGTGATCCTTCTGCCTCAGCCTCCTGAGTAGCTGGGATTACAGGCACAGGCCACCATGCCTGGCTAATTTTTAAATTTTTATTGTTTGAGATGGGGTCTTGCTATATTGCTCAGGCTTCACTCAAACTCAGTGGGCTCAAGAGATGTCCCTGCCTCAGCCTCTTGAGTAGCTGGGACTACAGGTGTGCACCACCATGCCCAAGTTAATTTTAATTTTTTTTGTAGAAATGTGGTCTCACTATGTTGCCCAGGCTGGTCTTGAACTCCTGGCCTCAAGTAATCCTCCTGCTTTGGCCTCCAAAGGGCTACTACAGGCAAGGACCACTGTGTCTGGTCTGGTACAGCAAGTTCTTAATGAAACTATGCTGCTTCCTGTTTTAAGAGCTCAAAAACCATCTGCTCTATAACATTTCCTGGATCAATACAAAGCACACTGGTTTAGGCCTCTCTTGGGTTTAGAGGCAGGGTTCCAATCTCCTTCTCTTTCAGAAAACTGGCAAAAGCAAGATACATTCTTGGTTCTGAGGGTGGGAGGGGAACTTCCAAAAAGAGGGCTAGCCAGCTGTTGTCTTGAGCCCCTGGATGGCCCTGTTCCCACTACTCTTCAGGCTTTCCTGGCCTCTCCGCAGGTCTCTCTCCCACCTCCAAGCTCCATCAGGAAACTTCCTGAGTCCACCCGCTCCCCCAGCCCCGCCAACCCCCAACCACGGTCTGTCAACCAAAGGCTAAACCCATCAGGCGGCCTCCAGGACTCCAGGCCATTGCTGCCTTCTGATTGGTCAGTGTCTTTGCCTTACAGGTGGTCAAATATATTTGAACATCACTCTTGCAATTTCTGGGAAGCAGAAATCAGCTTGTACATCTTCAGGTCTACTCTTTGCTGCTTCTGCTACTGGCTTGGCAGTCTAATTAATAAGTTCGTAGCATTCCTTTGGAATCCATTCAGTTCAAGAGACTTGCACTCTTGAGTGCCTAAGTGCTTGGCTGCATAGGCCGCCCCACTTGAGCTCTAATTCCTGCTTTTCACAGTTAATTCTGTCTCTTTGCGAACAAAGATTACTCTCTCTGACAGGTACAAAAGAACAGAACAGGAGCTGGAAGGACAGAGGGCATTGTAGGTGGAGGAAATAGAATGAATTAATGCCTGGAGGCACTTGGGAAATGGTGAGAGGCCAGTTTGAGCTCCGGGCTTGCAGCACACAGCTAGAGGCGGGAGGGAGCTTTGGGGGAAAATGGTCCTTTGGGGTCAATGCACACAGGACTCTGAGTGTCAAGCCTGGGGAACTTAGGGTTCATTCTGGGGGCCATGAAGAATCAGTGGAAAGCTCGGATTAGGACAGAGACGTGATAAGCCCTTTGCCTGTAGAAGGTTGACTGTGGGCTACAGTGAGGAGGGGCTGGGGGTAGGAGAAGCATTAGGAGATTTTGCACAAGTCCAGAAAGGAGCCAGCTGAGGGCATGGGGTGGGCACGGAGGTGACAGCAACACTTCTTTAGGGTCACTGGATGTGAGGAATGGCTGTTGAACTTGGCAGCTCTGTGCTCCGGGCAGGTTCCAGTAGTGTTGCTATGAAACCTGTACTGATTTTGCTTGTGTCTAAAACCCATCACATGTTAGCCAATTCCAAATTGTGTTTGAGTTGAAACTTCTGGTTTCTAACAAATGGTTTATTTAAATGACCTCTTTAGGGATTATTAAACATGCTTGTAATTTTCTGTAAGCTTCCTTGAGATCTTAAGGGTAAATGCAAACAGAGCTTTAACCCTTTAACATAGTTTTACGCTGGTAATACTTCTCTCTCTCTCTCTCTCTCTTTCTTTCTCTCATGGTCACATTTTTTGGGGGGATATGGGTAGGTGGCTGAGATGATGTTCAGACATTGCTCATTTTGGCAACCTCTTCCACATCCCGCATCACACACAGGACAGATCCCTGAGGCATACCCCTGGAGTGTTCCTTCAGACCACACACATATAATCTCGATTCCTCCCTCCCACCCCTTTCCATACTCTAGATTTTTAATTTTTACAGGAGACTTACTAACTGGGGAAACAGAGAGGGGAGAAGAGGGGGAGGAAAAACTTGGTGTGGTGGGTGTTTCCAGTTCTGTCCCTTTGACTGGGTTGAGGCTCTCGTTTGGGGGGTCCAAGAATGGGGCTGAGAGAACTCCTGCACATTCTTGCTGTGGAAAGCATAGTTGGATAAGGAGCACCAGCGCCACCCAGGAGCTTGCAGCAATGCAGATTCCCAGGCCCCATCATTGACCTAACAGAATCAGAATCTGTATTTTAATCAGTTCTCTAGGTGATTCCTCAGCACATTACAGTTTGAGAAGCAGTGGGGATAGTGGTTTCAAGCTCAGCTACACATTAGAAACACTTGGGGAGATTGAGGAAGTCTTGATGTTGGCCGGATGCAGTGGCTCACCCTTGTAATTGCAGCACTTTGGGAGGCAAAGGCAGGAGGATTGCTTGAGCCCAGAGTTCGAGACCAGCCTAGGCAACATGGAGAGACCCCATCTCTACAAAAGATAAGAAAATTAGCCAGGTGTGCTGGCGTGTGCCTGTAGTCCCAGCTACTGGGGAGGCTGAGGTAGGAGGATCCCTTGAGCCCAGGAGGTTGAGGCTGCAGTGAGCCATGACTGCACCATGAGACGTTTCAAAAACAAAATAAAATGAACTCCCAATGCCTCTGCTGCACCCCACACCCATTAAATAAGAATCTCTGGGACCTGGGCATTTCTACCAAGCTTCTAGGTGATGTTGATACTCCAGGTCCATGGACCAGCCCTTCATCAGAAAGATTCCAGAGAATGTACTGGCCTCTCATCACTATCAGGGCTGATGAGTAATGTGAAGCTGGGGAGGAATCTCCGAGGGCATCCAGCACTCCCTGGCCAGGCTGGGGAATGGCAATTTTGGGATCGCCCTTGGCTCTTGCATAAGTTTCCCACACAGGGACTGCTACAAGGGCAGCTGCATTACTCCCTTGAGGGGAATTACAATGGTGGAGTCCAAGTGGGAGCCAGGGTGTTTGTGGGCTGCCAGAAATAACTGGAGGACCCTTGGATAAGGGTTATTTTTCTTCTTGGGTAAGTTGAGGGGGTTTGAATTCATTCTAATGTGACCCCATTTTACCTTTTCCAAATGGTGAGGCATGACATATTGGACAGAGATTTTTATCTGTCTGTCCAGCCATACATTCATCCATCCATCCACTCATTCACCATCCATTCATCCACTCATCCACCTATCTGTTCATCCACTCATCCACCCATCTATCCATTCATCTGTCCATCCATCTGCTCAACTATCCACTCATTTATCCATCCATCCAACCATCCATCCATCCATCCATCCACTCATCCATCCATCCATCTATTCATCCATCCATCCACTCATCCATCCACTCACTCACCATCCATTCATCCACTCATCCACCTATCCGTTCATCCACTCATCCATCCATCTGTCCATTCATCTGTCCATCCATCTGCTCATCTGTCCACTCATTTATCCATCCATCCATCCATCCATCCATCCAACCATCCATCCACTCATTCACCCACTTACCTATCATCCGTCATCCATCCATCCATCCATCCATCCATCCAGCCAGCCAGCCAATCAATCATCTACCCACACTACTATGCACACAGTCTATCACTTTGCTTATTGTTAATGAACACCAGCTTGGTAATTGTTGCTCTCCAGAATAGTCTGAGATTAGCCATCATTGTTAAATTATCCTATGAGGATAGAAGGCAAGGCTCTAAAGAAGGCATACAGAAACGAGCATTCATTCTTCATGTGGGATGGCAGTTGCTGAGGTCAAAACCCTAGTATCATTAAGAAACACCCAAAGTAACCACTTGTCGGGGGTCACAAGGCCAAGCCCTTTACTGTTAGTGCTCTGAATGCTTCAAGAATTCTTGGTGTGGTTAGAAGCTGTGTCTTGAAATAAAGTACCCTGTGTCTTTAGGCCATTTGCAAATTCGCTTGGAATTCCATGCAGAAATAATGCCCGGCTACGGAAATCAGGCCTTCGGTGACAACCAATCCTCATTAGTGAGCACAAACGACCCACAAATGGCCACAGATCAGCAGCTCATGGGCTTTGTGCAGTGGCAAATTGGCCCCACTGGAAAGGCGTGCTAGAATGAGCAGCGCTGCACAACAGCCCTTGAGTCAGCCTGAAGCCTCGTCTCCCCACCCCCAAGCAGATGCAAGCCCTGCGTGAGTCCCTTGGCATTCTGTGACGCAGATGGTTTGATGGGCACAGCTGCTTGCACAACAAGAGTGGCGATGCTGTGTGGATCTCACCCACCCAGAAGAAAGGGAACAAAACGGCCCCACGCCCTTCCTGCTACTCTCCTTCTGCGGTGCTATTACTCCTCCCAGGCTGGAAACATTGCCGCCGGCTCTGACTCTGCTGTCACTTTCCTCCTTCCTGTAGCTGTGGTTTGGCACAGCTTTGTCCAGAGATATCATTGTCCTTGACAGACATTGGGTCAGCCAGGGTGGTGCAAGAGAGAGACAGGGCACAAAACGCAATCACCTAGGCCAAGGCAGGTGTGGGTGAAAGCTGACCTAGCTCCAGGCACAGAGTCTGAGGGCATCCATCAGTCTCATTGTTAATTCTAGAAGGGGTGAGCTCCAAGGAACCATCAGTCAAGGGAGCACAGCAGCAGGGTTTCTGGGTGGCAGCTAGTATGTGGCTGTGTATAGGATTCGGTGGTGGTTTAGGTAGGTATTGGCTCATAAAGAAGCATGAGAGCTTGTGGGCCAGGCTCTGGCCAGAGGCTTGTTTTTTTTTCTTTTTTAAATGGGGTCTCACTCTGTTATCCAGGCTGAAGTGCAGTGGCGAGCTCACTGCAGCCTCAACCTCCCGGGATCAAGTGATCCTCCTGCCTCAGCCTCCCAAGTAGCTCTCATGTACTATCATGCCTGGCTAATTATTTTTTATTTGTTGTAGAGATGGGGTCTTGCTGTGTTGCCCAGGCTCATCTTGGACTCAAGCAATCCTCCCACTTCGGCCTTCCAAAGTGCTGGGATTACAGTCATGAGCCACAGTGCCCAGCCCAGAGACATGTTCTGAAGTACTTGGCAGAGTGTGTGATGGAGCCAAGGATAAGGCTGTCAACTGGCTGTGCAGAAGGGTCAGTGGGAGAAGGAGGAAAGGAAGCTGTTCCTGGGGACTTACCTATAGTATTGACTCCAGGTATGTTTGGCATCAGTGGAGGACTTGGGACTGAGACACTGGGTCCAAAGTTTGGGATCATGCCAGGATTTCAGGGCAGCAGAACCGTGGTTACTGATGGGTGTCCTGACACACAACAAGAGTGTCGGCTTTTACGTAGGGGTTTTGGAGGCCATTGGCCATGAAAAGCTAGGGAGACTGAAGTGGGAAAGGAAGTAGAGGTTGGCAGTCCCTCAGCTCTTACTGTTACCTAGCTCTGTTTCTTCCTTCAAAAGACCTTTCTTCCTCGTCTTCATTTCCCCCACTCTAGGATCTGGGTACACTGCTTCATAGTCTGATTGCCACCCTACATATTTTTGCCTCATGTTAATTCCCTGGAGAGGCAGTTCTGGGAAATCATTAAGAGCCTGATTTAAAATATTCCAGCTCTGTGACTTTGTGTATGTGACTTCATCTCCCTGTGCCTCAGTTTCATCATCTGTGAAACTGAGATAATAATAATAAAATCTACTTCACAGGATTGCTGTGAGAATTAAATAATGATATAATAATAAAGCCCTTAAAATAATGCTTGGCATATAGTGTCATATATGTGTTTGCTGCTGAAGCTACTTCTGCTACCATTATATAACTCCTCCTGCTCCTCCTCTTCCTCCTCCACACAGTCTAATCCCTCTAAGCCTCCCTGCAGCCTCCAGATGCAAGCACTCATCAAATCTTCTGATGTTTAACCCACAAGTCCCATCTCTCCTCTGTTCCAATGGTCACCACCTCATTTCCAGTCCTCATTGCCTCTGGCCAAGCAATGGCCTTCAGATTGTCCTCCTTTCCTGCAATTAAGTCCCCATTTGAGCCATTTTCCAATCTGCCTCTAAAAGAGTTATTTTTAGAAAATGCAGATCAGATCATGTTATTCTGTCTTATTTTCAGTAACTCTACATTGCCCATAGAATAAAGGTCAAACTTAATCTGACCCCAAGCCATCTTCTGAACTCTCTGTGTACCTTTTGCTCCAAATATATCCAAATTCTTGCTCTTCTCCAAACCCATCCATATTTTTCCTTCTGCCTAGAAGTAATGAATATTTCCTTTCCTTCCTTCCTTCCTTCCTCCCTTCTTTCCTCTCTTCCTTCCTCTCTTCCTTCCTTCTTTCTTTCCTCTCTTCCTTTCTCTCTTCCTTCCTCTCTTCCTTCCTTCTTCTCTCTCTCCCTTCTTTCCCTTTCTCCTTCCTCTCTCCCTTCCTTTCTTCCTTCCCTCCTTCCTTCTTTCTTTCCTTCCTTTTTGCCAACTACACTTTTATTCCAACTTTAAAACCCAGATTGAGAGAAGTCTTCCCCAGTTCCCTCAGTGCATATACACAGTAGATGGCAGTTCTTGAAGGCAAGGACAGAATCTGATTCATGTGATTCACACATGGGTAGAAATGAAACAAGTGAGTAGAAAATCATGTTCTGCCACATAAGAGTTTTGTCTTAGTCCATTTTGTGTTGCCATAACAGAATACCTGAGACTGGGTAATTTACAACGAAAGGTTTATTTAGCTCACAGTTCTGCAGGCTGGAAAGTTCAAGGGCATGGCCCTAGCTTCTGGCAGGGGCTTCTGTGCTGCATCATAACATGGCAGAGAAGGTCAAAGGCAAAGCAGACATGTGCAAAGGGGTAAAACCCAAGGGGCATCCTGGCTTTATAACAACCTGCACTTGAGGGAACTAACCCGGTCTTGCCAGAGTGAGAACTCACTACCAGGAGAATGTACTAAGCCGTTCATGAGGGGCCCACCCCGAGGAAACAAACACCTCCCACTAGGCCCCACCCCCTAACACTGCCACATTGGGGAATCAAATTTCAACAAGAGTTTTGGTGGGGACAAACTTAAACTGTGGCAGATGGCATGTCTGAAAGTGAGTTATGGGAAGTAAGGTAGCTTCAGTAATTCATGACAGAGAGGAAAACTTTTCAGGTAGTGCTAAATAAGGATGTTTCCTATTTCCTCCAAAATGTCAGGTACATTGCAATAGCCAGAGAGGAAGCATCCCAAATGACAGCAGTGGATACAGAGGAGCAGAACTCTTTAGGTTTCTGCTTTGTAGGAAGTGTGCACTTTCAAGTCAGGAATACCTGGAGCAAGAGATTCAGGAAAACAGAAGCAGACAAACTCCAACTCAAGTCATTGTGCGCTGAACTGTGAGCAGCTAGGGATAGAGATCCTGGAACTATTGGAGGGGAGGATGTCAGCCTTGATCCAAAAAAATGGCCGAGTGCACTTGAATTTGTGTTGGATGTGAAACATTGTGGGAACCAGAAAACAAGGGCAAAGCTGGTGGATTAAAGGTAAAAGGGCCTATGCAAGGCAGAGCTGAACTACTCCAAGCTACCAGGAACTATGTTCTGGTCACTATTGCTGCTGAACAAGTCATCCCTAACCTCAATAGTTTCTCATGAATTTGCAATTTTGTCCATGAATCTGCAACTGGACAGGGATCCTTGGGAAGGCTGGTCTTTGCTCTTTGTGGCATCAGCTGGGAGCTGGAGAATCCACTTTGGGAGAGCTCTCTCATGGTTGACAAGTTGGTTCTGGATGTGAGCTAGGAGCTCAGTGGGGGATGAGGACCAGGGGTCTTAGTTTCCCTCCATCTGGGCCTCTTCACAAGCTGCTCAGCCTTCCTTACAACATGGCAGCTTAGTTCTGAGCGTGAGCTCACAAAAGAAGCAGGTGAAGCAGCCTGCTAGCAAATGTTGAACAATTGGCTTCCTGGGACAGAAAAAGCCCTAATTTGTAGTGTTTGCTAATTTCCATGGAGTAAATAATCCCAGAATGGCTAATTTCAAACTACTGAACATACAATTGGGAAAAGATGTATACAATTAGCTTTCAAGAGCTGGTATGAGCTCCAGCACCTCACTGGGTGGAAATTGCCCTAGCCTTGGAGGTCACATAGTGTCACTTGTACTGTAGTCCACAGACATGTATAAATGCAAGAGAAAGGAGCTTAGACCTCTATATCTTGATGGAAAGAGTATCAGAGTAGCATTGTAAGAAGAACTGTGGGATGGGACATATTTTTGCTGCAATTTAGAAAGTACAGTAGGCTGCAGAATGGAGATATAAATGCCTAGAGAAGCCAGGTAGAAAATGAAAATTGGTAGGGAGGTCAGGTGTCAGGTGATGAGAGCAATTGACATGTTCCCTCTGTGCCCTGGCAGAAGTAGGCGGGGAGGGCCGGGCGCAGTGGCTTTTGCCTGTAATCCCAGCACTTTGGGAGGCCGAGGTGGGCAGATCACTTGAGGCCAGGAGTTGGAGACCAGCCTGGCCAATATGGTGAAACCCTGTCTCTACTAAAAATACAAAAAAAATTAGCCAGACATGGTGGTGCATGCCTGTAATCCCAGCTACTTGGGAAGCTGAGGCACAAGAATTGCTTGAACCCAGGAGGTGGAGGTTGCAGTGAGCCAAGATTCCAGCCTGAGTGACAGAGGGAAGCTGTCTCAAAAAAAAAAAAAAAAAAAAAGTAGGCAGAGAGGAGATGCTGGTGAACAGGAGACCACCCACGTTGGGAGAGCCAAACACTTCTATGGCCAGAGCCAGCCCTCAGGCAAGTTGTTGGCAACATTTAACACGTTCCCAACTCAGAGGAGACTAGAGGAAATACATTAGTTCTTATATATTTTGAAAGCACATTAACTTGGCAGCCTGGATTTAAAAAAACAAAGACTGGGTGCAGTGGCTCATGCCTGTAATCCCAGTACTTTGGGAGGCTGAAGAGGGGAGATCACTTGAGACTGTTGACCAGCCTGGGCAAGATAGTAAGATTCCATCTCTACAGAAATTTTTGTTTTTTTAATTAACTGGACGTGGTGGCACACGCCTATAGTCCCAGCTACTGGAGAGGCTGAAGTGGGAGGATCACTTGAGCCCAGGAGTTCAAGATTGTAGTGAGCTATGGTAGAGTCACTGCACTCCAGCCTGGGTGACAGAGTGAGAACCCAACTCTAAAAACAGAAACAAAAACAAAACAACCCCTGCCTTTGGGTTATCATTCTAAAATGTCATCAAAAATGAGTAGATCCAAGTGCCATTTGCATTCAAGACTCTGATAGATAGTTGCCCTATGGAATGCTTCTTAAATCAGTCCCGTTTCAATTTGAGCATATCTAATATTTCCAAGCACAGTGTTTGCTTTGTATGTATGTTATACACACACCCATCAATCCACACATACATATATATGTATAATTGGCACCTGTCGTAGTGTGTGCAATAATATTTGCTAATTGAATGAAGTTAATTTGGCACTAGCTAGTGTGATTCTTGTACTATTTTCTTTCTTTTTTTTCTTTCCTTCTCCCCTTCTTTCCTTCCTTCCTTTCTTCTTTCCTTCTTTCCTTCTTTCTTTCTTTCTTTCTTTCGACAGAGTCTTGCTCTGCTGCCCAGGTGGGAGTACACCGACATGATCTCGACTCATTGCAACTTCCGCCTCCCAGGTTCAAGACTTTCTCATGCCTTAGTCTCCCGAGTAGCTGGGATTACTGACGCCCACCACCATGCCAGGCTAATTTTTGTATTTTTAGTAGAGACAGAGTTTTGCCTTGTTGCCCAGGATGGTCTCGAACTGACCTCAGGTGATTTGCCTGCCCTGGCCTCCCAAAGCGCTGGGATTACAGGGATGAGCCACCGCCCCCTGCCTCTTGTTCTATTTTCCACATGTGTCTTTGCTGCAGAGTCCAGAATGAAGAAATGGCAGCACAGTTGGCTGAGTTAGCCAAGGGTCACATATAGCTGGTGGCCCGAGGGGTCAGAGTGCGATTATGAGTTGGAATTCAGAGTGGGATCCTACAAATCCACTCTGTCCTTTGCCACCACATTGGGCAATCCCTCTTATGACTCAGTCAGGCTTCATTATTTGCAGTCTGATAAGCCATGATTAGCCAGTCCCCAGATCCTTCGAACCCTGGTTTTCCCTTCTCCCTGCTAATGTGATGTTTTGGTAATGTTTGCTCCTGCCACAGAGGAGGGGCAGGAACAACGGTGACATTCACAGTGGGAAATTTTCATACTGGCTGGAAGCATCCACCAAAATTAAATGTATGGATTATTTGTGGGTTTCAGTTTTCAGACTGTTCCTGTTCCCCACTGACACAAATAATTGGAAATTGACTATAGTAGCTCTTTGAGAAGATTATGGAAACACAGTGAACGATTGATGCAGCTGGATGAATTGGGAATGTGGGTCTTCTAATTTTTTTTTTTTTTGAGATGGGGTCTCACTCTGTCACCCAGGCGGGAGTGCAATGGCACGATCTCGGCTCACTGCAACCTCCACCTTCTGAGTTCAAGTGATTCTCCTGCCTCAGCCTCCTGAGTAGCTGGGATTACAGGTGCCCACCATCACCATTGGCTAATTTTTGTATTTTTAGTAGAGGTGGGGCTTCGCCATGTTGGCCAGGCTGGTCTGGAACTCCTGACCTCAAGTGATCCCCTGGCGTTGGCCTCCCAAAGTGCTGGGATTACAGGTGTGAGCCACCACGCCTGGCCCAGGTCTTCTGATTTTTGTATGTGTGTGTGCTAATAAAAATTTTTAATGTATAGCTTTCAATTAATTGATTCATGTTTGCTGGGAACCTTCTATATTCAGTTAGGGAATTTGAAGTAGGCCATAGTCCCTGATCTCTAGAGAAGCAGGGTCTACCTGTGAGAGGTTATATAGCCATACAATGTCAGTAGCAATGGTTTAAGCCAAGAAAGAACTAATATTTATTTTAGGGTTATAGACCATACAGTCCCTGGTTGGAAGAGACATGAGAAACTGACAAATTGCCTGAATGAACTATAGGTGAGGTTGGAAAATTGATTGGTGGGATCTGGGAGGGCTTCAAGAGGAAAATTCTTCAGAGGCTGAAGAGCAGGAGGGTAGCACTAGGTGTTGGAGGAGTGAGGGGCATGGGAGTGAGGGATTGGGGTGAGAAGAGCATTCCTGAGTAGAACCTCAAAAGCAAAACCTCAGAACGGAGAAAGTAGAAGACAACTTTTTTATGTATAAGTTTGTTTTTGGATTTTTAGTTTCTTGAAATATTTACTTACTGACTCTAAATGGACCTATTATATTGATAGGTCTGCAAGAGAGTACTATTATTTTAAAATATATAGGAAAAAGGCAACTTTTGTATCACACCAGAGTGGCTGGAAAGGAATGTTCTGGAAGGTGGGCTGCTGGCAGCAGGATTGAGTAAATTCGTTTGAACCAGACTGTGGTAGACCCGGTAACCAGGTCAAATAACAAAATGTTTTTCTAGTGTGAGATGTTGTTTTCAGGAAGACATAGCATTGCTACATGTTTTGTTCATGCCCAAGTTTGCTGCCTATGAAAAAATAAATTGTTTATTCATCTTTTGAATATGCATATGTTAACAAAAATCCAAAAACACAAAAAGGTATGTAGCACCAATTAAGTCTCCTGCCCACTCTTGCCCCCTGGCTTGCCAGTTCTTTATTCTAAGACAACCTAACAGGTTAGGAGTTTTTGTTATATGTTATTTGCCAACATCTAAAAGGTCTCTGGGCTTAGAAAGAGTCAGTATTATCTGCATCATTTTGAGTTGCGCTCAGTTTTAAAATTCTAGTCCTCAACTGCAGCCCAAAGCCAGCACTGTGTCAAGTGAACACTGGTTGCAAAAAATTGTCAACACTGCTCATGTGACATTTATTTATGTATTTTGAGATGGAGTTTCACTCTTGTTGCCCAGGCTGGAGTGCAATGACATAATCTCAGCTCACTGCAACCTTCACCTCCCTGGTTCAAGCGATTCTCCTGCCTCAGCCTCCCAAGTAGCTGGGATTACAGGTGCCTGTCACAACGCCTGGCTAATTTTTGTATTTTTAGTAGAGATGGGGTTTTGCCATGTTGACCAGGCTGGTATTGAACTCCTGACCTCAGGTGATTCACCTACCTTGGCCTCCCAAAGTGCTGGGATTATAGGCGTGAGCCACCGCACCTGGCCAATGTGGCATTTAGTACATAAGTGCATGAGCTTCTTTTGGGTTTTTGGGTTCCAAGTTACAGAATATAGTCAAACCATCTGAGGCCCAAAAAGGAGCTGTTGTCTTGTAAAGAGATCTCACAGAATCCGAGGAAAGAAATCAAAGTA
Organism: Homo sapiens; assembly: GCF_000001405.40. Taxonomy (NCBI): domain Eukaryota; kingdom Metazoa; phylum Chordata; class Mammalia; order Primates; family Hominidae; genus Homo; species Homo sapiens. Next base: position 69,248,869 of record NC_000007.14, on the reverse strand, counting down.
GAACCAGTCTCTGGGAAACTGTGTCTGGGCATCGCAAACTGAAACCTGTCTTCTCTTTCTCTTTCTGATTGTGTGCTGTGGGTTTGTGCAATTCATCTCTTTGTGCAGATTAGCCCTTTTTTTGTGGAAAATTGTTTGCCCTATTCCCTAAATCAATATGACCTTTCAGCTCTAGTGCTCACCACCCCCGTTGGCAAAAACTTCTATGCCTTTTAGCCTAAATTCTGGTGAGAATTGGATTGTACCAGTTTATCTCCCTGAGCCAGGCCACACACACAAGCAATAACTCGCACTGGCTGCCTTTGGTCACATGTCCATCCCTGGTCCCCTGAGCTGTTATTTGATCAGGAGCAAGGGAAGGTCAAATGGCAGGTTTGAGTTCCCTTTCAGGCAGTTCAGAATTACCCTTTTGACCTTATCTTGTTTCCACTGCTGTGTGTAACCTCCTTAAGGACAAAGACCCTGAGGGTGTCTAGCTTGGCATTGAACACATAGTTTGATGCTCGGTAAATATTTGTTGGTTTTATTGATTTTCGCCCCCTTCTTGGAAGACACTATCCTTCAAAAAGGACTGAAAAGTCTGCATTTTAGATATTTATTCAACTGCCATTAAAGGAGTGTGGTGAAGCAGATAGGACTCAAAAATTAGTTACTGCCAGGAGGTAATGATTTGGAGCTGTGTGTTCCTCTTTTGAACAGGATCAATAGATTATTTTCATTAGAAACACAAGGCAAAAAAAAAAAAATCACACAGAAACAGAGCAGCTATAGCCTGGGATATGTCCTTTAGATAGAATTTAACTATATGTCTACTCAGGCTCCTGAAAGTGTGACAGAGTAATAAACTCTTAATTGGAATATCTTGGAGGGTGGCCAGCCCTAGTGAGTGAAAATTGTGAAATTATGACAAGCATTTAGCCAAGTACAAGGCCTACTTTAATGATTAGATAAGAATCTTTGATAAGAGCAGAATGTTTACATGAAAATGATGCTGATAACGTGATTGTCAAGTATCCAGAGTTAATTTTCTTAAGTAGATTCAATGTCCCCCTTCCGATTTTGTTAGAATTGATCATTTGATTTGCAAACTTATTTCTAGAATCGCTACTAATTTCAGAAGAGCTGATTCTGGATGTGTGTTTTATTGGCTTACAAAAATTTACCATCCACTGGTGAATTTATAATTGCCAAAAATTGGGCTAAATTCAAATTGTTTTCTTGGGGAAAATGTTAGACAAGGGATGAATGAAGCACTTATGTTCTGCTAAGGTAAATATATATATATGTGCATCATTTACATTTGGTACATAATCAAGAAGTGTTATCTGGTCGGGTGTGGTGGCTCATGCCTGCAATTCCAGCACTTTGGGAGGCCGAGGTGGAAGGATTACTTGAGGCCAGGAGTTGAAGACCAGCCTGGATAACATAGCAAGACCTCATCTCTACAACACATAAAAAAATTAGCCATGTGTGGTGGCACGCACCTGTAGTCCCAACTACTCAGGACGGTGAGACTGGAGGACCACTTGAGCCCAGGAAGTCAAGGTTGCAGTTGAGCTATGATGACACCATGCCATTCAGTCTGGGTGATAGAGCAAGATCTCAGTCTAAAAAAAAACAAAAGTGTCATTTGTTGGGAAGCAATAGGAAATGGGATTTTGGAAATCAAGGTCCTGACATGGAGCAAAGGTGACCAGAATAATCCCTCAGCCTGACTTTATTCTACCTTATCAGGAAGTGGAGAGTGTCCATCCCTTTGACCCCAAGCAGGCCTTGTGACTACTTTAATAAAGAGGGCACAGAAAAAATGACTCAGGGTCAGTTCAGGCATAGCTCTTTGCTGGCCTGGCAGCTTCCACTTCCTGTTCTTGGGAGCCATCTGCCTTAGAAGTGTGTTCACCATGAGGTCTCTGTGTAGTAAAAAATCTGAGCCACGTGGAGAGGGCCTGGAAGATGTGGCAACTGTAGATTGACAGAAGCCAAAGAGTACCGAGGCACCACACATGAGAGTGAGCAAGCTCTCTTGGAAGTGGATGCTCCAGTCCTTGCCTGCCCAGCTGGTGACACAGACAGCAGAGATGCACCGTCAGCCAAGACTTTCTGACCTACAACATCATGAGCAGTTTAAATGGCGGTTTTAACTGTTGGGGTCATAAGTCACTTGTTCCTTCTGGGCATCCATCAGTTCATCAGGAACAAGACAATGGTACCTTTTTCCCTGTTTCATAGGGTTGGTGTCAGATTTATCATGAGGTCATTCTTGAGATAACATACGTGAAGTTGTTTTATAGGTTAAGAATGCTAAGAAGTGGAGCACAGTGGGTAGGCTCAAAACATGTGACTTAGGCATGGTGGTATGCCCCTGTAGCCTCAACTACTTGGGAGGCTGGGGCAAGAGGATCACTTGTGTTGAGGGGTTGGAGATTGCAGTGAGCTGTGATTGCACCATCTGTGAGAACCAGAGATGTGGATCTACTCAAAATGTAGTAGGGGAAACCAATGGTCAAACATCAGTAAGACAGTACAGTCATCAGGTCCAGAAAACTATTAATAGAAACAGGCTTGAAATCAAAGACTAAGACAGGGCACTGGTCAGTAAATCTGTTTGGATCAGAGAAGACTCAGGATGTTACCAAATCTAACTGGGGTCCGCTCACCCAATGCAGTAAAGCCAAACATCCACACCGAGGTTTTGCAGCAGGAGAAAGGAGGGCATTTATTTGCCGGGCACCAAGCAAGGAGAATTGGGCAGCTCACGCTTAAGACCTGACCTCCCCGATGGCTTGCCAGCAAGGATTTTTAAAGGCAGGGGTAAATTTCAGGAAAGTAGAAATTACAGGCAAAATTGTAAACCAATATATGGAGGTTATACATTGGTTTGGCCGAAAAAGGCAGGATATTTTGAAGTGGAGAGGCTTGCAGGCCAGAGGTGGATTCAAAGACTCTGATTTGTGATTGGGTAAGGAAGTAAAGCTTTGTCTAAAAACTTGGGGTCAGCAGAAAGGAATGTTAAGGTCTGGCCTGTGGTTGTGACTTCCTCCAGGCTCTGCAGGAAGAAATTTAGAACAAAGAATAGCAGTAAAAGTTCAGTCCTCAGATCCCCCTTATCTGAGGTCTACACACCAGCAGATCTGTTTGGTGGGGCCCGGGTTTCCTCTTGCTTACCAAGATGCTCACAAAGGAACTCAAGATTTTTCTTTATTTCCATCCTTGTGGGGCTCAGCAGACTTCTAAGAGGGTTCCCTGCTCCTTCTCAGGGATGAGTGTGGTAAATATCTCTCAAGAAGCCCTTCTGCAGTGTGTGCTGTCTCACTGTAAGGTGGTCAGCGGTTTTTTTTTTTTTTTGACAGGGTGTTACTCTGTCACCCAGGCTGGAGTGCAAGTGATTCCATATTGGCTCACTGCAACCTCTGGCTCCCAGATTCAAGCAATTCTCCTGCCTCAGCCTTGTGAGTAGTTGGGGTTACAGGCTTGTACCACCACACCCAGCTAATTTTTTGTGTTTTTAGTAGAGACAGGGTTTCACCATGTTGGCCAGGCTGGACTCGAACTCCTGACCTTCAGTGATCCATGGGCTTTGACCTCCCAAAGTGCTGTGATTACAGGCATGAGCCACCGTGCCCGGCCTGGCCAACTGTTTTGATTTGCCTGGGACATCCCTGGTTTTAGCACTGAAAAACCCATGTCCTGGGAAATCTCTTAGTCCTGGGCAAATTGGGATGGTTGGTCACCCTTGATACCTGACTTTTTGCCTTGATTTACAGGGTCAGAGGTGGGGCAGAAAGTATTTAGACAGACATATCCTATATCTGAAATGAGGCTGCTGGGGACCCAGCACAGTGTATACTCCTTTTGTAGGGCCCATATACAATAGAACAAGGAGTTGATTGGCGTGTGTTCTGCTTTGTGACATTGCTAGTGGGGGTGAAGAAGGTCCCAGCACAATGAAACCACGCAGAGCTGATTCAGCTACTTTCACACCTCCCTGGATAGAGGGTTGCATGTGACCCTGCTCATGCCTTTCCAGGTAAACCACCAGTACCCTTGGTAATAGCAGCCTCTGAATGTGGGCCATTCTACAGGAGTCTAACTTTGGAGAGTCTTATATTTCCAGTGGCAGAGAGCACAAGCTGTGTGCTAGTGGCAAAGTGACCACAGATGAGATCCAGTATTTCATCTGCAGACTGTAAATGTTTACTGACCTCAAAAGCAAATGCAACAAAAACAAAACTTGACAACTGGGACCTAATTAAACTAAAGAGCTTCTGCACAGCACAAGAAACTATCAACAGAGTAAACAGACAACTGACAGAATGGGAGACAATATTTGCAAAGTATATATCTGACAAAGTACTAATATTCAGATTCTATAAGAAACTTAAACAAATCAACAAGAAAAAAAACCCCAGATAACCCCATTAAAAAGCGGGCAAAGGACATGAACGGACACTTTTCAAAAGAAGACATACAAGTGGCTAACAAATATGAAAAAATGCTCGTCATCATCAATCATTAGAGAAATGCAAGTCAATACCACAATGAGATACCACCTCACACCAGTCAGAATGGCTATTAATAAAAAGTCAAAAAACCCCACCAGATATTGGCAAGATTGTATAGAAGAAAAAAAAATGCTTATACACTGTTAGTGGGAATATAAATTAGTTCAGTCCCTATTGAAAGGAGTTTGAAGATTACTCAAAGGACTAAAAGTAGAAGTACCCTTTGACCCAGCAATCCCATGACTGGGTATACGCCTAAAGGAAAATAAATTATTCTACCAAAAGACACCTGCACCTGTATGTTCTTCACAGCCATATTCACAATAGCAAAGACCTAGAACCAATGTAGGTGCTCATCAACAGTGGATTGCATAAAGAAAATGTGATACATTTAAACCATAGAATACTATGCAGCCGTAAAAAAGCATGAAATCATGTCTGTTGTAGCAACACAGATACAGCTGAAGGCCATTACCCTAAGGGAATTAATGCAGAAACAGAAAACCAAATGCTGCCTGTTCTTATTTATAAGTGGGAGCTATTCATTGGGTACACATGGACACAAAGATGGGAATGATGGATGCTGGAGACTCCAAAAGAGGGGAGGGAAAGAGAGGGGAAGGGTTGAAAAACTACTTGTTGGGTACTATAATCACTCTTTGGGTGACTGGATCAACAGAAACCCACTTCAGCATCACGCAAAATTCCCATGGAAGAAACCTGCACATGTACCCCCTGAATCTAAAATAAAATAAAATAAATGTTTTCTGGCATTATATGAAGTCGGGTTCTCAAATGTTAGCATACACCAGAATCCCCTGGAGACCTTGCTGAAACACAGATTCTTGGGCCGCATCTCCAGAGTTTCTGATTCAATAGAATTGGGAAAGGGCCTGAGAATCTGCATTTCTAACCAAGTTCCAGGTTGATGCCAATGCTGCCAGTCCAGAGACCAAGTTTGAAAACCAGTAGATTAGGACATCTCAGGAAAAGCCCAGCAATGGGGGAATTATTCCTGTTTTACAGAAAGGATGTATGTCAAGCAAAAGGGACTAAATGGTTTACCCAAGGTGGCTACTGCTAAGTGACAGAGCTGGGGATTTAAATTTCTCTCTTCTGACTGCAACTGCAGGCTTTCTGTCTCCATCTGGCTTTCTTCCCATTTGAAGGAGAAGCATGCCAGAAATGGTTATGCTCTTAACTTCCATAGAAGTCCACATTCTCCAGGTCTCTACATTTATTTAATCTATTCTCATCATAGTCTACATTGAACTCCAGGTAGTGAGTAAAAAGTCAAATTCAAGATTTAGGAGCTTTATCCCTGGTGTAAAACGTGCAACTTGTCCACTTTCTGAACTTGGTTTCCTTGACTCTATTTAACACCTCATCCTGTCTCCAATCTGATACCGTTATTTGAATGCAAATTATAAGTCTTTGGGAAAGGACAGTGTAGATACATTCTAAGTCCTAACAGAGGCTGCCCATGAAATTAGGAAATCAGTATTTTGTAGAACTCTCTTCATGCTGTAATGAAGACTGTGGTATGGAGATGAAGGCTTTTAGAATCCTGGTATCATGTTACCTGGATTTCAGAATGTTCAATTGGTAAGTACAATTTCACTGACTTTTGGAGTCAAATGTCCTGGGGCTGGACAGGGCATTAGTAATTAGAGTTCAATACACTTTTTCATAAAGTAGAATTCTTGTATTTTTTCCTAGGCAGCTTTTTGTTAAATGAGATTATACAAGACAGAGCCTTGTAAACTGCACAGTCTCAAAGTATTATTATGATATTAATAATTGTATATGAATACATTCTGGAATTGTTGACCTCAAAAGACATGGGAAGATATATTCTTACCTATTGCAAAGAGTTCTTCCTGGAGAGAGCCATGAGTCAGATGAGCTGGTGAGATGCACTAGTCCATTCTCACACTGCTATAAAGAACTACCTGAGACTGGGTAATTGGTAAAGAAAAGAGGTTTAATTGGCTTATGGTTCCAAAGGCTGTGCAGGAAGAATGACTGGGGAGGCCTCAGGAAACTTACAATCATAATGGAAGGTGAAGGGGAAGCAGGCATACCTTTCACGTGGCCAGAGTAGGAGGGAGAGAGAGAAGGGGGAGGTGCTACACACTTCTAAACAACTAGATCTCCTGAGAGTTCACTCACTCACTATACATTGGTTTGGCTGAAAAAGGCAGGATATTTTGAAGTGGAGAGGCTTGCAGGCCAGAGGTGGATTCAAAGACTCCGATTTGTGATTGGGTAAGGAAGTGAAGCTTTGTCTAAAAACTTGGCCTTTAAAAATCCTTGCTGACAAGCCATCGGGGAGGTCAGGTCTTAAGTGTGAGCTGCCCAATTCCCCTTGCTTGGTGCCCTGAAAATAAATGCCCTCCTTTCTCCTGCTGCAAAACCTCAGTGTGGATGTTTAGCTTTACTGCGCTGGGTGAGGGGACCCCAGTTCAATTTGGTAACATTCTGAGTCTTCTCTGATCCAGACAGATTTACTGACCAGTGCCCTGTCTTAGTCTTTGATTTCAAGCCTGTTTCTATTAATAGTTTTCCGGACCTGATGACTGTACTGTCTTACTGAGGTTTGACCATTGGTTTCCCCTACTACATTCTGAGTAGATCCACATCTCTGGTTCTCACAGATGGTCTCTAAGAAAGCAATCCTGGCGGGGCATGGTGGCTCACGCCTGTAATCCCAGCACTTTAGGAGGTCGAGGTGGGTGGATCACTTGAGGTCAGGAGTTCACGAGAACAGCAAGAGGGAAATCCACCCCCATGATCCAATCTCCTCCCACCAGGCCCCTTCTTCAACATTGAGGATTACAATTCGACATGAGATTTGGGCAGGGACACAGATCCAAACTACATCAGATGCTGATAAGCCAGTGTCATGTGCGTGTAAAAAAAGAAGTGATGGTCAACAGGAAAAAGAATAGATGCGCTAAGAAAAAAAGGCATCTTCTACCAACTACATTTAGTTTTTTTTTTTTTTTTTTGAGGCAGAGTCTCACTCGGTTGCCCAGACTGGAGTGCAGTGGCACAATCTCGGCTCATTGCAGCCTCCACCTCCCAGGTTCAAGTGATTCTTCTGTCTCAGCCTCAAGAGCAGCTGGGATTACAGGCACACACCACCATGCCTGGCTAATTTTTGTATTTTTAGTAGAGACAGGGTTTCACCATGTTGGCCAGGCTGGTCTCAAACTCCTGATCTCAAGTGATCCTTCTGCCTCCACCTCCTAAAGTGCTGGGATTACAGGCATGAGCCACCACAACTGGCCCATTTAATTTTTTTGATGGAATATCTGTACTGTTGGATTGTGGAATTATGGAATATATATAGATTCTACCAAGGCATTTGGTATCTTTCTAAGTTTGAAATTTGGGTTGTGTGGCATTACAACCACATGGATTCAAAATAGATTAAACATCTGGACTAAAAATATATTGATGGATGAATTAATGTCAGGCCAGAGTGGAAGTTCAGGGGGATGAGACGCAGGGGTCCACTCAGAGCCACATCCGATGTCTTGGAATCAGTGACTTGGATGTTCTAGAAAGGGTAGCCATAGTCATCATGCTGGATGACACACTAGAGAGTGAAACCCATCTCATGGGGTCAGAGTGGTGGGCTAAGCATAAAAATGTGGAATTGAATTGGAATCAATATGGAACCATGCATTTCCACCTTAAATTGCTCAGTTACAGCCTGAGAGAGAACTGGGGTAGCAAGTGTGAAACATTGAAAGGTTTTAGTTGACTACAGGCTCAGTATGCATCCATGTCAAGAGTAGTTGGCCGCCGTGCGCGGTGGCTCACGCCTGTAATCCCAGCACTTTGGGAGGCCGAGGCGGGCAGATCACGAGGTCAGGAAATCGAGACCATCCTGGCTAACACAGTGAAACCCCGTCTCTACTAAAAATACAAAAAATTAGCCGGACGTGGTGGCGGGCATCTGTAGTCCCAGCTACTTGGGAGGCTGAGGCAGGAGAATGGCGTGGACCCAGGAGGCGGAGCTTACAGTGAGCCGAGATCGCGCCACTGCACTCCAGCGTGGGCGACAGGGCAAGACTCCGTCTCAAAAAAAAAAAAAAAAAAAAAAAAAAAAAAAAAAAAAAAAAAAAAGAGTAGTTGGCCAAAAAGAGAAGGAAAGGCAAAAAGCCCAATACAGCAATTTTAGTTTGGATTAATAGAGGCAAATGGTCTGGAATGAGCAAGGCAACAGGTGTTCTCCACCCACTTTGCAGAGCCAGATCACTCCTGGAATACTGTGCTTAATTCTGGGCTGGACCCACCAACCTGGGACGCGTATCAGGGAGAGAGCTCCTGCAGGTCCCTTGTTTGGCGTGTTCTGTAATCTCAGCTCCCAGCCTAGGCTTCCACATTATGAGAAAAAGGCATTCATTCACTCATTCATTCATTCATTCAGCACTTATTCTCTCAAAAGCATGGAATGTGTTCAAAGGTGGATCTACGGCCGGGTGTGGTGGCTCATGCCTGTAATCCCAGCAGGCGTTTGGAAGGCCGAGGTGGGCGGATCACCTGAGGCCAGGAGTTCGAGACCAGCCTGATGAAACACCGTCTCTACTAAAAATACAAAAATTAGCTGGGTATTGTGGCTCATGCCTGTAATCCCAGCTACTTGGGAGACTGAGGCACGAGAATCACTTGATCCCAGGAGGCGGAGGTTGCAGTGAGCCGATATGGTGCCACTGCACTCCAGCCTGGGTGACAAGAGCGAAACTCCGTCTCAAAAAAAAAAAAAAAAAAAAAAGGGGGGGCGGAATCTACTTTGAAGCTGATGAAACTAACTGAAGCTTCAAACTCCTTTCTTGCCTCGGTTTTTCTTCCAAGGTTTTGGATGAGCCTCAGCAATGTGTTTGCATGCTCATATGTTTTTGCTAAATTCATAAACCTAATACATGATAACTGTCATTGTTACTGAACCAAGCTTGGGTTCCACCGCCCAACGCAGCAAAGCAAAACACTGACATGGAGATTTTTAGTGAGAGAAAGCGAAGTGGTTATTGCAGAGCGCCAAGCAAGGAGAATATCAGGCAGCTCACGCCTAAGACCTGAACTCTCTGATGGCTTGCAGGGAGGGGTTTTTAAAGATGGAAAGGCAGGGGTTACAGGCAAAGCCATAAGTCAATGCATGGAGGCTCTACATTGGTTTGACCTAAAAAGGTGGGACATCTAAAAATGGGGGTGTGAGGGCACAGGTCATAGGTGAATTCAAAGGTTTTCTGATTTGAGGCTGGTTAAAGAGGCAAAGCTTTGTCTAAAAATTAGGGTTCAGTAGAAAAGAATGTTAGCTCTGGCCTGTGAAGATGGCTTCCTCTAGGTCCTGCAGGAAGAAATTTAGAACAAACAACAGAGGTCAGGGTTCAGTCCTCAGCTTCCCCTTATCTGAGGTCTCTGTGTCAGCGGATCCCTTTGGTGAGGGTCTGGGTTTCTGAAAAGCAACTCGGGGTCATATGTTAAGATGTTATCTTAGTTTCTATAGGAGACCAAACATTTCACTGTAACTTCCTTGGCTATCATTTTAAGCCACTATTACCTTCTTGCTTATCATGTTGCTCATTTATGTCTCACAGCTGGCTAGGTGCCTAGAATTTGCCTTGAAGGAACTCAAGATTTTCCTTTGGCAGGGGACTGGGCATGGTGGCTCATGCCTGTAATCCCAGCACTTTGGGAGGCCGAGGCAGGGGGATCACTTGAGGTCAGGAATTCGAGACCAGCCCGGCCACCATGGTGAAACACTGTCTCTACTAAAAATAAAAAATTAGCCAGTGTGTTGGTGCTCACCTGTAATCCCAGCTACTCAGGAGGCTGAGGCAGGAGAATCGCTTGAACCCAGGAGGCGGAGGTTACAATGAGTCGAGATCGCACCACTGCAATCCAGCCTGGGTGACGAAGCAAGACTCGATCTCAAAAAAAAACAAAAACAAAAACAAAAAAGATAACATGAAGGATACAACGCCACTGCAATGAGAACATCTATAACACATTGGTAAATGAGGGTCATTGTAAAATCGCAATTTATAATAAGAAATATATATTATATTCCCCCATCTCCCCACTCGTGGCTCCTAAAAGCCTTTGTAATCTCCAAAGTGATGTGTCTTTTTTTTTTTTTTTTTTTTTTTGAGACGGAGTTTCGCTCTTGGTGCCCAGGCTGGAGTGCAGTGGTGTGATCTTGGCTCACTGTAACCTCTGCCTGCTGGGTTCAAGTGATTCTCCTGCCTCAGCCTCTCGAGTAGCTGGGATTCCAGGTGTCTGCCACCACACCAGGCTAATGTTTTGTATGTTTAGTAGAGATGGGGTTTCACCATGTTGGCCAGGCTGGTCTTGAACTCCTGACCTCAGACAATCCACCTGCCTCAGCCTACCAAAATGCTGGGATTACAGGCATGAGCCACTGCGCCCAGTCGTGATGTGTCTTTTTGTAGGCTACTAAGATGACTGATGGCTGCTGGCTCATGCACAGCATCAGGATGGGGCTGGTTGCCAGGTGAAACAACCACGTGTTGAGAGGGTTGGAACTTTCAGCCCAATCCCCGACCTCCAGGCAGGGGAGAGGGGTTGAAGCTTGAGTTGATCATCAGTAGCCAATGATGTCATCAATCATGCCTATGTCATGAAGCCTCCATGAAAACCTAAAAGGACAGGGTTCAGGGGGCTTATGGATAGTGGGACATGTTGAGGTTCCTGGAGGGTGCTGAGCCTGGAGAGTGCAGAAACTCCCTCGCACCCACCCGTGTGCCTGGCCTCATGCCCGTCTCCCATCTGGCTGTTCATCTCTATCCTCCGTAATATCCTTTGCAATAAATAGGTGAATGTAAGCCTTTCCCTGAGTTCTGTGAGCTGTTCTGGCAAATTAATCGAACCCATGGAGGGGGTTGTGAGAACCCCTGATTGATAGTTGGTCAAAAGCACAAATCACAGCCTAGGGCTTGTGATTGGCATCTGAAGTGGGGGACAGTCTTTGGACTGAGTCTTTAACCTGTAGGATCTAATGCTATCTCCAGATAGATAGTGTGAGAACTGAATTGAATTGAATTATAGGACCTCCAGTTGGTGTCTGCTGAAGAATTGCTTGGTTGGCGTGTGGGGGAAGCACCCCCCTCCATATTCTACACATCTGATGTCAGAAGTGTTGAGTTGAATGATGTGTGATTTTCCTTTTTTCCTATGTCTCAGTCATCAAGACAAAGAGTATTTGAGATTTGTTCCTGTGCAAGAAATGCCTCCAAATCTTACAGCTATCAAAAAAATAACTTTCTAAACATAACATCATTATTAACTAGTTATGATGCTCAAATAAACATTTGCAAACCTTCAATAATACGAAACTAGGTTTTAGTCAACCATGCTTGCTAGCAAAAATGATATTACAAATTTAAAAATCATTTCAAAAGCCAATCAAGGTTTATGTGGCCAAAAAATCGGAGGTTAAAAATGTATTACAAAGCAGTGTCAGGTAGTTAAGAAATAAACATATCCGTTCTTTTCCTGGTTTTGTTATATTTGTCTATTTTTAAAGTCTGTAATTGGCAGTATGCCCTTCCTTCATTCTAAATAAATATTCACTTTGTACCGAATCTGGTGTTTATAATTTTAGATTATTTTTCTTAAAGAAGGCTTTTCAAATTGTATAAGCTGCAGGATCCACGAGAACTACATCCACCTTGGCTGGGTTTTAGAGAAATTTAAATACAGATGTGCCCAGTGACTGGCCAAGGAGTTTATCACATAGGAGGAGAGATGAGACAAATTCATCCAAGAAGAATACCTGGCAGGATGTGACAAGAGTCTCAAGAGAAATATTAACAATGATTTTGGGGGTTCAGAGGTCTCTGGGGACACTTTCACCAACGTCTCAGCTCTCCCAGCCAGTCTTTTTTTTTCTTCTAGAGACAGGGTCTTGCTTTGTCACCCAGGCTGGAGTGAAGTGGTGCGATCATAGCTCACCGTAACCTGGGCTCAAGCAATCTTCTCACCTCAGCCTCCTGAGTAGCTAGGATGACAGGTGCATGCCACCACACCTGCTGATTTTTATGTATTTTTTTGTAGAGACAGGATCTTGCTATGTTGCCCACACTGATCTCAAACTCCTGGCTTCAAGGCCTCCTCTTGCCTCGGCCTCTCAAAGTGCTGGGATTACAGGCATGAGCCACTGCACCTGGCCCCTTCTTTTACAAAAAATTTTAGATTCAGGGGGTACATCTGCATGTTTGTTACATGGAAATATTGCATAATGTTAAGGATTAGGCTTCTAGTAAACGTGTCACCTAAATATTGAACACTGTACACACCAATAGGTAGTTTTTCAACCTCTCCCTCCCTGGCCACTTTGGGAATCACCAGTGTCTATAATAATTTTCCATCTTTCTGTCCATGTGTACCAAATGTTCGCCTCCCACTTATAAGTGAGAACAGCTTTCTGTTTCTGAGTTAGTTCACTTAGGATAATGGCCTCCAGCTCCATCCATGTTGCTGCAAAGGACATGGTTTCATTCATTTTTATGCCAGCCAGCCCTTCTTGCATTCACAATCATCTTCCTAAAAGAAAGGTTCCTTTAAAAAAAAAAAATCACCCTTCCATGTATAAACCACATGCTCAAAACGACACATCCGTGTCTCTCTTATGCTGTTTTCCTGGCCTGTAATGTCCTTTTCCCAATGGAATGTCCCGAGTCCACAGCAGCGTTATGGAGAGGCGATGGATTCCACACTTGAGACCCGGGCTCCCTTCCTCACCAGCTACATGACCTTGGTTAACTCATTTGACCTTTCCTCACTTCTAAAGTAGGGGCTATATACTAACCATTGCCGACCTCAAGCACTATAGAAAGGCACTAAATGGGTTAATGCATGTAAAACCCTTGTCAAATTCAAAGCTCCGAACAAATGCTACATGTTATTACTACGCATCCTTCAATGCCCAATTCAAATGCTACCACCTTTATAGTCCCCCCCAGCCCCCACCCCATCGATCATCCCTTCCTCTGTGCATAATAACTTGCTTCTGTTTTCATGTATTTAATTTGCTGTGTTATTATTGTAAAGTCATTCGCTTATTTATTCATTCATTCTTTTATTTCATAAATATTTATTGAGCTCTCCCTCTGTACGAGACACTTGCTTTCTCCCTCCCTGCATTTATAAACTGTCTGGGCAGAGACTGTCTTGTTCTTATTTGTGTCCACGAGAGCGTGTAGCTCATTATCTTGCACCCTCTAAGGGCTCAGTGATGGTTTTTTTTCAGGGATGACATGTGAACTGTGCCTTCGAGGTTGGGAGGATTTAGATTAGTATGGGTGGGTATTCCCGGGAGATAGGGTACAAGCCCTGCTTCCTTCCAGATTGGTAATTCCATCATGGCTGGACATTAGAATCATCTTGGGGAGCTTTAAAAGTCATGGGCGGCAGGAGAGACAGCTCATGCCTGTAATTCCAGTGCTTTTGGAGGCTGAGGCAAGAGGATCACTTAAGCCCAGGAGTTTGAGACCAGCCTGGGTAACATAGCAAGACTCTGTCTCTACAAAAAAATTTTAAAAATTAGGCAGGTAAGGTATGGTGGTACACACCTGTAGTCCCAGCTATGCAGGAGGCTAAGGTAGAAGATCACTTGAGCCCAGGGGCTGAAGGCTGCAGCGAGCTATGCTTGTATCACTGCACTCCAGACTGGATGACAGAGCAAGACCCTGTCTCTTAAAAAGAAAAAAAAAAAGACAAGGGGCTGCTTGAGTACCCCCACCCCTACTCCCAGAAATTCTACATTAACTGTCCTTGAATGAGACCTAGCATTGAACTGTGGGTTGTGTGCTTCTTTTTTTTTTTTTTTTTTGGTGGCTGTTGCTGTTGTTTGTAAAGACAGGGTCTTGTTTTATTGCTCAGGCTGGTCTTGAACTCCTGGCCTCAAGCAATCCTCCTGCCTTGGCCTCCTAAAGCATGGGGGTTACAGGCAAGAGCCACCATGCCCAGCCCATTGAATTCTGTTTAAACCACCCCCTCCCTCCAGTAATTCTAATGTGCACCTGGGTTTGCTAGCCACAGCTCAAAGACAATTTTATTAATTGGTGACTGGCACTGGCACACCTAGAGATTATCTTTAGTTCACTGGCCCATCATGGGGATGACTCTGGGGATAACAAATCCTACTTAGTTTCCCCATGCCTGAATCTTGGGAGGCCGACCTACCCTTTCCTCTCACTCAGCTATTCCTGGTGAGCGGTCTTTGATAGTCATTTGTGTTTTTCATGACTTGACAAAGGCCAGGTCAGACACGCCACCAATATGTTTCTAGTTTATTGATCCAAGACCCCATTATTTCATTGAAGGAAGCGGTGGGTGGGCCAGACAGACATGGCCATGCCGGGACTGCACGTTCTCCTGTTTGTCACCTTTCTAGAACCTCTCTCTCTGCTCCATGGATTGAAAAACAAAAAGGGACCAGGTGCAGCGGCTCACACCTATAATCCCAGCACTTTGGGAGGCCGAGGCAGGTGGATCGCCTGAGGTCAGTAGTTTGAGACCAGCCTGGCCAACATGGTGAAACCCCGTCTCTACTAAAAATACAAAAATTAGCCGGGCATGGTGATGGGTGCTTGTAATCCCAGCTACTCAGGAGGCTGAGGCAGGAAAATCGCTTGAACCTAGGAGGCGGAGGTTGCAGTGAGCCCAGATCACAGCACTTCACTCCAGCCTGGGCGAAAGAGCGAAACTCCCATCTCAAAAAAAAAAAAAAAAAAAAAAAAAAAAAAAAAAAGAGAGAGAGAAAGAAAGAAAAAGAAAAAAAGAACAGATCTATTCACCAAAGAGCTAAAGAAACCTTCAGAGAGTCTTCCCCGTTCCCCACTTTTCCACTTCATCTCACTGTTCCTAGAGCTCTAATTGAATTTTTACACTTCATTTATGTGTTTTTAGTCCATGCATTCTTGTGTTTTCTTTCTTTCCTCCCCTTGAAGAGCTTCCCCTCCAGGTCGGCCACCTGTGATTACGCCTCCCATGCAGACGTGCAGAGCGACATTTAATAACAGGGGCGCTTTCCTGACAGCTGTTTTGATAATGGTGGCGGGGAAGTTTCTTTCATGGGTGCACTTGGCAGAGAAAGCCTCGCCTGGTATCACAGTCTGAGATGTTCCGGGATCCACCTGTAATTATACCTTCTCAACCTCACCTATCCACTTCCTTTTCAGAGGAGAACTATACTGAGTGGCACTCACCTCCCAAGTAGAAGAGGTGCTGACTTTTCAAGCAGATCAAGGCAGATTTGGGGGTTAGGAAATTAGTATTTCATTCTTCACCTGCCCTGCGGGTGCCGTCACTACCAGAGAAAGACTGCTGGCTGGAATTGGAAAGATCATCCCCACAGGGGGTAACAACAATACCATCGCCTTTACCTTGATGGGGGGCTTGTTTCCAAAAGAAATTATGCCTCCATTAAGGGCCATTTTAGACCATTAGTGATGTGTTTGCATTTCCACAAGAATGTTTACCTTTCCCCGCAGGGAACCGAGGTCAGTCCGTGCTGTTCACGAGTTAGTAACTGTGATCAAAGCTCTCTGCTTTAGCTCAAGGAACCAACCCTCAGGTTTGGGAGTTGAATTTCGACTCACTAATTGGCTCTGCAGGTGCCTTTGTTTTTCATTTCCACTCCCTAAGTGCCCTTGTCAGTCTCTGGCCGGCCTCCCTGGGTGCTAGAGAATTCAAAACAAGGAAAACAGGGAAAACTTGGGGAGCAGGAAACTGAAGGTTACTCTGGAGATCCTTTTGCCGGCTGGATAAGTCACCTGATTTCTCTGTGCCGCAGTTTTGGGATCATGTGGGTACCCACCTACTAGCTCCATGGGAAGGTTAGGTGAGATAAGGCATAGACGCCCTCAGCAAATGCAAGGCAGAGCGCCCTGCTCAATAAAAGGGAGCTGTTGTTATTTCAATGTTCTTTCTTCTATCGTTACAAGAGGGGACCAAAGTCCTGTCTGGATGGTCCCCCCTACCCCTGCCTATCCCAGGAGGGAATCCATAAAAAAAAAAAAATACAAAGAAGCCTTTTGAAATCTCAATAGTTGGATGACACCTTTGACGCTTATTTATTATTTATTTCGAGATGGAGTCTTGCTCTGTCACCCCGGCTGGAGTGCAGTGGTGCAATCTTGGCTCACTGCAACCTCTGCCTCCGGGGTTCAAGCAAGTCTCCTGTCTCAGCCTCCTGAGTAGCTGGGATTACAGGTGCACACCACCAGCATGGCTATTTTTTTTTTTTGTATTTTTAGTAGAGACAGGGTTTTGCCATGTTGGCCAGGCTGGTCTTGAACTCCTGACCTCAGGTGATCCGCCCACCTTGGCCTCCCAAAATGCTTGGATTACAGGTGTGAACAACCGTGCCCGGCCCCCTTGATGCTTTTTAATCCCAACTACAGCAAAACTTTTTCTAAGTTGTTTTTGTTTGTTTCTTGAGACTGGGTCTTGCTCTGTCACTCAGGCTGAAGTGTAGTGGTGCGATCATAGCTCACTGAAGCCTCCAACTCCTGATCTCAAGCGATCCTCCTGCTTCTGCCTCCCAAGTAGCTAGGACCACAGGCATGCGCCACTGAGCCCATCTAATTATTATTACTAATTTTTATTTTTATTTTTTTTGAGACTTGGTTTCACTAAATTGCTCAGGCTGGTCTCAAACTCCTGGGCTCAGGTGATCCTCCTGCCTAGGCCTCCCAAAGCATTGGGATTACAGGTGTGAGCCACTGCACCTGGCCTCCTTTGATGCTTTTTAATCCCATTTACAGCAAACATCTCTCCAAGTCATTCCTAATGGGAGAAGCTTCTACCTTTTGCTCCATACTGGTAGGGCCAGAGACTCTGCTTTTTAAAGATGCCTAGATCATTTTCAGATTTTAAAAAGTTATTGTTTCATATTGGGTTCACATCTATCTCCCTAGAATGTTTTCCTTTTTTTCTTTCTTTTTTTTTTTTCTTCTTGCCGGAGTCTCGCTCTGTCACCCAGGCTGGATGACAATGGCACGATCTTGGCTCACTGCAACCTCTGCCTCCCAGGTTCAAGCAATTCTCCTGCCTCAGCCTCCTGAGTAGCTGGGACTACAGGTGCCTACCACCATGGCTGGCTAATTTTTGAATTTTTAGTAAAGACGGGGTTTCACCATGTTGGCCAGGCTGGTCTCGAACTCCTGGCCTCAAGTGATCCACTTGCCTAGGCCCCCCAAAGTGTTGGGATTATAGGCATGAGCCGCAGTGCCCAGCCCTCTCTATAACTTTTGATGTAATGTGCTGTACTGGATGGGATCATTGTCAAGTTAAACATTAGGATGGAAAACTGACAGCAGGCTTCTTAAGTCCCTTCTAACTCCAAGCCTTTATGAGTCTAATCTAGTCTTTTCCTCATTCATAAGATGAGCATAGTTATTACCTCCCCTGCCTACTTCATACCACTCCTGTTAGCACTGGTTGTGACTACATTGGTTTGGAAAGTGCTAAAAATTTAAGGGGTATCATTATCCTTTTGGGCAACGTTCATCATGCTTACCTCATTTCAGCATGACAACTCCACAAGACTTACATAAGTTTCCAAAAACACCTCAAAATAGAAAGAATTCTGTAATGACCCCATCCACCCATACCCATCACCCAGTGGCAGAAATTACCAGTATTTTTGCTAATCTCGTCATATGGTTTCTTGACCTTGTTCCCATCTGCCTTCCCCTGAGCATTTTCTAGATTGCTGGTGTCTCCACTGAAATAGAATTATTAGTGGATTTTAAGCTGTCAGAGTAGAGGGCATGTCTGTCTTGTTTATCATGGTATCTTTAGTGCCTGGCACTGCCCTGGTCATGGTAGGCTCTTAATAAAAAATTATTCAATAACTGGACTTGGCTGGGCACAGTGGCTCATCCCTGTAATCCTCAGTGGGAGACTGAGGTGGGAGGATCCCTTGAGGCCAGGAGTTTGAGACCAACCTGGGAAACACCGTGAGATTTTGTCTCTACAAAAAATAAAACCAGTTAGCTGAGCATTATGGTATGCATCTGTAGTCCTAGCTACTCAGAAGGCTGAGGTGGGAGGATTGCTTGAGCCTAGGATGTAGAGGCTGTAGTGAGCTGTGATCACTCCACTGCACTCCGGCCTGGGCAACAGAGTGAGAACTTCTGTCTAAAAAAAGGGAAAAAGATAAATGCATAACTGTACTAAAACAAACAAACAAACAAACAAACAAAAAATGGAGGCCTTTGGTGCTGTAACAGTCCCTCAAGAATTGTGTTCTCTTGGGTAGGAAGTAGATTCTCTGTATCTACCAAAGAGGCTAGGTCAGGACAATGACAATTAACTGACCTCAACTGGCTGTTGAAGGAATTTCAGGAATCCTTTGGGCCCCAGCTGGATAGAGTTTTGGGGCAAAGTAAATCTGATTGCCATTGGTTTTGGATTAGAAATCACTCCTGAATTCTCATCATTGACGTACACTCAAGGATTTCCCAAGAGCAGACATAGGTGCCACCTGGGTGCTTGTCTCTCTCTTAGGACTTGGCTGCGTGATTCTCCAGTAGGCCCTGGCTTTCTCTAAAGTCTAGTGGAAGCTCTGGGAGCAGGAGAGCATCAGAGATCACAGTGAGTCCCTTCAACTGCTGTGCCCACTCATTCATAAAATAACCCATCTCATGGGTTATTTTGTAAAGTATATCTGTTTGTAAAGCATATCTCACAATGCCTGGCACAGGATCGTTGTTCACTAACACTTAGTTTTGTTTTCCAAGTGGTGTGCAGGTAACCAAGAATCAACTTGTGGTTGGGTGCTGTGGCTCACACCTGTAATCCCAGCACTTTAGGAGGCTGAGGCGGGTGGATCACTTGAGCTCAGGAGTTCAAGACCAGCCCAGGCAACATGACAAGACCCTGTCCTTACTAAAAATATACAGAAAAAATAATAGTCAGGCTTGGTGGCATGTGCCTGTAGTCCCTACTACTTGGGAGGCTGAGATGGGAAGATTACTTGAGCCCAGGGGACAGAGGTTGCAGTGAGCCAAGATGGCACCACTGCACTTCAGCCTAGGTGACAGAGCAAGACCTTGTTCCAAAAAAAAGAGCAAACCCACACAGCAGTCTCTCCATGCCTGACCTCTGTCTTTCATGAACGACCTCTTTTAGTGAGCACCTACTGTGTGCCAGGTGCAACTGCCTGGTGGCACCAGGTTACTTAGGAAGGTAGTACTTAAAGGTAGCGTTTGTGATTACTCCCATATTCTTCCTCAAATGTTCTTTGGTGCCATTTTCAGAGCTGAAACATGGGCCTAGAAGGGCCACAGACCTGACATGAAGCAGAAATTCTTGTCTATTTATGTTATCACCTATGAAGGCCATGAACAGGTCAACATGGTGACATTCATTCTTATCTAGAGCACCGATTTCATCTTTTACTCACCAGCCTACAGGTGGTGCTTGACCAATTCTTGCATTCATTGATAAATTTGCAGTATGGTTAAATATTGCTTTTTCAGCTATTGGATCTGGAGGAATACTTTTGGATATATACAGCCAGGAATAGCAATTATTTGTTTTGCAAGTTAAAGAAAATCATGCATGGGAAAAATGTTGCCTCATCTAAGGAAAGAAGGAAGGATGGAAGGACAGAAGAAAGAAAGGAAGGAAGAATGGATGAAAGGAAGGAAGAATGGATGAAAGGAAGGAAGGATGGAGAAAGGAAGGATGAATGAAAGGAAGGAAGAATGGATGAAAGGAAGGAAGGATGGATGAAAGGAAAAATGGAAGGAAGGAAGAATGGAAAGAAGGAAAGAAGGAAGGGAGGGAGGAAGGAAGGAAGGAAGGAAGAAAAAGAAAGGAAGGAAGGAAAGAAGGAAGGTACCAGTCTGTGACCTGTTAGGAACCAGGCTGCACAGCAGAAGGTGAGCGGCAGGTGAGTAAGCCAAGCTTCATCTGTATTTGCAGCCACTCCCCATCGCTCGCATTTCCGCCTGAGCTCCACCTCCTGACAGGTCAGCAGTAGCGTTAGATTCTCATAGGAACATGAACCCTATTGTGAACTGTGCATGTGAGGGATCTAGGTTGCACACTCCTTATGAGAATCTGATGCCTTATGATCTGTCACTGTCTCCCATCACCCCCAGATGGGACCATCTAGTTGCTGGAAAAAAGCTCAGGGTTCCCACTGATTCTACATGATGGTGAGTTGTATAATTATTTTATTATATATTACAATGTCATAATAATAGAAATAAAGTGCACAATAAATATAATGCTCTTAAACCATCTACCCTCCCCTCAGTCCATGGAAAAATTGTCTTCCAGGAAACCAGTCCCTCGTGCCAAAAAGCTTGAGGACCGCTGTGATAACGCATTGCAGGTTACAAGGCACTCAGAGACTTCAGCAGGTGTTGGAATATTTTTTAAATGTTATGCTATACGTTTTAGAGATCTGCTGCACAATATGGGGACTATAGTTAATAATAACGTATTGTATATTTCAAAACAGCGGAAAGAGTAGGTTTTAAGTGTTGTCACCACAAAAGTGTTAAGTATGTAAGGTGATAGATATGTTAATTGGCTTGATCTAATCATTTCAGAATGTACACATCTATGAAGACATCAAAACATTGTACCCCATAAATATATACAGTTATTATTTGTCAATTTACAAAAGCGATTATACTTGTGATTTTAATATAAACAATTTAAGAGTAGAAGGCTGTTTATAAACTATATCGAATGTAAGATTCTGAATGATTATATTTAAAGCTTTGAGTGATTGGATTTATGAACTGTTGAAGGGCCTAGTGACATTTCCTGTTAGATTTGTAAATCTTCCTCTAGGTACTTGAAGTTTGAAAGGAAATATTTGTAGACGTAGTATACAATATATGAGGGGATTTAAATTTGTGAGCAGAGTTAATCATATGGAAATTTAATCTGAAAACTCTACGAATGAATGTATGCTTAATGAATACATATGCTAAATTAATTTTATTTATTTTGTTTAGTTTAGTTTTTTGTTTTTTGTTTTTGAGATGGAGTCTTGCTCTGTCTCCAGGCTGGAGAGCAGTGGCATGATGTTGGCTCACTGCAACCTCTACCTCCTTGGTTCAAGCGATTCTCCTGCATCAGCCTCCCGAGTAGCTGGGATTACAGGCGCCCGCCACCATGCCTGGCTAATTCTTTTGTATTTTTAGTAGAGACGAGGTTTCACCATGTTGGCAAGGCTGGTCTCGAGCTCCTGACCTCAAGTGATCCACCTGCCTCACCCTCCCAAAGTGCTGGGAATACAGGCGTGAGCCACCACTACCGGCCCATATGCTAAATTAATTTTAAAGTAATAAAGTTGCAAATGAACAAAATGTTATTCCAAAGCAGAGGGTGGGGGTTTTCTTTTCTTTTTCCTTCCTTTCTTTCCTTCCTTTTTTTCCTCTGTCTCTGTTTTTCATTCTTTTCCTAGAAATGACTTTTGGAGTCAAATGGCAATGGACTGAATATTTATGTCTCCCCAAAACTCATATGCTGAAATATTAACACCCAAGGTGATGGTATTAGAAGTGAGGCCTTTGGGAGGTGATTAGGTCATGAGGGTGGAGCCCTCAGGAATGAAGTTAGTGCCCTCATTAGAAATAGGCCCCAAAGAGATCCCTCATTGCTTCTGCCATATGAAGTTAGGGTGAAAAGACAGCTGTCTGTGATGAATCAGCCCTCGCCAGACACTGAATCTGACAGCACCTTGAACTTGGACTTCCGGCCTCCAGAACTAGAACTGTATGAAACAAATTTCTGTTGTTTATAAGCCACCCAGTTTATGGCATTTTGTTATAGCACCCCAAATAGGAGTGAAACATCTAATTTAATATTTGTGAAAAGAAAGTGTAAACTGGCCAGGCGTGGTGGCTCACGCCTGTAATTCCAGCACTTTGGGAGGCCAAGGCGGGTGGATCACTTGAGGTTGAGAGTTCGAGACTAGCCTGACCAACGTGGTGAAACCCTATCTCTACTAAAAATACAAAAATTAGCTGGGTGTGGTGGCACACACCTGTAATACCAGCTGCTCTGGAGGCTGAGGCATGAGAATCGCTTGAACCAGGGAGGCATAGGTTGTAGTGAGCCAAGATCACGCCACTGCACTCCAGCCTGGGCGACTGAGTGAGACTCTGTCTCAAAAACAAAAATGAAAGTGTAAACTAACAAAATTCCTAAATTCCTGCTCACTGTCAACTGAATGGACCTCCTCTTTGCCAAGGGGGCCACAGAAAAATTTTAAAAACTTGAGTTCCCAGCCATGACGGGAGGTCAGGTGTGCCTCATAATACCCCTGTTCTTTTGCAGTTTAGACACAACAAGTGACCAGCATTAATGTTAAAATAGAGACCAGGAGACCAGCAGAACAGACTCTTTGTGGCAATAAGATACCAAATTATAAACAGGATCTAAGGTCATGTCAGGCGGGGTTAAGTCACAAACGCCTACACTGGAATAATAAATTATGTTCTCACTGCCACAAGGTTTTTCTTTTTCTCTAGCAGCAAAACAATCACTGCCCTAGAGATAAGCAATGTTTAAACAATTACAACTCTTCCAGCTCACAGATGCTGGCTAACTGACCCCCTGTTCCCCCAGCCATAACTCCAGCTTTGATTGGACAGGTGCCTGATTTCAGTAACTTTCTCCTGATAAGAAGACCACCAACTATGGACTGGTTCTGGCCGGTTTGCAGAGGCTGCACACGGAGTGCTTTTGTGGCCTGAAAAGTCCTTTTCACATACAGGGCCTAACTGCGATACATTGAAATGTTAAGTTTCCACCCCAAAGTGAACCTGAGTCATTATGTTACATGTGGTTTGTTCAATATACATGCGTCAGGACCACCTTCATGAATATTCATAGCTCCTCTGGTAACCTGTTGAATATATATGTTTAGCCAAACTATTCAGCATAAAGTTCCTGCCCCAGCCCCTCCCTCTTCAACATGCCTATTTCTGGTCTTGGCTGGAGGCTGTGCTTCCCAGCCTGCTGGATGACCATCTTGCAGGCTGTAACCCTTTACCAGAAATAAAGTCTTTGCATTTGTAATCTCATCTCAGCACTGGGAGGCTGAGGCAGGAGGATTGCTTGAGCCCAGGAGTTTGAGACCAGCCTGGGCAACATAGCAATACCTTGTCTCTACCAAAAAAAAAAAAAAAAAAAAATTATCCAAGTGTGGTGGCATGAACCTGTAGTCCCAGCTACTCAGGAGGCTGAGATGGGAGGATTGCTTGAGCCCAGGAGTTTGGGGCTGCAGTGAGCTATGATCACACCACTGCACTCCAGCCGGGGTGACAGAGTGAGACTATCTTAAAAAAATAAAAAAGAAATAAAGAAATGAAGTCTTTTCCACATTTATAAACTGTGATTTTTTTTTTTCAGTTAACAAAAGTAATGGGCATGAAGAAAGGGAGGGGAAGGGTGGAGGGAGGTGGGTGAGGGGAGGTTGGAACGTGCTCATCTGTTCCCTGTTGGAGGATTATGGATGGAACTACCTCCCTTCATTGCACTTTGCAGGGCTCTGTCTGGGTGCTATCATTGTCCACTGTTGTGCAAAGCCCAGACTGCATCCTCTAGGATAAGCACCTAAGTGAGGAGGAACCCTGGGCCCCTAGGTGATGACCATGCCCTTGGGATCCTGGAGCAGACCCGGGAAGAGCAGCGTGTCTCCATAGACCACCTGTTGACCATGGAGGAGTTAGGGAGCTGCGGTGCGTCTCCCTTCTTGCGTGAGTACTGGGCTGTATTTGTTCCTTTTGCCTTGGCATCTTCTAAAATCAATAGCCAGCAACAATTTCCACTAACTGGAGGAAATTATCCAGGGGCATGGTGGGGCCAGTGGTGACTGGCTGGCAGTTCCCAGGCAATCTGTCCTCCAGACGCTTTCATTACTGGAGCCCTCTTGGGGGCTGGCAGGCTGGGTAATCTGACTCCAGAGCCAGGGGAATGGTGGCAAGTATGTGAGTGAACAGGGAGCCAGAGATTCTTCTCTCTAGGCTGCAGAGTCCCGGAGTGACTGTGGAAAAGAAACGAGAGCAAATGGAAACTGGTACAGACACTATGGAGAATGATATGGAGATTGCTCAAAAACTTAAAATAGAGCTACCATCAGACCCAGCAATCCTACTGCTGGGTATGTACCTGAAATGAAAGGAAAGCAGTATGTGGAAGAGATATCTGCACTCCATGTTTATCACAACACTGTTCACAATGGCCAAGATTTGGAAGCAGCCTAAGTGTCCATCAACAGATGAATGGATAAAGAAAATGGGGCTGGGCACAGTGGCTCACACCTGTAATCCCAGACTTTGGGAGGCTGAGGGAGGTGGATCATTTGAGGTCAGGAGTTTGAGACCAGCCTGAGCAACACGGTGAAACCTCGTCTCTACTAAAAATACAAAAATTATCTGGGCATGGTGGCGGGCACCTGTAGTCCCAGCTACTTTTGAGGCTGAGGCAGGAGAATTGCTTGAACCCAGGAGGCGGAGGTTGCAGTGAGCCAAGATTGTGACATTGCATTCCAGCCTGGGCAACAAAAGCAAAACTCCTTCTCAAAAAAAAAAAAAAAAAAAAAAAGGAGGCAGAGTACGTATATACAATGGAGGAGTACTATTCAGCTATAAAAAAGAATGAGATCCTGTTATTTGCAATGGCATGAAAGAAACTGGAGGTCATTATCTTAAGTAAAATAAACCAGGCAGAGAAAGTCAAACTTGGTATGTTCTCATTCGTTTGTGGGAGCTAAACATTAGAACAATTGGGCTGGGCAAGGTGGCTCACACCTGTAATCCCAGCACTTTGGGATGCCAAGGTGGGTGGATCATCTGAGGTCAGGAATTTGTGACCAGCCTAGCCAACATGGTGAAACCCTGTCTCTACTAAAAATACAAAAAAAATTAGCCAGGCGTGGTGATGGGAGCCTGTAATCCCAGCTATTTGGGAGGCTGAGACAGGAGAATGGCTTGAACCCGGGAAGCGGAGGTTGCAGTGAGCAGAGATAATGCCACTACACTCCAGCGTGGGTGACAGAGCGAGGCTCTGTCTCAAAACAAAACAAAACAATTGAACTCATGGAGATAGAGAGTAGAAGGATAGTTATCAGAAGCTGGGAAGGGAAGGGCAGTAGAGGGGATGTGGGGATGGTTAATGGGTATAAAAATATAGTTAGATAGAACGAATAAGATCTAGTATTTGAGAGCACAACAAGGCGACTGCAGTCCACAATAACTTACTGTACATTAAAAAATAGGCTGGGCACAATGGCTCACACCTGTAATCCCAGCACTTTGGGAGGCCGAGGTGGGCAGATCACGAGGTCAGGAGTTTGAGACCAGCCTGGCCAACATGGTGAAACCCCATCTCTACTAAAAATACAAAAAAAAAAAAAAAAAAATTAGCCAGGCGTGGTCGTGCTCACCTGTAATCCCAGCTACTTGGGAGGCTGAGGCAGGAGAATTGCTTGAACCTAGGAGATGGAGGTTGCAGGGTTCACTGAGCCAAGATTCCGCCACCGCACTCCAGCCTGGGTGACAGAGAAAGACTGCGTCTAGGAAAAAAAAAATTAGCTCGGCGAGGTGGTGCAGGCCTATAATCCCATCTCCTTGGGAGGCTGAGGCAGGAGTATCGCTTAAACCTGGGAGGTGGAGGTTGCAGTGAACTGAGATTGAGCCACTGCACTCCAGCCTGGGTAACAGCAAGACTCCATCTCAAAAAAAAAAAAAATTAAAAGACACCAGAAAGTATGAGTGTTGCCTAATGGAAGAAGAGAAGCTATTACCTTTTGCTTTTACATGCTCTTCATTGAACATCTGCCTTCCGTCTTATCTCAAGATGCGTGGCCATCATTGTCAGGCAGACCTTGGTTCAAGTCTGGGCTCAGCTTCTTTTACAGTGGTATGAACATGGTGAATTACTTAACCTCCAAGGCCACACTTTCTTCATTTGATTTAAAAAATACTTTACTTCACTGGCTGTTCGTGGGGATTAAATGGGATAAAGTATTTCACTTACTGTGCTTTACAAAATTCCTGATAAGTTCTCAGTAAGGGATAGCCATTTACATTCTTATCCTCTGTAATTTTCTTCTTTGTATTATGTTTAAGTAATTCTTTTTCTTTCATGGAGAAGGTACTAGGAAAGCAAGATGTGGGAAAATGGGGCTATTTACATATCAAAAAAGGAAGACTAGTAAAAAATTAATACATGTTTATTCCTTCTGCTTGTCCATGTTGATTTCTTCTGCAAGAATCAACTTGTCTCTTTTTGCTCATTGCACCCAGGAGGGAAAAAACTATGCCCAGAGTTCCCCTTGTTGAGGCTCTGACATTAGCTATTATTTTTTGACTTTGTTTTGGGGTGCAATGCCCCCTGGGAACACTGGTCTTGCCATCTACCCAGGCAGAGAGGTCTGACCACTGGGCATACAGGTCTGAAGCTTTGGGGAAAGGATTAGGCTGGAGATATCTACTCAGGAATTCATCAGTGTATGACCTAAGCCATATTGGTAGGAGTGCACCAGGAGATTTATAGCAGAAACAGGGCCACGGTGAAATCAGGGTGGCGGGGGGGGTCAACATTTAAGCTCACTGGGACCAGGTGCAGTGGCTCACACATGTAATCCCAGCACTTTGAGAGGCCAAGGGGGTTGGATTGCTTGAGCCCAGGAGTTTGAGACCAACCTGGGCAACATGGCGAGTCCCTGTCTCTACTAAAAAATACAAAAATTAGCAAGAAATGGTGGCATACGCCTGTAGTCCCAGCTCCCTGGGAGGCTGAGGTGGGGGAATTGCTTGAGCCCAGGAGGTGAAGGTTGCAGTGAGCTGAAATTGTACCACGGCATTCCAGCCTGGGCAACAGAGCAAGACCCCGCCACACACACACACACAAAATCACAGGAGAATAAAAAGCCAGTGAAGGAAAATTAGGCAGAATGGTCGGAAAGCAAAGAAGAGAGAATTAGGAGAGAGAAATGCCCCCATCTCTGTGGTAGGCACAATAGTGGCTCCCAAAGATGTCCACCTCCTCAGGGGTCCCCAACCCCTGGGCCACAGACGGTGCTGGTACCAGTCCTTGGACTGTTAGGAACTGGCCACACAGCAGGAGGAAATACTTGTCTATTTATGTTATCACCTAAGAGAGCCATGAACAGGTCAACATGATGTCATTTATTCTCATCTACAGCACTCTTCTCATCTTTTACTTGCTACCATGCAGGAAGTCCTTGACCAATTCTTGTATTCAAGGATAAATTCATACTATAGTTAAACCTTGCTTTTTCAGCTATTGGATCTGGAGGAATACCTTTGGATATATACAGCTAGGAATAGCAGCTATTTGTTATGCAAGTTAAAGAAAATAATGCATGGGAAAAATGTTGCCTCACCTAAGGAAAGAAGGAAGGAGAGAATGATGGAAGGAATGAAGGATGAATGAAAGGAAGGAAGGAAGGAAGGAAGGAAGGAAGGAAGGAAGGAAGGAAGGAAGGATAGAAGGAAGGATGGAAGGAAGGAAGGAAGGTCCAGTCTGCAGCCTGTTAGGAACTGGGCCAGCGAGCAAGCAAAGCTTCATCTGTATTTATAGCCATCCCCATGGCTCACATTACCACCCTTTCTTTATAAATGAAGATAATACAATTGTATCCTTTAAACCACTAAGTTTGTGGTAACTTGTTACAGCAACAAAAGCAAAGGAATACAGTCGCCAAGGGAATGATAAACTGTTCAAAGAAGGAGGGAATGGTCTCCAGGGTTTAACGCCCCAGGCATATGGGTGGCAGCAGATAGGGTGGTACTCTAAGTCAAGGTCGGGTGTGCATTTTTTTAAAGTAGGGTGGAGTCAACAGGTTGTGAGGACAAGGCTCAGAATAAAGGGTGGGACTTCGTTGACCTGGGACGGGAAGGGTGAGCCAGGCTGGAAGGGATTGGGTCTTGGTACCAAGCCCGCCTCCTGGGGTGAGCCAGAGCCTGGGGCCATCAGCCTAGCTGCAGGGACTGCAGATAGAAGAAAAGTGAGGCAATTGCTAGTTGCCACTTGGGCAGGATTGGCGGGTGGGCGGTGCACAGAAATGGAGCACCTGGGAAGGGGGTGGGGTGTATCTAGCTGGACAGTCCTGCAGACTCTTGGCATTAAGAAGGCCTCCCTGGGGCTGGGTATGGTGGCTCATACCTGTAATCCCAGCACTTTGGGAGGCCAAGGCAGGAGGATCACTTGAGGCCAGGAATTTGAGACCAGCCTGGGCAACATGGCAAGATCCTGTCTCTTCAGCCTGGCCAACATGGTGAAACCCTGTCTCTACTAAAAATATAAAAATTAGCTCGGTATGGTGGCGGGTGCCTTTAACCCCAGCTACTCGAGAGGCTGAGGCAGGAGAATCACTTGAAACTGAAGATGGAGGTTGCAGTGAGCTGAGATTGCACCACTGCACTCCAGCCTGGGCAACAAGAGCGAAACTCCGTCTTGAAAATAAATAAATAAATAAAAATAAAAAGCAAAAAATAAAAAACATTATTTAGGCATGGTGGCACATGACTGTAGTCTCAGTTATTCAGGAGGCTGAGGTGGGAGGCTCCTTTGAGCCCTGGAGGTGGACTCTGCAGTGAGCTATGTACATACCTAGCCCGAGTGCCATACTACACTCTAGCCTGAGTGACAGAGCAGGACTCTGTCCCTAAAAAAAAAAAAAAAAAATTTTAAAAGTCTCCTCCATAGGCAACAGGCTGAGTCACTCACTCACTGGGTTGGGATTGAAGTTTAGGGCTTCAGTCCAAGATGATAATTAGAATGCTAAATGGGTGACTTGGAGCTGGACTAAAACAGAAAACAAATGAAAAGGTGAGGCCCCAGGTTTGGGAGATCCTGGTTTGGGTGAACAAGGTGCAAGTCTTGGTATCAGAATATGCTCCTGAGAAGTGGGGGCAGAGGCACCTAGGCGATGGGAAACTGAGGCTGAATGTCAGAGCAAGGTCTGGAGGGAGTTAGTTCTCCTTCCTGCAACAGTTCAGTTCTGGGATTGTCAGGGAGGGGATCAAATAGAGGGTGGCTGTGGTTGGAGCCAGCAAGGCTTGCCGTAGAGAGCAGAAATAATGTCATGAAACTGGGTCAAAGAACAGTTAAGAGCAAAGCAGCACCAAGCAAGGGTGAAGCTCTGTCTCATCCACAAGTTCTTCCGGTGTTCCTGGTGAGGCTCCTAGCTTGAGGATGGAGCAGATTAGAAGGTGAGGATAGGGAGGGAAGATGAGTGCATGAATATTAACTTAAGGCCAGGAGTTTGAGACCAGCCTGGACAACATAGCAAGACCCTGTCTTTATATGGAAAGCAATGTACTTGTATTACAGCCCTGTTTCAAGTTGAAGATGCTGAGGCTTTGAGAGGAAGTCACTTTGCCCAGAGCCCCAAAGCTATTAAGTGGTGAAAACAGAAATGGCTTTGGGTCTCTCAACTCCTGGCTTGGGCTATTTTCCCTGCACCACAGCCAGCTCTCCAAACAGGGCCAGGTCATGATTTGCGTCTGGCTTGGGTCCACGTGCACATATTTTATAGGGATTGTAAAATCTTGGCTCCTTTTTGGTAGGGAAAATTCTGTGTGTTTGAATACCTGAGAAGTGGACACTCAATTTGGTAAAGCTATTGCCTTTTCTATATTGGCTGTGAGTCAGCTGGAGTTGAGATGAGGTGAGAAAGGGCTGGGAATAAGAGCTAATGGATTCGGCATGGAGATCTGACCCTCGCATTTTTCACTCAGTTTTAATTTACAGTGAGGTGTCCTCCCATGGAATATTTCTGTGATGAAATCTTCTCCAAAGAAGAAATCACTCATTATCACAGATGGTAGAGTGAGATGTAAAAATAAATGAAACTGCATATCAGTATTTTTCGAGAAACCATTGTTCTGAACAGGGGAGGGGGGCACAGCCAACTCGTGCCTGCCGTCATTTACAATTAGGCGCACCTGGATCCCATCCTCAGCGATTCTGACTAGGTAGGTTTGCACCCAGACATTCGGAGAGCTGTTCTGATGCACGTCAAAGGTTGAGCACCACGATGCTAAGTTTTTCCTTGTGACGATTTCACTTTTGTGGATTTCATTATCCTAGAGTGGCCCCATAACTCCGTGCATTGCAGAAATCTGTGCAGAGGCAGGAATCAGAAACCTGCCCTATGTGAGACCTGCGGTGAGAGCGACGACATCAGTAAGCCCACCCAACTTCCCCAGATTTGAGTATTGGTTGGTTAGTCGCTCTATGACTCTGCCTCGTTAAAGGTCTGGAGTTGTGCTCCAGTTTTTGGAGAAAAAATGTGCTGGCATAGTATTCACGATTTGAAGGATTTGAATGTTTCCCTTGACAGCGTTAAAAGCCTATCACCTAAGCCTTTCCAAGTCCTCTCTTTGCTTACTTGCTACATGTAGGTTTCACGTCCAGAACCGGCTCTGAGAACATGTGATTCCCATTATCCTGGCGGTTTCTCTGATGGGGCTTCTCTGGGTGAGCAAATGTATCCTTCTCTCTTTCTTGTTTTACCTGGTTGGCATAGGAGGGAAGAAACCCAGCACAGATTTTGGTCTATAATGATTGTGGAATATTTCCAGATGCGAAGTGTATAATCCCTTTGGTTCTACTGTGTCTGCCAAGCGAGAGTCTAACAACTGTGCATTATAGAATAGAACAGAGAGTGAAACAAATGCGTAACATGATTCTGTTAGCAGGCTGTGCTTGAGGAGAAATGAACACAATGTAATTAGCATGCATGCTGGCCTGCCTGTTCCCCTTTGTGTGTATTTTTAAAGAATTTTGAATGGAAAGATGGTTGAAGGGGAGAGGTAAGGCTGATTTGATGGAGCAAAAAATATTGATGAACAATGTGTTTCTCTGGTTCTAACTCAAGGAGATTGAATTTTTCTGAAAATTGTGGCTCAGTGAACAGGCTCGTGTTAACCAGAGAGAGAGGCAAGCAGTCATCTGGAAGAGGTGGCGGGGTAAAGAACTGATGACTTGTCTCCTCTCTCTCTCCCTTCCTGGGGTTGACTGGTTTGGACAAGCCTTTCTCAGAAGTGGGAGGTGATGGGCTAAATGCAAAACTATATGGGAGAGAGCACTGGGGACAGTGGCTCATGGCTGTGATCCCAGCACTTTGGGAGGCTGAGGCGGGAGGATCACTTGAGCTCAGGAGTTCAAGACTAGCCTGGGCAACATAGTGAAACCCTGTCTCTACAAAAAAATACAAAAATTAGCCTGGTGTGGTGGCGCATACCTGTAGTCCCAGCTACTTGGGAGGCTGAGGTGGGAGGATCATCTGAGCCTGGGAGGTCAAGGCTGCAGTGAGCTGAGCTGTGATTGCGCCACTGCATGCCAGAGCTTGGGTGACAGAGACCCTGTCTCAAATACATATATATATATATATATATATGCACACACATATATATGTATATATGTGTGTATACATATGTATATACGTGTATATGTGCGTATATATACGTATATACGTTTATATATATGTATATATGTGTATATATATACACACCCACATGCACACATATATACACACACACATACATACGGGAGAAGTTAGAAAAGTGAACACCTTGCCGGGTGTGGTGGCTTACACCTGTAATCCCAGCACTTTGGGAGGCTGAGGCAGGTGGATCACCCGAGATCAGGAGTTCGAGACCAGCCTGGCCAACTTGGGGAAACCCTGTCTCTGCTAAAAATACAAAAATTAGCTGGGTGTGGTGGCAGGCACCTGGATTCCCAGTTACTCGGAAGGCTGAGGCAGGAGAATCGCTTGAACCCAGGGGGCAGAGGTTGCAGTGAGCTGAGATCGTGCCATTGCACTCCAGCCTGGGCAACAAGAATGAAACTCCATCTCAAAAAAAAAAGTGAACACTTTAATACATGCCTGTAATAGAATCTCTTTGATTTCTGACTGCAGATGGTCTTGAAACCCTGCAAGGTCTCCTGAACCCAGTACTCAGCTTCGTCCAGAACACTTGTAGCTCTCCTGAAAGTTAACCCCTATTGCCTGCATCATGATGGACTTTTCTGATCCAGGGCTCTGCCTTTCTGCAAGACCTCTGATAATAATAGCCTAGTGTCATGCTTTGCAAATACTGACTGTCCCCTGACGTAGACTGCCTATTGCCTACTCCACTGCATCTCCTTCCACTACTCCTGTCATCACTGATCAGTTTGGTCCTGGTCTTGGTCAGCTCCACCTCCACCATTCAGTCCATGTCTATGACAGCATCCCCAGTACAAGCATATTTTGCCTCCTGTTACACTACCACTGCAGTTCATGAATGCTTGACCTGTGTGATTTCTTTTCTTTTCTTTTTTTCTTTTCTTTTTTTTTTTTTTTTTGAGACAGAGTCTTGCTCTGTCTCCCAGGCTGGAGTGCAGTGGCATGATATCGGCTCACTGCAACCTTTGCCTCCCAGGTTCAAGTGATTCTCATGCCTCGGCCTCTCATGTAGCTGAGATTACAAGCGTGTGACACCACACCCAGCTAATTTTTGTATTTTTAGTAGAGACAGTGTTTCGCCATGTTGACCAGGCTGGTCTCGAACTCCTGATCGCAGCTGATCCACCTGCTTTGGCCTCCCAAAGTGCTGGGATTACAGGCGTGAACCACCGCACCCGGCTGAACTGTGTGATTTCTATCTTCATGTACAGTCACAAAATAGTACTGGGTTTCAGTCTTGGGAGCTTGGATGTGTTGCTTAACTGCTCCCTGTGTTAGTGGCTTTGTCCAAAGAGGGGATCGTGGAAGGTGGACCTCGCACCTTTGCAACTAGGTAAACCAAAAGTCAAAAGATGCTTGATAACAACAAACTGTGCTAATGTCTTGGTGTGTGTATTGGGTCTGTGTCTGCTGTATTTCACCTCTCTAGGATGGCAGGCATCCTCAGAGTGAACTGCATCCAAGTTTGTAGTTCAATTTGGAGAGCATGCAGGATGTTTCAGAAGTATTATAGAATGTCTTTGGACTTTTAATTTTTTTTTTTTTTTTTTTGAGATGGAGTCTTGCTGTGTCGCCTAGGCTGGAGTGCAGTGGCGCCATCTCGGCTCACTGCAAGCTCAGCCTCCTGGGTTCACGCCATTCTCCTGCCTCAGCCTCCCAAGTAGCTGGGACTACAGGTGCCCGCCATCACACCCGGCTAATTTTTTGTATTTTTAGTAGAGACGGAGGTTCACCATGTTAGCCAGGATGGTCTCGATCTCCTGACCTCGTGATCCGCCCGCCTCGGCCTCCCAAAGTGCTGGGATTACAGGCATGAGCCACCGCGCCCAGCCATCATTGGACGTTTTTTAAATTTGTTAAATTTTATGCAAACATTTTACTTCTATTTGCAATATCATTGTCTTCTAAAGCATAAATCTACTTTTTGAGTTGCTTAAATATGTTCGAAGTTCATTATCACTTTTGTCAAATATAGGTGTATTTTTTGAGACAGGGTGTTATTCTGTCAGCTAGGCTGGAGTGCAGCGGCTCAATCACAGCTCAAGGTAAGTAACCTTGAACTCCTGGGCTCAAGTGATCTTCCTACTTCAGCCTTCTGAGCAATTGGGACTACAGGTGTGAGGTGGATTGGCTAATTAAAACAAATCTGCTTTAGTAGAGACGGGGGTCTCACTATATTGCCCAGGCTGGTCTCAAACTCCTGGCCTCAAGTGATCCTCCTGCCTTAGCCTCCAAAAACATGGGTATTACAGGCATGAGCCGCTGTGCCCAGCTCATTTTTGTTGAAATCTTTAAAACTTCTATTTGGCAGCAAGTGTGGCTCAAAGGTAAGCAATATAACAAGTATTTTTGGAAAATGCAAATTGAGCAAATGCAATGTGAAATGCAGAGACAAGTTGATAAATAAGAAGTGAACATAGTAAGTTTGGGCTTAAAATAAAGTCCCAGTTGTACTATGCAAATAAGGGCATCCTCTGTGTTTCTTTATGGATGGAGTGAGAGGAATTGATTTTGAAATCACCTGTGTTAAATTCTTTGGAAAAACTATGGTGTATTTTAAAAATTCTGTTTGTATTTTAAACTCAGTGAAATTCACTCTCTCATATTTTAGCCCGCACCTATAGTAAAAATAAAACTGGCGACTTCCAGTGTTTATTCCATTAGTATTCAATTATATTTCCCAGATAAACAGCTGGAGGCCATCTCTTCAGTGACAAATGTGTTTGATTTGACTTAATCACCACCACAAGGCACATAATTTACTAACATTTGCTGTAGTACAATTTTAACAAGTAGGGTGATTCACCCTGGGAGGGGAGAGAAGAAGAATGCAAAAACCGAGAGACAAAGAGGCAAAGGCGAGCATGGAATTAGCAAGACATCTGTGCCTTTAAACAATCTCTACATTGGCCGGGTGCGGTGGCTCACGCCTATAATCCCAGCACTTTGGGAGGCTGAGGAGGGTGTATCACAAGGTCAGGAGTTCGAGACCAGCCTGAGCAACATGGCAAAACCCATCTCTACTAAAAATACAAAAAGTACCTGAGCGTGATGGTGCATGCCTGTAATCCCAGCTATTCAGGAGGCTGAGGCAGGAGAATCGCTTGAACCCAGGAAGCGGAGGTTGTGGTGAGCCGACATTGTGCCACTGCACTCCAGCCCGGGCAACAGTGCGAGACTCTGTCTCAAAAAAAAAAAAAAAGAAAATCTCTACTTTTATGGAAGCATAAACTTGACACAGAAATGTGCATAAATTATAAGGACACAGCTCAATGAACTGTCACAATTTGAGCACATCCATGTGCCAACATTCAGCTCAAGAATGCAACACATCAGCAATCTAGAACCACCCTTCTATATGTACCCCTCCTATACCTCCCTTCCCCAAAGTACCTGAGATCGACCGTGTTTTTGTTGATTGGTTTTTGTTTTTTGTTTGAGATGGAGTCTCGCTCTTGTCGCCCAGGCTGGAGTGCAGTGGCATGATCTTGGCTCACTGCAACCTCCGCCTCCTGGGTTTGTCAAGTGATTCTCCTGCTTCAGCCTCCTGAGTAGCTGGCACTACAGGCACCTGCCACCATGCTCGGCTAATTTTTTTGTATTTTTAGTAGAGACGGGGTTTCACCATGTTGGCCAGGCTGGTCTTGAACTCCTGACTTCAGGTGATCTGCCCACCTTGGCCTCCCAAAGTGCTGGAATTACAGGTGTGAGCCACAGGGCCTGGCCTCGTTGATTTGTTTTTAAGGTTCTTTGCAAACTGTCATTCGAGCAGTTTCTCAGCCAGTCCCTTGTGAGGAAGTCCTGGGTGTGTTTGTAGACTAAGGTTTCCGTGACTCAGGTGTTAGATTTGGGCACTGTGTCCTGAAGTTTCACAGTGGCTGGAAAGGGAGCAAAGGTTTATGATGAGAGACACGAATCTACCATCCTTTCCCCTGCCGGTCTTGGGAAGCCACAGTCATCTCTTTCTTTCTGCACTGACTTCTCCAGCGTGGACACAGGCAGACACCTGTTCTATTTCCTTTCAGGGTTGCTGTAAGGCTCTGATGACATGATGGATGTCTTTGAACAGGATGAAGTATTGCTCAATTATTATATCCTTTAACCAATGTGATGGGGAGGTATTGCTAGTGCAGGGAGTTATCTTGAACAAGAGGAAAGCGTGTAAGTATATGTCCAAACCAAAAGAGGTACTGATCCTAATGGTTTTAAATGGCTTTCAATGATTCTCTGATTTTGGAGAAATGCCATTCACTTATTAGCTCTTCAGGGCATAACCCTAATAAGGCCAGAGTCACAGAGTTATCTCCATAGGATCTCATGCAGCGGTCCCCAACCTTTTTGGCACCAGTGGCTGGCTTCATGGAAGGCAATTTTTCCACAGATAAGGGGTGGGGGTGGGGGTGGGGATGTAGTGGCATGAAACTGTTCCACCTCAGATCATCAGGCATTATTAGATTCTCATAAGGAGCGCACAACCTAGATCCCTCACATGTGCAGTTTACAATAGGGTTCACGCTGAAACGGGTAATCCCAGCACTTTGGGAGGCCAAGGAGGGCGGATCACCTGAGGTCGGGAGTTTGAGACCAGCCTGAGCAACACGCAGAAACCCCGTCTCTACTAAAAATACAAAATTAGCCGGGTGTGATGGTGTGTGCCTGTAGTCCCCAGCTACTCAGGAGGCTGAGGCAAGACAATTGCTTGAACCTGGGAGGTGGAGGTTGCAGAGAGCCGAGATCGCGCCATTGCACTCCAGCCTGGGCAACAAGAGCATAACTCCATCTCAAAAAAACAAAAAACAAAAAACACCTTTTTCCTTATCTCCCTCACAGGGTGTGCAATGTGGGTGT
Organism: Homo sapiens; assembly: GCF_000001405.40. NCBI lineage: Eukaryota > Metazoa > Chordata > Mammalia > Primates > Hominidae > Homo > Homo sapiens. Next base: position 69,212,020 of record NC_000007.14, on the reverse strand, counting down.
GGCTCACTTCTTCAGTGCCCCTCTTCTCAAACCCCTAGGGGGAGCATGCAGACAGGCAAGTCTAGCGGTGAGTGTCTACAGCTCCCGAAGCTGTAACAGGTGTGGGCATCTGTTACCCTGTGCTCTTTCAGCTTAGCCCTCTGCAGGCAGCTTGTGTTAATCAGCTCATTTAGACCCTCTGCCTTATCGCAAGGACAGGGGGCTTTCTGTATCCAGGTTTCTTGTCCTAGTGTACTAGAAAAATTGGACCACAAGTGGGCTTGGAGGATGGGTGCAAGGCTTTACTGAGTGGTGGCGGTAGCTCTTAGCAGATGGATGGGGAGCCAGAAGGAGGGTGGAGTGGAAGGTGATCTTCCCCTGGAGTTGGGCTGCTCAGCGGCCGTGCTCTCCTCCGACTGCCCTCTGCCGAATCCCCCTTGGCGTCCGTGTTATTCCATCATTGATGGCCTGCCAGCGTCTGTCAGTGTGTTTTTCTGCCAGTGTGTTCCTCTCGATGTCCAGCTGCTTGTGTGTGTGCCTGCTGGGGTCTCAGAGTTTTTATAGGCACAGGACAGGGGGCGTGGTGGGCCAGAGTGGTTTTGGAAAATGCAACATTTGGGCACTAAAACAGGAATGCCTGTCCTCACCTAGGTCTGTGGGCACAGGCCCAAGGGTGGAGTCCTTGCCAGGGACCCCACCCCTCTCTACCCAGCACTTCCCTGCCCCCTCTCATATCAGTATTCCTATGAGAATCCTTTTTTTTTTTTTGAGATGGAGTTTCACTCTTGTTGCTCAGGCTAGAGTGCAGTGGCATGATCTTGGCTCACTGCAACCTCTGCTTCCCAGGTTCAAGCGATTCTCCTGCCTCAGCCTCCCGAGTAGCTGGGATTACAGGCACCCACCACCACGCCCGGCTAATTTGGTGTATTTTTAGTAGAGAGGGGGTTTCCCCATGTTGGCCAGGCTGGTTTTGAACTCCTGGCCTTAAGCAATCCACCAGTCTCAGCCTCCCGAAGTGCTAGGATTACAGGCATGAGCCGCTGTGCCTGGTCCAATGCTATTGTTAATCTGACAGGAGGTAGAGCTCAGGAGGTGGAGCTCAGGCGGTCAAGCTCGCCGCTGGCCTCCTGCTCATCTCCTGTTCTGCAGCCTAGTTCCTAACAGGCCACAGACTGGTACCAGTCCTCAGCCCAGGATTTGGGGACTCCTGATCTAATGAACTTGATTCTGTTTTGTAGCTGTTCCTATTTTACCCAACTACATCCAATGTATCAGCAATGTGAATTGTTCGTTATTAATGAGGTGAATCATAATCCAATAGCTTGTGATTAGATGATCAGATTATCAGAAAAATCAAGATATATTAACCTACTAATAGAGGACTATTTTTACACAGAGCCCAGCATATTCTAGTATTTAGGATATGAAGTAATGACCTTTCTGTGCTTTGCCTAGGCAATTTTTGGAATACAGATTAGTACCCTATAGATCTGATGTGTTAGGCCTTGGCAATATAATAGTTAACAAAATGTTCACTCTCTTTGCCCAATAATGTTTTAAATCTCTCAGTACATTTTTCTTATCTTGCTTAGTTTCCTTCTTATTTTGTTGTGTTTCCATCTCAGCCTTTTCTCTTTTGGCTTTGCATTCCCGGATCACAGAGGTAGATGTTGCCTATCAAGAAGAAGTTTTCTAGGCCAGGCATGGTGGCTCACGCCTGTTATCCCAACACTTTGGGATGCTGAGGTAGGTGGATCTCTTGAGCCCAGGAGATCAAGACCAGCCTGGGCAACATGGCAAGACCCTGTCTCTACAAAAAAACATATAAAAATTAGCCTGGCGAGGTGATCCATGTCTGGAGTCCCAGCTACTCAGGAGGCTGAGATGGGAGGATGGTTGAGCCTGGGAGGGGGAGGTTGCAGTGAGCCAAAATTGCACCACTGCATTCCAGCCTGGGCGACAGAGTGAAACTCTGTCCCAAAAAATAAAATAAAATAAAATAAATAAAATTTCCTCTTTTATTGCTCCTCCTTTTAGTCTAGGTAGTGAAATCCTTTCCCACTTATTATGCGTTTTTGTTTCATCAGGTCTTCTATTATGATTTTACAAATTTATTTATTTATTTTAGAGACAGAGTTGTACTCTGTTGCCCAGGATGGGGTGCAGTGGTGCAATCAAAGTTCACTGCAGTCTTAAACTCCCAGGCTCAACTTCCCTCCTCAGCCTCCTGAGTAGCTGGAACTACAGGCATGCACCACCATGCCAAGCTGATTTTTAAACTTTTTTGTAGAGACAGGATCTCTATGTTTCCCAGGCTAGTCTTGAACTCCTGGCCTCAAGTGATCCTCCCACCTCAGCCTCCCAAAGCATGGGTATTACAGACATAAGCCACCATACCTGACCTGTTATTTACGCATTTTGCACGTGGTGGTCACTGCGGGGGGTCTCTTTCCTTGTCCTTGACAGGAGGGAGATATGTTTAGTCATGGTACGTACTAATGGTTGAATATGTGCATTGCCTATGGTGTTAACTTACGTACTGGGTCAAACACCCTTCTTAGAGCTTCAGTGAATGCAGCTTTTAAGACTGATTCTCGGCCGGGCACGGTGGCTCACTCCTATAATCCCAGCACTTTGGGAGGCTAAGGTGGGTGGATTTCCTGAGGTCAGGAGTTTGAGACAAGCCTGGCCCACATGGTGAAACCCCATCTCTACTAAAATTACAAAAATTTGCTGGGCATGGTGGCGTGTGCCTATAATCCCAGCTACTCAGGAGGCTGAGGCAGGAAAATTGCTTGAACCTGGGAGGCAGAGGTTGCAGTGAGCCAAGATCACGACATTGCACTCCAGCCTGGGAGACAAGAGCGAAACTCCATCTCAAAAAAAAAAAAAAAAAAAAAAAGACTGATTCTCAGTGTGTGGTGAGTTTACTCTAGGGAGGTTCTGCTACAAGAGATGATGTCTTTCACTCCCAAAGCCTGAGGTTCTAACAAGTGTAGGAAGTGAAACCATACCCACAGCTCCCAGAATAGAGCACTACAAAAGCTCATCTTTACTCATTACTCATAAGTAAATGAATAAAATAATAACCCTTCCTTAGGGTTTCACCTTTCAAGGTGCATCCTACTCCCGGACTCCAGACCGTCCAGTCCATCTACTTGGGTTCGATATTTTTTGAGAATGGCAGGTTCCGATTGAATGTTGGAAAAAGAGCCCCTGATTTGGGTGAGGAGAGGTGGAGTTTGGGGCAAGGGAAATTGCACTCTGATGGCCTTTAAAAAGGAACATTAGCCCTTTGGGAGGCCAAGGCAGGCAGATCACCTGAGGTCAGGAGTTTGAGACTAGCCTGACCAACATGGAGAAACCCCGTCTCTGCTAAAAACACGAAATTAGCCGTGTGTGGGGGTGCAGGCCTGTAGTCCCAGCTACTTGGAAGGCTGAGGCAGGAGAATTGCTTGAACCTGGGAGGTGGAGGTTGTAGTGAGCCAAGATCACACTGTTGCAATCCAGCCTGGGCAACAAGAGCGAAACTCTGTCTCAAAAAAAAAAAAAAAGGAACGTTTTTGCAGGAGATGGGCTAACTGCTCAAGTTTCTGGTGATACATACTTTGAACTGGAGACAAAACACTGGAGAGGAAGAATAATATCTGTCTACTTTCAGCCCAAGTGAGCTATTTGTTCCATTGACCCCGTAGGGGAAAATCTCCCAATTCTATCTAGAAATAGATTGACTGTTGGTCCTGGTTTTCCATGGAGTTATGGATTTTATTATTTTTCTGTGTTTTTAAAGGCATTTTAATTAAAAATTGGGAAAGGCTGCTTCAGGGCTGCTAAGTAGATGATATTGAAAAGTAGGAGCTGAATACAGCCCATTACTGCTTAATTTTATAATCGTTACATTTATCCTTTGCTTCTTCAACGTGTCTTCTTTACCGCTTAATGAAGTTCTTTGTTTTCTCCAATCACAAATATTCTTTCTATTCAATACTTTGAGCTTTTCTATTTCTATTTAAATGCAACCGGAAGGAAACTTTTTCTATCAGCCAGGTATTGTTTTGTAATTAAACCTATTTAACAAAATAAAACAGATATATTTGAACCTACAACTCTGTTTTAAACTCTAATTTTAGAGTGGACTGGAGATGTTCCATTGGACTTGTATTCTTCCTAATCTCTACTTTTTGATATATTTTTGTGCCTTGGAAACATAATTTTTTTTCTTATTTCCCTTTGAGATTTCATGGTATTATAAAATGACACAGTAAAATATTTTAATTACTTATTTTGGATAACTTTCATTCTTTTACTGTGGTAGCAGATACAATAGGTTAAAGATTATACTTCTAAAGTGGTCCTTGAGGCCAGGCACGATGACTCACACCTGTAACCCCAGCACTTTGGGAGGCTGAGGCTGGTGGATCACTTGAGGTCAGGAGTTCGAGACCAGCCTGGCCAACATGGGGAAACTCCGCCTCTACTAAAAATACAAAACTTAGCTGGGTGTGGTGGTGTGGGCCTGTAGTCCCAGCTACTGGGGCAGCTGAGGCATGAGAATCACTTGAACCCGGAGGTTCAAGGAGGAGGAGGTTGGAGAGAGCTGAGATCACAACACTCCACTCAAGCGTGGGTGTCAGGGCCAGACTCCATCTCAAAAAAAAAGTGGTCCTTGATAAGTGATGTTAACAACCTCTTCTCCATTTGTCCCCATTTCTAGAGGCTTCCCCAGGCTCCCTGTACTCAGGACCCTTCATGCATGGTAAGTCCTGCTATGGTTTGGGTACAGGTTGTGTGTCACCACCACATCTCATGTTGAAATTTAATTCCACAGCTGGTGGTATTGGGAGGTGAAGTCTAGAGGGGAGTGTTTGGCTCATGGGGGCGGATCCTTCGTGAATGTCTTGGTGCTGTTCTTGCCCTAGTGAGTGAGTTCTTGCTCTTGCGAGACTGGGATGGTTCTTGGGGGCATGGATTCCTTCCTGAGAGAGTGTGTTGTTATAAAGCTAGTACCCCCTTGGGTTTGGTCTGTCTTCCCCTTTGACCTTCTCAGCTGTATATGATACAGCACAAAAGGCCTCACCAGAAGCCAAGCAGATGTTGGAGCCACGCTTCTTCTTCTTTTTTTTGAGATGGAGTCTTACTCCGTTGCCCAGGCTGGAGTACAGTGGCGTGCTCTCAGCTCATTGCAACCTCTGCCTCCCAGGTTCAAATGATCCTCCCACCTCAGCCTCCCAAGTAGCTGGGACTACAGGTGTGCACCACCATGCTTGGCTAATTTTGGTATTTTTTAGTAGAGACAGGGTTTCGCCCTGTTGACCAGGCTGGTCTCAAACTCCTGACCTCAAGTGATCCACCTGCCTGGGCCTCCCAAAGTGCTGGGATTACAGGGGTGAGCCACCGCGCCCAGGTGGTGCCATGCTTCTCATAAAGTCTGCAGAACCGTGAGCCAAATAAGCCTCTTTTCTTTACAAATTACCCAGCCTCAGATATTCCTTTATAACAACACAAAATAGACTGAGACAAGGCTATGGGTTGAGCTCTAACTCAGTCTCTTCCCTACCCCCAGGCTTGCATTTACAAGTGTCTGGTTATCTCTTCTTGCAAAGAGGCATCTCACATTTAAAGGTACCAAAACAGAAATCTTGATTCTTCTTCTTTTCCCACCAAAATTCCTCCAGATTTACACCACCCATCTTCTTGTCTCAGCAGCCCCATTCTACCAGTTGTCTAGCTCAGAACTTGAGAGCCACCCTAGATGCTTCTCTCTCACATCATATTCAACCCATCAACAAATGCTGCAGCTCTGATTTCCGAGTTCATCCTGAATCTGTGCCCTGCTCACCACCTCCTCCCCTGCTTCTCTACTTCTCTCTCTATCCTCACCTCCTAAATGGGTTTCTTATTTACACTCTTGACTCCTTGGAGTCTAGTCTCCCCACAGCATTCAGAATGATCCATCTAAAATACAAAGAAGATCATGTACTTCCTGTGTTCCAAACCCTCTAGTAGATCCTCATCTCATTGGCCTCATCGAAGAAACAAAAAGTGCATTCAGAAAGAAATCTGTACTAGCAAGGTCTCATGAGATCTTGCCCATGTATCTCCTCTTTTCTCCCTCTCTGCCCTCCTCTGTTCCCTATGCTTGTTGGAATGTTCTTCCACCATATGTCTGCATGGTTTGGCCCCTCTTTCTTTTATGTGTGTTCAAATACCATTTCATCAGCAAAGTCTTTTTCCTAACCACCCTGCTAAAAAACACCATCAGTCATCCACTCCTTTGACCTCACTTTATGTTTCTTCATGGCACTTGACAAGTTATATATTTATTAGTGTGTTGACCATCTGTCTTTCCCACAATTGTGCTCACTGCTGTATCTGTTTATTTTATTTTTTAAAGACAGGATCTTGCTCTGTCACTAGGGCTGGAGTGCAGTGGTGCAGTCATAGCTCACTGTAGCCTCCAACTCCTGGGCTCAAGTAATCCTCCTGCCTTAGCCTCCTAAAGTGATGGGATTGTAGGCATGAGACACTGCACCTGGCTGTATGACTGTAATCTTTAGTGCTTAGAACAGCTCCAGGTACAGTCCATATTTGCTGAATATATGAATGAATGGATCATAATACATTAGTTTCATTCTTCCCAGGTTATTAAAGACCCTCACTCTGGTTAGTAGTTTTCAAACTATTTTTCTGCTATAGAACATTCTCTGCGAACAAAGTCTCACAAAGAAGACTAATAATACAAACCAGATGTATTTGGAGTAACGTGATGTCATGACAGGTGGGAGCCAGGGAAGGGAGCTGCCCCTCTCCCCGCAGAGCTCCTTTCAGCTCTTCACCTCCTGGGGCAGCCTGGGTATGTTTGGAAACCACAAATGTAGGTTATCTCAGCCAATCCCTATGACTACCATACAAAGCAGTTATAACCACCCCCATTCATAGATGAGGTAACTAACAAGATGGTGTCAGCTGGCCAAGACAACATGGTGAATAAGCCTCATGTCCACAAAGTGAGAGAGCCAGATGCCTATTTGAATCTACTAACTCCAAAGGCAGGTCTCTCCCCTCTGTACAACTTGCTGGCTCCCTTAACTCTCTTCCCAATTAATTATCCTTTATTCTTGGCATTCTGTTTTCTTTCTGTATCTTTCTTTCCATTTTTACTGTTTGTAATTACGTGGCGTTGGGACTTTTCTTTTAGGGACATTTCTGGCCAGAATTCTGAGCATTTCTTCCATTTGTCTGCTGAGCTCTCTTTATAGATCTGGGAAATGTTTCCCCAATTATTTCCTTAATTATGATTTCAAAGTTACTTACCTTTTCTATTCCTCCTGGGACCCATGTTATTCAGTTTGGATAATCTTGCTCTATTTTTAGGGCCATCACTTTCCTTTCCTCCTTGAAAAATGGAGAGCTGTTTGTTGAAAGCTGTTCTTTTGACATGGAAACTATTATTTGTTTTTTTTTAAGCATTACTGGATTCTTTCTTCTCTGTGTTCATTATTCTCTTTTCCACCCACAACATGGCCTGAGAACCTGGACCTCTGCCCTCAGTTGCTCCTGACCACCTCCTGGGGGTGTTTACCTGTGTGTACTCTGTGTGTGAGTGTGTAGAATGATTACACTTCAGATAAAATTATCAACACAAATCTATGAACAATTTTCCTTTTTTTTCAAATAAAAGTTTTATTTCTAGATTCTATAGTTGGGTTTAAAATATTTTTAATTGACAAAAATTATATATATTTATGGTGTGCTACGTGATGTTTTGATATATGTATATATTGTGTGATCCAATACAAAGCTACAGTAATTACAACAGTTTGGTAGTGGTATAGTTGGTTCTTTCGTCCAGGAATTGTAGCTTTTCTAAATTACTCATGATATCTTCTGTAGATTCGCTCTTTTAAAAGGGTTTCCAGCTGGATGTGATAGCTCATGCCTGTAATCTTAGCACTTTGGAAGGCCTAGCTGGGAGGATCACTTGAGGCCAGGAGTTGGAAACCAGCCTGGGCAACATAGTGAGAGCTCTTCTCTACAAAAAAAATTAAAAATTAGTCAGACATGGTGGCATGTGCCTATATTTCCAGCCACCTGGGAGACTGAGGTGAAAGAGTCACTTAGAGCTCAGGAGGTCAAGGCTATAGTGAACTATGATCAGGCCACTGCACTCCAGCCTAGGCAACAGAGCGAGAACCTGTCTCTAAAAAATAAAGAATAAATAGGCCGGGCACAGTGGCTCACGCCTGTAACCCCAGCACTTTGGGAGGCCGAGGCGGGTGGATCACGAGGTCAGGAGATAGAGACCATCCTGGCCAACATGGTGAAACCCCGTCTGTACTAAAAATACAAAAATTAGCCAGGTGTGGTGGCAGGTGCCTATAGTCCCAGCCACTTGGGTGGCTGAGGCAGGGGAATCGCTTGAACCCAGGAGGCGGAGGTTGCAGTGATCCAAGACTGTGCCACTGCACTCCAGCCTGGTGACAGAGCAAGACTCTGTCTCAAAAAAAAAAAAAAAAAAAAAAAGAAAGAAAAAGAAAAAAGGAAAATAAATAAATAAATAAATAACATAAAATAAAAGTGTTTGCATGTTTCTTTTGGTAATTTTATTCTCCAAGAGAAATCCCCAGCCAGCACATGTTTTCTTGTGGTCTTGGATATCCTGAGAAGAAAAAGAATCTTAAACTTACCTCTTGACATGATGACACAATTCAGGGGAATACTTATTTCAATAGCTTGAAGTTGATAAACTGTAAAACTGAGACCGTTTTATTTTTTTAGAAACCTCATTGGCCTCTGACCACAAAGTTTAGCTTTCTCTTCCAAATTTTCCTCAATATTTCATTATGTAAATTTTCAAATATTTAGCCAATTTAGAAGAATGTTACAGTGAACACGCATACACCTGCCACCTGGATTCTACCATTAACATTTTGTTCTGCTTGCTTTATTACTTATCTATCCATCCTGAAGATGAGTTTTAAGTATAAGGAATGACTAACTTTCAATAGAGAAGGAACTTCTTACAAAGCCTTTGAGAAAATTACTTCTCTCTGAACCTCAAATTTTCCCCCTCTGTAGAATAAGTGATTGGAGTAGATGGTGGTTTTCTGTTGTGTTTCATGGAGCGCTCCAGTTCTGCAGAGAGGTCTGAGAGTTTCTGATAGATGCAACTCCTGTGTGGAGGCAGGAAGAAGAGCATGAAGGGATGGGGGGTCACTTGAGTGGGCCAGGTTCCAAGCTCCTGAAAGCTTCAGCCGAAACAGCTCAGCTTTATTTGTTTTATATTTGGGGGCTCCATGAATTTGCAAAGGGGAATTGGGCAGCTGAATCCATTTTGAAAACTCTTGGATAGCATGGTTGCAAAACTTTTCAGCTCACAGAAAGGATACATCTGGTCTTTCTAACTATCTCATAAACTTTTAAAGATGATAAACTAACTCTTACATCTGAGACCTTCCTCTGTAACAGGCAGTTTGCCAGACCCTTTTGAATGTTATTGCATTTACCTCTCATAACAATCCTATAAGACAGAGATTGTTAACCTTACTTTATAGGTGCAAAAATCCAGGGCTTAGAAAGTTGACTTTCTGAAAGTCACTTGGCCTGCAGTTGGGGGGATTGAGTATGTACTGATTCCCTGGGCGTTGCTTTCATAGCAAGAAGGCATGTATCTGTTGGTGTAGTTGTGACTATATGAGTATCTCCAATGCTTCCTTAAGGCAGGTCATGAAACTGTTGGTCAAGAGATTTTCTGTGTTGCTGCCTTAGTAGATTATGAATACAGAATTCTCCCATTGACCACAAAGGCCATTGAAGAAAAACCCTGTGGTAAAGAATCCAAGTCTGAGAATTCCAACTGTGAAAAAGCAGACTGTGGATGAGAGAGGGACAGGGTCGAGGTCAAAGCAAATCTATGTTATCCTTTTGTAGAGGGCTTTGTCATCTTTATTTTTGAGTTCTGACATCCAGTCCCATTTCCTGTCTTGGAGAACTCTCTCACTGAGTGAAATGTTGGGGAATTAATGTGCACCTACCTATAGAAAATGGAGACCTTCTATTTTGGCCCCTTGGTGGCCATGTTGTGGCATATGACCTCTGCTCAACCAATTGGATGCCCCCTCCTGGGTCTTTGCTTCTAAAAACAAGTGAAACAGAGATAAGAACCAAGTAGAATTTATGCTTGGAAGCATCTGTGGAGGCGTTTAATGGCAGCTATAGCAATGACTTCAACTATCAGTGGTGGTGTTCTGGTCACACTATCCTGTTCAAAGATGGTTATTTTACTTGTTTCTTGATCCCCCAAATAAAGGTATATGAATTTATTTCCATTTTACTTGGTATAGTGAGAACATGTGGCAGTTGACTTTCTGTTTCTGAGTTATTTTACTTAGGATAATGGCCTCCAGTTTCATCTGTGTTGCTGCAAAACACATGATTTCATTCTTTTTTATGGCTGAGTAGTATTCCATGGTATATATGTACCACATTTTCTTTATCTAATCATTATTGGTAGACACTTAGGTTTATTCCGTGACTTTGTTTTTGTGAATAATGCTGTGATAAACAAGTGAGTGCAGGTGTCTTTTTTATATAATGATTTACTTTCCTTTGGGTAGATACCCAGTAGTGGGATTGCTGGATTGAATAGTAGTTCTATTTTTAGCTTTTTGAGAACTTGCCACACTGTTTTCCACAGAGGTTGTTCTAATTTATTACATTCCCACAACAGTGTACAAATATTCCCATTTCTCCCCATACTCACCAACTTAAGTAGAGCTGTACCAGCTTCTGACCCTGAACTGTGTTCTCATATTCGAGAAGAAACTTGGAAAATCTCCATTTAACAGGATCTATTATTTGAAGATAGTTGGGAAACCATCTTTAATTCCTTGAACTTACCTTTTGAGTTTTAAATGACTCTAAATGTGTCATTGGCTGTTTCTTCCTAACGCATGGCCTGCTGACCCCAAGAGGATTCCTGGTGAACATTTCATGTTCTCCATCTAGTTACATATGTATTTACTGATATGGAAAAGCACTGTGGGGCAATGGACACAGCACTGACCAGGGAGACCTGGGTTCTATTTCTGGCTCTTCCTCTTAGCAGCTGCATGGCCCTGGATAGATTATTTATCTTCTCTGGATGTCAGTTTACAAAGCTTAGACTAAGAGGGTGTTTCTCGAAGGACCAACATAACTCTTTCCACTCCCACAATTCTTAGTTCTTCATTGGTTTTATGCTTTGTGGTGTGGATAACACTGGGTTTTCTACTATCCTCCTTTCCAAAAAAGCAAATGAACCCAACACTGGATTCAAGCTTAAGGTGCAGACTCACAGAATATTATTATTTTGATGTATATCAGCTGCATTTCTTTAAGGTAAATTTAAGAGCTGTTTTTTCTTTTAAACCCTAGTTGGATTTTTCAGGTGTCTTGTAAAAGCAAAACTGTAAGTCTTATTTTTATATTCTGTCTCTTTCAGACACACGCGCATGCACACACTCACATGCATACATGCACATATGTGCGCGCACACACACACACACACGTGTCCACCAGCCCTCAGTGCCAAAAAGGCAATTTTGCTGCCCTGAAGCTTTTATTAATTTTGACATGCTTTTGGTGAGCCACTGACACTGCTGCTGAATGGGGCTTCCTAAGATAATAGGATGAATGAAATAGAAAAAAAAATAGTAAGGAAAGATAAAACCTTCTGAGGAAACTTTTAAGGAAAAAGTTCCCATCTCAACTGGGCTGTGTGCTCTTGCCTATGGGGGACACTGCAGGGGCACGATTTTAAAGACACTCCAGAGACAGAGCCTCCTGAGCACGGCTGGCATCAATGAGACACCCACAGCTAAAACCTCATTTCACAGCTTGATAAAAATTAAACATAAAAGACTCTTCCGGCTTCACAAAAATGGAAATATATGCTGTTTTGAGAAGTGCCACCTCTAGTAATTGAGTTACTGTCTTCCAGCCCTAGCTTGCTTCTGAAGAATGCTTCATGGATTGCATCTGAGGCAATTGCTCATCACTTCTCTGAGAGTTTGCAAATACATCTGCCTGGAGTCTCAAACAAAGTCTTGTCAACATGACCTCAGGAAGTCTCCTCACCACTGGGACTCTGAATGGAGTCACTGACTCTAGTATTTAGTCTTCTTTGTAATCCTGGAGTAGGGATCTGACTCTGCAGACCATATTTGGCTTTGTAGGGCTCTGCCAAGGGTGGGCTAGAGGGAGACTGCACGGGGAGAGGAGGAAGTAATTACTCTTTTCTGTGTGCTTCCTGTGGACTTCCTGTGTGCTTCCTGTGGACTTCCTGTGTGCTTCTTATCCTATTGACTTGCTGTGGATTTCCTGTGTGCTTCCTGTGAACTTCCTGTCTGCCTCCTGTGGACCTCCTGTTGGCCCATGGTGGATTTCCTATCTTCTTCCTGTGGATTTTTTGTGTCTACTTCCGATGGACCTCATTGTGGCTTGTTGTGGACTGCCTTTCTGCTTCCTGTGGAGTTCCTGTGTGCTTCTTGTGGACTTTCTGTCTGCTTCCTGTGGATTTCCAGTGTGTGTCTTGTGGATCTCCTGTTGTCTTGCTGTGGAGTTCCTATGGACTTCCTGTGTACTTCTTGTGGACTTCCTGTGTGCTTCTTGTGGACCTCCTGTTGGCTTGCTGTGGACTTCCTGTCTTCCTCTTGTGGACTTTCTGTGTGCTTCTCATGTATTTCCTGTTTCTTTGCTGTGGACTTTCTGTGTGCTTCTGGTGGACTTCCTGTCTGCTTCCTGTGGACGTCCTGTCTGCTTCTAGTAGACCTCCTGTCATCTTGCTGTGGATTTCCTGTGTGCTTTCTGTGAACTTCCTGTGTGCTTCTTGTGAACTTTCTGTCTGCTTCTGTTGGACTTCTGCTTCCCGTTCTTGCCAAGTGCCACCCAAGAAGCACTGTTTTACTCCGGCGGTGGCCAATCCTTTCGGTAGTAGTGACTGAATTCAGTTTGTAGTTTCTCTGGTGTTTGCAGACAAACTTCATTATGTCCCACTCTGAGACACCAGCATTGATCATTCTCCTCTCCTTAGAGGTTAGAGTCCCAACCCCACAGTAGCTCCTTTTCGAAGCTTCAAGGTTTTAATGATTCCAGCCTCTTCTCTTTGTTCCCCCAGCCTTGGGAGTCCTGGGAGTGTTTACTGCTTTGTGTAGTTGCTACCACTATGGTAACTTCCAGTTACTTAGTCAACAACTCTATACCCAGTTAATAACTTCTTTTTATTAAATTCTTTCTATGCAAATAACTTTTGTGATTTCCAATTCCTTACTGGATGTGGCTGATACAACACTTTTAACAGGTTGGTTTGTAAGATTCTGATTTTTTGTATGCATTTAGGGACACACACATAATCTGTGTTTACTTATGACTATATGACTTTATTTTTACAGAAGTGGCATCATATTGTTTGCACAATCTTCTGCAACTTTCTTTTTATCACCTAATTTTAAATATAAATAAGAAATAAGAAATAATAAAAAATGAGAACATATTCAAAAATGACTTTCCATGTCAGTACAAATGAAGCTTCCTTATCATTTTTCATGGCTGCATAGTATTTCATAATTTGTTTAATGATGACCACTCCTAGAACTTTTGATTGTTTCTATTTTTTTTGCAATTACAGAAAAATATTTTAGTGAATATGCTTATACACAAATATACACAGACAATTCTTGGGTACATGTTTGAGTATACATCTTTAAGATACATTTCTATTATGGAAACAGTATAAATAACATGCGTATTAAATATTTTTGATACATGCAGCCAATGCCCCCCAAAAATGCTTTACCATTTGACATTATTATCAGCTAAGTATGATTATGCACATCTGCTCTCTCTTTTTTATGAATTCCTAAAAGTTTCTGGTCTGCTGATGGTACATTTTTTTATATTCTAGCAATAGTATTGATTTTCTGTTTTTTCCTGGGCATGAGGAGTGACCAAAGCAAGTGCTCAGCTGGCATCTCGATCCAATTTTTTCAGATTTCAGTTTTCTTCAGTGGCCTTGGTGGATTCAATAAATCTTCAGGTAGTCTACTGCCAATTACCTTGTTTTCATGGCAGTCTTGAAAATGTTTTGGATTTTTCTGGCTCAGGCAAAAGGCTTTAAACATTTCTTTCTAGGTGAGTGAATTTTCCTGTCCTTGAAAGATACACCCTTACAAGGAGTATTCATGAGGAGCCTATGGCCAAGAATTAATAGTAACTACAACAAAAAATAGCCAACATTTATTAAGCCTTTATTATATGCTCCACATCATGTTAAGTGCTTTTGCATTGAATACATAATTTAATTCTTACAATGATCTTATTTTACAGATGAGGAAACTAAGGCTTAGAGAAGTTGGCTTGTTTGCCAAAACCACTCAGCTAGCAAGTGCAAGAGCTAGAATTTAAGTGTAAGTAGTCAGATTCCTTTTTGCTGTTTTTTTTTTTTTTGAGATAGGGTCTTACTCTGTTGCCCAGGTTGGAGTATAGTGATGTGATCGTGGCTCACTGCAGCCTCAGCCTCCCAGGGGCAAGTGATCCTCTTACCTCACCCTTCAGAGTAGCTGGAACCACAGGTGCAAGCCACCACGCCCAGGTATTTTTTTGTGTGTGTGTGTGGAGATGGGTCTCACTCTATGTTTCCTAGGCTGGTCTGAAACTCCTGGGCTCAAGTGATTCTCCTCCCTTGGCATCCCAAAGTTCTGGGATTACAGGTGTGAGCCACCACACCTGGCCCTTTGTAGTGTTTGATCATGAGTTTATTCATGAATGCATATTAATTGAATACTTAGTGTGGTAGCCAGCTTCCACGCAGGCCCCCAACAATCCCTGCCTCCTGATATTCACAAGGAGGCAGTCCTCTTCCTCAGTGAATAGGGCTGACCTATGCAACTAGTAGGATATTGTAGAAGACTTTCAAGTCTACATCATAAAAGACCCTGTGGCTTCTTTCTTGGCCTCACTTGAATTAGGCATCTTGCCACCAGCCATGGGAGGGGGCCATCTTGGAAGGCCCCAATTGAACCTTCAGATGACTGTAGCCTGATGACATCTTAACTGCAATCTAATGAGAGACAAACCAGAACCACCCAGCTGAGTAGCCCTGATTTCTGACTCCCAGAAACTGTGTGAGATAATGCATTTTTTGTTGTTTTATTCTGCTAAGCTCTGGGATAGTTTGTTACACAGCAATAGATAACTGTTACGTTTAGTATGTTCCAGTCACTGTCCTTGGTGCTAGAGATATAGCAGTCAATAGGACAGACAGGTTCTTGCTCTCATGGGACTTAAAAAGTTCTCTGAAGGAAAAGGATAATAATTCAATGAATAAGCAAGAAAAAAATCTAAGTTTTATGCAGATAGTAAAATAAAGTGAGTTGATGAAGTCATTTAATTTGGGTGGGTGATGGAGATACTCACTGAGGTGGTAATATTTATGTTGGAATCAGAAAGTTGTGGGCAAGCCAGGAAAGCAGATATCATTTATGGGAAGGGTATGGCCAGTGCAAAGGCCTAGATGAGGGAAGGGGCCAAACCAGTGTGTTTGAATAGTGGAGGCTGGAGGGAGGGGGGTAATGAAGTCCAAGAGAAGGCAGAGGAAGGGTCGTAGGGCCTGTAGCATTGTTGGGAGTTTGGATTTTATTGGTAACTCAATGGGAAACTGTTGAAGCAGTTGAGAAACCCAATCAGGTTTAATTTTAAAAAGAATATTCTGATGTCAGTATGTGAATGGATTGCAGGTAGGTAAGATGTGCATGGCTCTTGGGCTGCTGGATAGAAAGGGTGAGGTGAAATTGAGGATTCACAGGAATATGAGATTTGAGTGGCTGAGTGGATAGCAGTGCCATTTACCAAGATGGGCAAAGTGGGAAGAGCAAACTCGTGGGGGAGTCAAAACTTTTGTTCAACCCTGTTCATTTTGAGATGTATGCGTGGCTACCAAATGAAGGCTTGGAGTTTCTGGAAGAAGTTAGGGCTGGAGCTAGACATTCCAAAGAAAGTGTTCTTTAAAAAAATTATTTAATTTTTTTATTTTTGTGGATTTAGGGACACAAATGCAGTTGTGTTACAAGGACATATTGTATAGTGAAGTCTAGGCTTTTAGTGCACCCATCACCCCATAGTGTCCATTTTACCCAATAGGTGGTATTTTGTCTCTCACCCTCTTCCCACCCTCCCACCTTTTGATGTCTCCAATGTCGCTGAGTCCACTCCAGAAACGGTGTTCTTAATCTATATGCTATGATACGTACAAAGGCTAAGAGGAATGTTAAAGATCATCTCATGCAGCTGCCTCTAGTCATGGTTGGACAAAACTGAGTTGGGAGTGGTTGAGTGATTTCCTTAATGTCATGCACTTCAGCCTACCTAGAACCAAAAGCTTGATTTCTTGATTTTCCTATTAGTGAAGGTTCAGTGTACAGTTACTCAGGATCTACTATAAGCCAGACTCTCTGCCAAGTGTCTTCATTTAAGTTATTTTATCTACACTTGCACTCTTTTTTATTTTTTATTTTTATTTTTATTTTTATTTTTTGAGACAGAGTCTTGCTCTGTCGCCAGGCTGGAGTGCAGTGGCACGATATCGACTCACTGCAACCCCCGCCTCCCAGGTTCAAGCGATTCTCCTGCCTCAGCCTCCCGAGAATCTGGGACTACAGGCACATGCCATCATACCTGGCTAATTTTTTGTATTTTGGTAGAGATGGGGTTTCACCCTGTTGGCCAGGATGGTCTCAATCTCCTGACCTCATGATCTGCCCACCACGGCCTCCCAAAATGTTGGGATTACAGGTGTGAACCACCATGCCTGGCCTACACCTGCACTCTTTCTACTTTATTAGAGACTGTCTAAAAAGCTTACATGCCCCTCCAGGATGTGTCCCTTAAACTCCTCATGGACTAGTATTGACAATTACATTTTATATGTTGTCCTGCGTGCTTCTGGGGAAAAGCAATTTATCTATTCAAATCAAGTGACCAGCACTTTCAGGAGTGGAGTATGGCTGCAGCTCATTATGACTTTAACGAGGGCATTCTTTTTAAGCAGGAGATGTGAACACAATCTTGAAACTATTCAGAAGGAATATGTGGCTCTAGGGTACATTTTGTATAAGGTACTTAATTCAATTCAGGTATGCCAGGCTCCCCTATCCCATTCCCCTCTCCCTCCCCTCCCATAGTTCTTCCCTTTGTCCCATCTTTCCAGTCCCTATAATATTCCAAGAATTATGCTGGGCATTGTGGACATGAACATGGCCACTACTCTTGTCTTTCAGCATGGGTGCCTACTTCCTGGCTATGAGGCCATGAACTTGAGGTCATGAACCTAGTGTTGCACTTAAAAAAAAAAGTAGTAAAGTATACATCATATAAATTTCACCATTTTAGCCATTTAAAAGTGTAGATGCAGTGACATTTAGTACATTCATAACGTTGTGCAACTATCACCGCTGTCTATCACCACCATCACCAAACTGTCACTATCCCTGTCACTATCTGTTACAAAACTGTCTATCACTATCACTATCACTGTCTATCACCAAACATTTTCATCCCCTCTAAGGGAGACCTCCTGCCTATCTATTAAGCGGTCACGCCCCCTTTATTTCTTCTTCTGGTGCCTGGTAACCATTAATTTACTTTTCATCTATCTATTGATTTGCCTATTTTTGATATTTCCTTTAAGTGGAATCGTACAATACGTGGCCTTTTGTGTCTAGCTTCATGCACTTAGCATGGTGTTTTCAAGGTTCATTCATGTTGTTCCACGTATCAGAACTTCATTCCTTTTTATGGCTGAATAATATTCCATTGTATGGTTATACCATGTTTGGTTTATCCATTCATCGGTTAATTGACATTTGGGTTGTTTCCACCTTTTGGTAATGGTGCTGCTATGAACACACGTGTACAAGTTTTTGCTTGGCTACGTGTTTAAAATGCTTCTGGGAATATGCTTAGGAGTGAAATCACTGGGTTTTATGGTAATTGTGTGTTTAAACTTCTTGCAGAACCCTCAAACTATTTTCCCTGTTATTACATTTTTGTGCTTCTATGCATTTCCTAACTCAGTCTAGGGCAGGGTATTTGAAATATTAATCAATCAACCAATCAATCTTTTAAGGCATACATTTGCTTGACCATTCTCTCTTTCCCACCCTTCCTCTCTCTTTCTCTCTCTTCTTCTCTCTCTGTTTATGACTCATACATATAGAAAGGTCTGAGTTATAAATCTCTGAAAACTGGGTTTATGATGGAAAGTAATAATACATTTCGAGATGCTTCCTGGATCTTAAATCATTCTGATAATAATGTTTAATCTATGATTTAAATAAAATATTTTCAAAAAGAAAAAAAGTCACTGATAATTCTACCACCCTTCTATGGTAACAATTTTCGGTTTTAAATTCTCTTCCAGTTGGTCTCTATGCAGTTATTTTATATACTTATAATCAGAGTATACACATAAATGTCTATACTGCATTCCAACAACCCTCTGTTTATCCATTCATCCATTGGTTGGATCCACTTGAGTTGCTTCCATGCTTTGGCTGCTGCGAATAATGCTGGTGTGAACATGGGGGTACGAATATCTCTTTCAGACATTGCTTTCAATTCTTTTGGGTATATACCCAGAAGTGGAATTGATGGATCACATGGTAATTTTTTTCTAATTTTTTGAGGAACTGCCATGCTGGTTTCTGTAGTGGCTGTGCCATTTTACATTCCCACCAGTGTTGCACAAGTAACTGCCACCTAAATTCTGAGCCATTAGGATGATGTAAACACAGCAGGATAGAGTGACAGGGCAAAGTCAGCTCCCAAAGTGCTAGGATTACAGGCGTGAGCCACTGTGCCCGGCCATATTTTCAGACAAATTTTTCCAGATAAATGAAATTTCTTTCTTTTTTTTAATTGATTTTTTCTTTATATAGAAATTTCTGTATCCTACCAGGAAGCAGCATGACATGTTACAGGCTATAGCAAAGCTGGGTATAAATCCTACCTTCTCCACATGTTAGCTGCATGAATGTGGGGGAATTCTTTATCTTGAAGCCTCAGTTTCCTATTCTGCTTTTTAGAGACAGGGTCTCACTCTGACACCCAGGTTGGAGTGCAGTG
This sequence comes from Homo sapiens, assembly GCF_000001405.40. Classification (NCBI taxonomy): domain Eukaryota; kingdom Metazoa; phylum Chordata; class Mammalia; order Primates; family Hominidae; genus Homo; species Homo sapiens. The sequence continues at coordinate 69,192,883 of NC_000007.14, read as the reverse complement.
GTGCAATCATAGCTCACTGCAGCCTTCAACTCCTGGGCCCAAGCCATCCTCCTGCCTCAGCCTCCCAAGTAGCTGGCTTATTTCTAATTTTTTTGTGGATCTGGGGTCTCACTATGTTGCCCAGGCTGGTCTTGAACTCCTGGCCTCAAGCAGTCCTCCCATCTTGGCTTCCCAAAGCACTGAGATTACAGGCGTGAGCCACCATGAAGGGTCAGTTTTCTCTTCTATGAAATGGGTAAATTTCAACTTCTTCAGAGGATTCAATGAAATAATAAATAGGAACTATTTTCTTCTAGTCATTTCACTTACTGAGTTGCTGGCTTTGTTCATTGCAACCTACATGTACCATTGGAAGATAATGCTCTGTTGTTTGTTGTTGAAGACTATCGTATTTCTGCCTTGGATTGTAACAAGTACTTCCAAGCATATAAACTAACCAGCCTGGGTCAGATGCTGTCATAACAGAACTCACAGCCTGAGGAGGCATATCCACTGAGATCAGGTGTCTGGTCTGACACATGACTAGTACCGTAGAAGGCCATTCAATACACTCAGTCAGATGCTGCAGATACTCATAACAGTTCATTGCTTTGCCTCCCCATCAATCCTTGCTAGCTCTTGTCTGCCATTAACTTATGAAGTCTATTTTTGTGTGTGTGTGGGAGGTGCGTTTGGGTGAAAGCTGGAAAACCTTCTAGACAACTTCTAAAAAAAGCTGGTACACCTGAAATGTGGTTTTTGCACTTTTTCAGAGAGAGTTGGAGTTTCTTGCTGTATAGATCCAGTCTAATTTCCCCTCCACCTCACCCCTGCAGCTCCTCCCTCCCCAGATAGTTTCATTGACCGTATTTCTTATTTGTTTCATGTTCTTTCCATACTCAGTGGGAACCTGTTCTCTTCTGTGGCTTCACTGGGCCCTTCCTACTGCAGACAACTCGCACAGACCTTGCCTTCCATGTGATAAGCTAGGAAGTATCCTTCAGGGCATTGCCTTTCTCTTGCTCAGTTTTCTTTCTACTTTTATGCCTTTGTGAACTCTCCTGCATTCACTCAGCAAATAGTGACCATGTGCTCTTTATGGTAGATTGCATCCAAAGATGCAAAAAAACCCAACAGTTCCTGCCTTCTCTGTGTACCCATGTGGCTCCACCCAGCCAGGAGTGGGCAGTCTCCTCCCCTTCAATCTTGGCTGACTTGCAACTTGCTGTGACTGATAGAATGCAGTGGAAATGATGCTGTGTAGGTTGTCCAACTGTTGGGTTCAAGTGATCCTCCCACCTCAGCCTCCCAAGTAGCTGGGACTACAGGCGTACACCACTATGCCTGGCTAATTTTTTTTTTAACTATTTTTCATAGCACTGGAGTCTTGCTATATTGCCCAGGCTGGTCTTGAGCTCCTGGGCTCAAGTTATCCTCAAGCAATCCTGGGCGTGATCTAAAGAGGGTTGGTAGCTTCTGCTTTTGCTTTCTTTCTTGGAGGCTTTACTAGGAAAACTTGAGATGAGTTAATGAATGATGAGAAGTGAGTGACAGAGAGAGAGAAGAGAGACAGAGAATGGAAGGCTAAGTGGAAGAGATTTGAGATGCACCAGCAAGATGTCCCAGCCAACAGCACCAAGGCCCCAGTCATGTGAGGGAGACCACCCTTAATGTCTTAGCACCAGCCAAGCTCTCAGATAAATGCAATCTCATTAGTCACCGTGCAGAGGGGAAAAGCCTGCTCAGCTGATCCCAGCCAACCACAGAAGTTGTAAAAATAATAAATTATTGTTGTGTTGAGCCAGGGACCAATAAACATTTTCTGTAAAGGGCCAGATAGTAAATATTTTAGGCTACGCAGGAGGGCTTTATGGTTCCTGTTGTAACTACTCACTTCTGCCACTGTAGAGTGAAGGCAGCTATAGACAATATGTAAATGAATGAGTCTGGCTGTGTTCCCATCAGACTTTATTTAGAAACAGAGCTGGCAGGCTGGACTTGCCTGTGGACAATAATTTGCTGACCCCTGTGTTAAGTCACTAAGCTTTGGGATGGCTTCAAGAATGTGATAGATAACTGAAACGGCCTGTTCCTATGCTCCAGGCACTGTGGCTGGTGTTGAGCTATAATTGTTAAAATGACAAACTCATTCCTGCCTTCAGGGAGCTTGCAACTTGTCTGAGCTTTATGGAGAAAGAGATTGCAGTCAATAACTCCTGTCCAAATAACCCCCAAGGCTGAAATCCAACTATTAAGAATTCAGTGAAATGGACCAGCTATTGAAGGAAGGAGATGGAGTTGGGGCTGGAGGCATGCGTATCTGTTCTGGTTTACTGTTGCTGCACAGTGGACCCTCCAAAACTTGGTGACATAAAACAACCATTTTATTATGCTCATGGATTCCATGGGCTAGGAATTAGACAAGGATAGCTGGACTTTGACAGGTGGAGTCTGGGCCTCAGATGGAGAGACTCAGTAGCTGGGGTTGGTTTGTCATCTGGAGGCTAAATTCACACAGAGATGTCTTCGCTCAAGTGTGGCGGTTACTCTGACTTTCAGTGAGGGAATCTCCACATGGCCTGAGCATCCTCAATCGGGGTGGCCCTAGGTGTTTTGGGGCTCCAGGACTCAAGGACTTTGGACTCCAGGATATGTACATATATATATATGTATATATATTTATTAAGTTGGTGCAAAAGTTATTGCGGTTTTTGCCATTACTTTCAATGTTAAAAACTGCAATTACTTTTGCACCAACCTAATACAGTATATCTATAGATATATCTATGTTAGCTAGATTATATATAATATTATATATAACGTATATAATGTGGATATAATATATACCTTGTATATATAATATATATTATATAGATATAATAATGTACTAGAAAATATAATTATATAATAGCTATATAATTATATATAACATAATATATAATTATATATAATATAAATGTAGAAAATATAATAATTATATATTCTATATATGTATTATATATTCTATATATGTTATATAGATATAATACATATAGCATAATAAAAGCAATAATGTATATATAATACATATATAGGATATATAACACATATATAGTATGCAATGTATATATTGTATTATATGATATGTAGTGTATATATTCTATGTAATATATAATGTATATATAATCTATACTGCATATATAATATGTAATATATAATGTCTATGTAATGTGTGTATATTTATGTATGAGAGGAGATTTATCTTGGGAATTGGCTCACAGGATTATGGAGCCTGAGAAGTTCCACCATCTGCCACCTGCAACCTGGAGACCCAGGAAAGCCCGTGGCGTAATTCAGTCTAAGCCTGAAGACCTGAGAATCAGGGGAGCTGATGATGTTAACTCCTGGTTTAAATCTGAAGGCCTGAGAACTGGGGGTGCCGCTGCTGTAAGTCCTAGAGTTCAAAGGCCCAAGAACCCAGAGCTCTGATGTCTGAAAGCAGAAGATTGATGTCTCAGCTCAAAAAGAAAGTGTTAATTTGCCCTTTCTCTACCTTTTTGTACCATTCAGGCCCTCAATGGATTAGATGGTGTCCTTCCACATTGGTGAGGGCCAATCTTCTTTACTCGGTCTGATACTGACTCAAATCCTAATCTCTTCCAGAAACATCTTCATAGATGAACCCGGAAATAATGTTTTACTAGCCATCTGGGCATCCCTTAGCCCAGTCAAGTTGACACATAAAAGTAATCATCACATTGGTATATGAAGAGGATTAAATCACTCAATTTTGAATAGGTTTGTGAGTGCTGAACCTTCCTTGTCAAGGCTGATTCGAGTTCTTAATAATCTTCTCACTGTGTCCCTGGAGAAGAAGTAACATGGGAAATGATGCTCATGGATTGTCATGGTCCTTACTAGAGAAGGCCTGTATTTCTTGTATTCTTTATCGTAGTATGGTACAGTGATTGAGGGCGTCTACTGTGGAGTTAGTCTGACATTACTGTTCCAGCTCTGTCATTTGCTTGCTATGTGACTGTGGATCAATTTCTCAACATTCTAAAGTCCTGCTTGCCTCATTCAAAAAATAATAATATTTTACTTCTGAGAATTGCTGTGAAGTCCTGCCAAGATAATGCATGTAACTAGCAAATAGTGAATATCTGGTCAATAGTATTATCTTAAAGTAGACTGTAGATTTTGAGCATTTAGTAAGTTTTAAGGAGAAGATAGTAGCAAAATAATATAGAAAGTGCTAAATGAAAAGTAAAAAAATCACCAGAAAATCCTCTTATTCTGAGAGCAATTTTAATTTTGGTAAATATTCATTTAAGCTGCCAGCGATCTCTTTATGTGCATTTCTACTTAGAGACATAAAATTATATACACAAGTGCACAGATACACACACATAATTACATACACATATACACACACATAATCATATACACATATATTCATACACACACATTTTTACATGAATGACATAATATTCATGGTGTTTCATAACCTGTTTTTACTCAATACTATACCACGAATATCTTCCCAGAAAAATGTGTAGCTTTCTACCACTGTTTAAAGAACTGAGAGTGTGGATTTACCATAGTTTAATTTGTCACAACTGATGGACATTTAGGTTGTTAGACAACTCTGCTTTCCAGAAAGACACGAAGATACAACATAACTAAGACTTCAGTTACCTTGATTCATCTACAGGCCTAACTCATCTTATGTTTCTTTCCATTTCCAGCCTCTGACTCATCTCTTTGCCTTCTGAGTTCTCACTCATTCCCTGCTCTGGTGGGAGTCTCCCTTCCTCATGATATTATTCCTGTAGCAAACACATGACCCTCCCTGGCATTGACCCACCCAAGACTCTGGCTTCCTGTGATTCCAGGTCCACCCAGCAGGAGTCCACATGGCCAGCATTTCTATTGAGTTTACGCAGACTCACAGAAAGGAACCACTGATAGGAAGGCCACGGGCACTGTTTTAATGGTGGAATCATTCCACATCTGTGAATAAAATGCTACAGAACCTTTAGGGCTAGCAGCCGTCTCAGAGGACTTCTGATGCAATCTTTCTCCTATGGACTACCGGCAAAGAGAATAACCCTAAACCCAGATGTGATGATAAAAGGCAAAAGGTGATGTTTTACAAGGTAGAAAAAGAGATATGGAATTTAGAGTAGGGGAAATAGGCTTGTCTTCAGAACCTAGGACTGTAAAAGCCTTGTTATGGAAAATGGTTCTAAAAGGATTTCTTTCCTATGAAAATGATATGAAAATATATCGTTCCAAGAGACTGGACTAGAAGTCTTCCAAACTGTCTTCTAGTGATCCTGAATTATCAGAGTTTATGTCTTCTATGAAAGGGGACTGGTAATATCAGATTTGTAGTGTTATAGAGATTATCTAAAATAATGTCAAGGGGCTTTGTAAGAGAGACATTACTACTACTGTTATAAATATTCTTAAGAATTATAACCTCAAAGTAGCTTCCAATGTGTTTTACATTTTGCAGGGGCTCAATACATTAAATCAATAGGCTAAATAATGTAAAAGTAGCCAGTTATTAAGGAAATTACCTAATTCAAAAATTTTTTTTCCCTTAGACTGGATGACAATTCTAAGATTCCAGTTCTATGATTCATAATGGAAAAAAGGCGGAAACCACCCAAATGTTCATCAGCTGAAGAATGGATACATAAAATGCAGTTAAATTCATACAGTGGAATAGTATTCAGCAATGAAAAGGAATGACGCACTGGTACCTATTACGACATGAATGACTCATACAAACGCTATGCCGAGTGAAAGAAGCCAATCAAAAAAGACCACATGCTATATGACTCCATTCATATTATGTTCATAACAAGGAAATCTATGGATAAAGTAAATTAGTGGTTGCTTAAAGCTGGGAAGGATGTGGGAATAGAAAGGTGATAGTGAAAGAGCATAGGGTTTCTTTTAAAGGTGATGAAATAGTTCTAAAATTGTGGCTATGGTTGCACAGATCTGTGAATATACTAAACACCATTGAAATGTACAATTTCAATGGATGAATTGTATGGTATGTGAATTATATATAAATAAAGCTATTAAAAAATGATTCCCGGCCGGGCGTGATGGCTCACGCCTGTAATCCCAGCACTTTGGGAGGCCGAGGCGGGTGGATCATGAGGTCAGGAGATCCAGACCATCCTGACTAACATGGTGAAACCCCGTCTCTACTAAAAATACAAAAAATTAGCTGGGCGTGGTGGCGGGCGCCTGTAGTTCCAGCTACTCAGGAGGCTGAGGCAGGAGAATGGCGTGAACCTGGGAGGCGGAGCTTGCAGTAAGCGGAGAGATGGCGCCACTGCACTCCAGCCTGGGCGACAGAGCGAGACTCTGTCTCAAAAAAAAAAAAAAAAAAAAAAAAAAAAAAAGGAAAAGATTCCCAAGTCAGAGCAGGGAGATGACTATTTTAGCTCACACCCTAAAAAATAAACGGGATGGAACACCGCTCCTGGGGAAAGGCAACTGCAAGGTAAACAGGGTTCCCGAGGCTATTACAGCCCTGTCTGAGCCAACGGGGTACTAGGCAGCAAGACCACCTATAAAACCAACTCAGGGTCACCCAACTCCATTTATCAGTGACCTGGGACACAAGCCCATTACTGCCTCGCTTGCTCTCCATCTCTGACATGTTCTAGCTCTGCCACAGCGCATGACTCTGGCTCTTACTGCATTCGGAAACTGAACGTCTCTGATCAGGTCAGCCAGTGGGTTCCTAGGAGGCGCTGTCTCTGAAGGGTTGTTGAAATGATGTGGGAAGACTGAGGCAGGGGAAAGTGGCAGGTAAGAGTGTTTTATGTACCATCTGTGCGATCCAGATTTCTTGTTGCTTTTGTTCTAGTTTCTTGGGACAGTGAGAGAAAAATCACGTTTCCCGCTTTCTTTTACAATGCGTTTCTTTGTGAAATGAGGTCTATAGAACCCACAGATTCCTGTTCCCTATTCAGGCCCATTGGTCTTACAGTTGGTGGAAATGTATCTGAAATCTCTATGATACCACAGGCATTTTAGAGGAAAACGTGAAAAGGAGATATCAGAGCGTACTGCCTGATGCTTTTCCACTACATTTCTTAATATCAACATTAATGCTCCAAAGTGCTCTATAATTCTATGACGATACTGTTCATTCATTTTTTATTTGCGTTTGGACAGGGCTTAGAGAACAAATTTGCACACACGTTTAACTTTGGCTCTTTAAGATTTGGAATTCAAATTATCCCAACCCAATTTGATATTAATAGAATGCAACCACTTTGCACTTTGTATGTTTCAGAGGATTTCACAAACATGATTGCATGAGATGATGTAGGCAGAATGAGTGCTTGGGTTCAGAATCAGGAGTTTTGGGCACTAGTTCTGGCTCTCCCTGCACCCAGAGGGAGGGACCTTGGAAAATCCACTTACTCTTCCTGGACCTCAGTTTTCCAGTTTCTGAAATAAAGAGGATCTGGCCAGGCGTGGTGGCTTAGGCCTGTAATCTCAGCATTTTGGGAGGCCGAGGCAGGTGGATCACGTGAGGAGTTCGAGACCAGACTGGCCAACATGGTGAAACCCTGTGTCTACTGAAAATTCAAAAAGTAGCTGGGCATGGTGGTGGTGCACACCTGTAATCCCAGTTTCTTGGAAGGCTGAGGCAGGGGAATGTTTGAACACAGGAGGTGGAGGTTGCCATGAGCTGAGATCGCACCACAGCACTCCAGTCTGGGAGAGTGAGCGAGACTCCATCTCAAAATAAATAAATAAATAAAATAAAATAAAGGGGATTGACTTGATGGTCACCGAAATTCCTTTCACATCAGATATTTTATGTCTCTGTGTTTATCACCAATGGTCATGTTGATTTAGCACAGGGCATGGGATAACTAGCCTTAAGGAAAACAAGCAACCATTTGTGAGTGATGAAATCTTCCTATTTAATGAAGACTTTAATTTTAAAAGTTTCCCTCATAAGTCGGAATAGAGCTTTGAGTTTTACTATCATCATTCTGTACTTTCAGTTTCATAAGATTAGAATTTCATTCCTCTTACATGTTGTGCTTACAATGAAAATAAACTGCTGCTAGTTCACATAGGGTTCCTTGCTAGGGCCCGGGTCACAGCCATGCTTTATTTAGAGTAGTGGTTCTCCAACTTTAGTGTATAACAGAATCACCTGAAGGGCTTGTTCAAACAGATTGCTGAGCCTTATTCCCGAGTTTCTAATTCAACAGGTCAGGAGTGGAGCCTGAAAATTTGCATTTCTAATAAGTACACAGATGAGGCTAAGGCTCTGACCCGAGGACCACACGTTGAGAACTGTTGAGTTGGGGGTGTGTTGACTTGCTTTGTTTTGCGTCTGTTGCCAGAGAAAATATGAGTCTTCTGAAACAAGCAGAGAAGAGGAATTAGCTTACGTTGGCCACTTCCTCCTCTCCTTGTCATTTTCTCTGATTAATTTCTAGTATGATCTGAGGCTCCCTGGGCTGGTTTTAGAATTTGCACCCCAGGGGCTGAGGTTGGGATGGATGGGCCATCTTACTCAAAATAGCCAGGAAGAGAAGGAGCCACAGGAGCCATAGTAGATGAATTTGAGAGTTATATTTTTTACAACCAAGAAAAATAATGGTGACCAGGGGAGAAGGCAGGAAAAATATGCATAGCAGTATGTACTGGTGGTGATAGTTTCTAATGTTGTGGCAGACTTGTTCACCCACATCAGTCTCCTTTTCCTTTTTCTAAACACGTAGCTAGACTTCTCTCAAAGCTGAATATGGTCATGATTTAGTTATTTCCAATGAAATGTGAGTGGAAGTGATTTGTGCTCATCCTAGACCAAGACTTTTGAGAGGAGAGTGTGTCTCCTCCTTGTTCTCTTTCCTTTCCTCCGTCTTCTGGATGGAGACTCAAGGAACTTGAGTCCCAGAATCACTGCATGGAGGAGAGCTGCTTCTTGTTCAGGAGCTCTTGAACTCTTACATGAGCTAGAAATATATGTCTGCTGTATTTGATCCATTATAAACTTTTAGGTCTAATTTTTACTACATACAAATGCTATCCAATAAGTCTATATTCCATTCTTTCTTGCTTTTTCTTTTTTCTTTCTTTCTTTTTTTTAGATGGAGTCTCACTCTGTCACCCAGTCTGGAGTGCAGTGGCATGATCTCTGCTTACTGCAACTTCCACCTCCCGGGTTCAAGCAATTCTCCCAACTCAGCCTCCCAAGTAGCTGGGATTACAAGTGTGTACCATCATGCCTGGATAATTTTTGTATTTTTAGTAGAGATGGGGTTTTGCCATGTTGGCCAGGCTAGTCTCAAACTCCTGGCCTCAAGCGATCCACCTGCCTCGGCCTCCCAAAGTGCTGGGATTACAGGCATGAGTCACTGCACCGGGCCTCCATTATTTCTTAAGGGTAGAAGACCAAGCTTTGGGGATGGGAGAAAACAGAAAATTAGGACTAGATGAATGTATGTAAGATCCTTAAGAATGAACTGGGATCATTTAGGCATTCACAAGCCCCATAAGGGCCAGGACATCCCCTTCTCTGATCTAAACCTAGGTAAAGATCACCTAAGATGATGTCAAGGGGCTTTCTAAGGGAGAGTCTTCTTACTACTACTGTTATAATTATTCTTAAGAACTATAACCTCAAAGTAGCTTCCAACGTTTTGCATCACGCAGGGACTCAATATATTAAATCAGTAGGCTAAACGATGTAAAAGTAGCCACTGATTGAGGGAACCTCATTCAAGTCATTCTGATCTAAAGAAAAGGGGACATCCTGGCACTTATGGGACTTGTGAGTAGAGCCCAAAGACGTTCACATGAAATCTCTTGAGAACTCCAAATATAGGTATGCTTTCCTATTTTCAAGATGAGAACATTAAAGAATAATTCACATAGGCTAGGTGAAAAAAATGCTGAAGAATAAGGAAAGGGCAGAAGCTCTTGGTATACTAAGTAGAAAAATATAGTTCTGGAAATATTTACTGAAAGAACAAAGACAACCTTTTCGAAAACAGTTTGGTGACCACAATAGTTGCAGGAAGACTGCCTTGATCAAAGAGGAAGCAAAATCATAAGAAGGAAGTGGAAGAGGTGAAGGGTTTAACAGGATGAGATTCAGATTTAGCAAGCTGAGACAAACAGGAAGAAAGAGAAATTAGCAGAAGAAATCAAGGAAACTGATATACGGTATTAAGATAAAAAAACACAATGACATAGAAGACAAACTTGAGAAGCTCTCAGAGTTCAGGAGAAAAAAAACTAAGAGATAAAAGCCAGAAGAATTAGGCAGATATGGATCATACATACAGAAACCTTAAGAATGATAGAGATTTCTGAGGAAAGAAACAGGACAAATGGAAGAAAATGTAAAAAAGTATGTTTAAGGATTAATCTATATGAATCTGGAAAAATATCTGAATTTAAAGATCGAAATGGTTTGTTATATTACAGGTAACACACACACACACACACACACACACACACACACACACACTCATATTCTAGCAATTAAAAAAAAATTATAAGAATTAAAATAAGCCACACAGGCCTGGTGCAGTGGCTTATGCCTGTAATCCCAGCACTTTGGGAGGCTGAGGAGGGAGGATAGCTTGAGCCCAGGAGGTGGAGACCAGCCTGGGTAACATGGTGAGACTCCCATCTCTACAAAAAATAAGAAAGTTAACCAGACATGGTAGCACATGCCTGGTAGTCCCAGCTACTCAGGAGGTTGAGGCAGAGGAACATTTAAGCTCAGGATTTGGAGGTTGAAATGAGCAATGTCTGTGCCACTGTACTCCAGCCAGGGTGACAGAGTGACGCCCTGTATCAAAAAAACAAAAACAAAAACAAAACAAAAAAACAAGCCATACAAGAGTTTGCAAATATCTAGGAATATCTAGGCAGGAAAATAATCACTTTCACCCCAGGTTTTACAGGAAAGATGTTTAGATCCTTGAATTTTAAACTTGCCTGAATTTTTATTTGTGGTTGAAGGTAGAAGCAAAATATTCTAGAAAATGTAAGGATCTAGGAAATTTACCAACTACTTGCTCTTTGTGGGAACAAAAATTGTTTTGGAAGACATTGTCTGATTGACCTAGAGCTAAATCAATATTATGAACTCATAAATGTCAGTGCTCTGGCTGGGCACAGTGGCTCACGCCTGCAATCCCAGCACTTTGGGAGGCCGAGGCAGGTGGATCATGAGGTGAGGAGATCGAGACCATCCTGGCTAACACGGTGAAACCCCGTCTCTACTAAAAAATACTAAAAATTAGCTGAGTGTGGTGGCACACACCTGTAGTCCCAGCTACTGGGGAGGCTGAGGCAGGAGAATCGCTTGAACCTGGGAGGTGGAGGTTGCAGTGAGCTGAGATAGGGCCACTGCACACCAGCCTGGGCAACAGAGTGAGACTCCATCTCAAAAAAAAAAAAAAATCAGTGTTCTGACACCCTTTGTATAAAAAATGACCCCTAGCCAGGCACAGTGGCTCATTCCTGTAATCTCAGAGCTTTGGGAGGCCGAAGTGAGAGGATTGCTTGAGGCCAGGAGTTACAGATCAGCTGGGGAAACATAGCAAGACCCCTGTCACTCCAAAAAAATAAAAATTAGCTCAGCATGATGGTGTGTGCCTGTAGTCCCAGCTACTTGGGAGGCTGAGGTAGGAGGATTGCTTCAGCCTAGGACTTTGAGGCCGTAGTGAGCTATGATCACACTACTGCACTCCAGCCTGGGCAACACAGGGAGACCCTGTCTCAAGAAAAAAATGATCCTGGAACTTCTGCCTCATCCTTCATCCAGGCTGCTGACCTGGGGGCCCATCTCAGCTCTGCAGAAGGCCCACTGATATGGTTTGGCTCTGTGTCTCCACCCAAATCTCACCTTGAATTGTAGTAATCCCCATGTGTCAAGGGCAAGACCAGGTGGAGATAATTGAATCACGGAGGCAGTTTTCCTGATGCTGGTCTTGTGATAGTGAGTGAGTTCCCATGAGAGCTGATGGTTTTATAAGGGACTTCCCCCTTTGCTCAGCATCCATTCTCTCTCCTGCCACCCTGTGAAGAGGTGCCTTTGACTATGATTGTTAAGTTTCATTTTTATATACAAAGCATGTCAGAGCACTGACTTTTATGAGTTCATAATATTGATTTAGCTCTAGGTCAGTTAGACAATGTCTTCCAAAACCATTTTTTCCCACAAAGAGCAAGTAGTTGGTAAATTTCCTAGATCCTTACATTTTCTATAATATTTTGCTTCTACCTTCAAACATGAATAAAAACTTAGCCAAGTTTAAAATCTGTGGATCTAAACATCTTAGGCCTCCCTAGCCATGCGGGACTATGAGTCAATTAAACTTCTTTTCTTTATAAATTACCCAGTCTCAGGTATGTCCTTATAGCAGCATGAGAACAGACTAATATACCCACCCTGCTCTTTCATACCCCTGGGCAGCCCATCTGGCTCTCTACTGCATATCCTTGCTACCTGGGAACCCAGGACAGCTCCGGAGAGCCAAATCTCAGGGTGTCTCCCTGTCTGACTGATACTCTGCAGCGAGATTCATGTGACTGCACCCCAAGATGGTGCTGGGGAAACATGAGAGGCAAAACTCAGAAGTAGAGTCGTAGATGGCAAATGTAGTCTGGGGTCTCCTTTGCACTCTGTAATACCTTCATTTATCCATATATCTGCCTCCTGTAACACCTTCATTCATCTGTATAGCTGCCCTTCTCAGGCTGGAGAGGGGAAAATTGGCACATCTATATTAGAGGGTGAGATTTCCCCTTTCCTCTTTCCATCTGTATGTCTCTTAAATAAAAACCTGCAATCTAAATGATAAAAATAGTTGGCTTGGGTTGTGTTAGGGTAGGGGAGATTATGAGATTTAGACAAACCTTTCTTCAGAACATGCCTCGGGTTGCAAGGTACTGTCTGATGCAGAATCCCATTTTTGAATTTCAAAAGCTGAATTTTACTTCAGTGTCCTTTATGCTTTATTTCGCTAATAAACTCCCTTCAGACTGATAGAGTTTATTACAGGCTGATTAGGGCTGACTAGAGTATGAGGGTAGTTTACAGAGAAAAGCAACATGTTACTATGTTACCCTTAGATTAGATGACCCTAATATTTAAACATTTTATCTAATATGTATGTTATATGTAAATATACAAAATTTAACAAGTTGTAAATGATGATTATTTCTATTATACAGTAATAGTAGTATACTAAGCATTTTTTCTTTATATTAGCCTGAAATGTTATTTTTCCAAGCTCACTATAATGCATATACATTGCTTCTATAATAAAAGCACGGTAAGTATTGCTTACAAATGTTGTAAAAGCAAGAAGTATAGGGACTTACAAATGCCAAAGCAGATAATACATAACAAAATTCAAAATGGCAGTAACGGCTGGGCGTGGTGGCTAACGCCTGTAATCCCAGCACTTTGGGAGGCCAAGGTAGGAGGATCGCTTGAACTCAGGAGTTTGAGACCAGCCTGAGCAACATGGTGGAATCCCATCTCTACAAAAAGTACTAAAATTAGTCAGGTGTGGTGGTGCATGCCTATAGTCCTAGCTACTGGGGAGGCTGAGGTGGGAGGACCACTTGAGCCCAGGAGGCCAAAGCTGGAGTGAGCTGAGATCATGCCACTTCACCCCAGCCAGGGCAACGGAGGCAGACCCTGTCTCAAAAAAAAAAAAAAATGGCAGTAATAACTTGTAGGACAGAATTGTGAGACATAATATATTAACGACTTTATATACATAAGAGTCAAAATATAATTTTCCTTTAAAAACCCTTATGTTGGGAGGCTGAGTCAGGTGGATTGCCTGAGCTCAGGAGTATGAGACCACCCTGGGAAACATGGAAAAACCGTGTCTCTACTAAAATACAAAAAATTTAGCCAGACATGGTGGTGCAAGCCTGTAGTCCCAGCTACTCGGGAGGCTGAGGTAGGAGAATTGCTTGAACCTGGGAGGCGGATGTTGCAGTGAGCCGAGGTGGCGCCACTGCACTCCAGCCTGGGAGACAGCAAGACTCCATCTCAAAAACAAAATAGAACAAAACAAACAAACAAAAAAACAAAAACCCATATGTGTTTTTAACTTTTAAGTAGTCAGAATGTTCAGATGGAAAAATCCACTCACTTGTTCATATGTTGCTATGGCTGGTCAGGGGACTTATACAAACACGTGAAATAATGCAGGTGGCATATTTGATGTAAATGGTCATTGTTTTGTCTATAGGTACAGTCTTTCTTTAAGTTGATTTCGTTGTCTGTTTGTTTCTTCTTTTTATCGAGGGCTAATTCTGGAAGGAAAAATCTAGAATTCTGTTCCAAAGCCTGCCTTTTATCACTGTTTCTGTCTCTCTTCAAAGGAGAAGAATGGAAGGGCGTTACAAAACAGGAACCATAGCTTGTTGGGGAAGATGAATTACCAAGTGATGAATCAAACCAGGGCCACCGATGGTGCCCTAAATCATAAGAGTGGGCTGTCAAAGGAAACCCCATAGGAGATTTAGGACTTGGCACCACCTATCCATCTCATCCAGGATGCATTTAGCGACTCACGTGCTCATGTGTCAAGTGATATTTGGGGCCATGGACCTCTTGGGGCTCTTATCAAAAGCTTCTGTGACTAATTAGAAAGGAATTAGTCCCCCTGCCTTTCTCTGGAGCTGTGTGAATACTGTGAGATGCTAGAAGTGAATGTCTACATTCATGTCATTCCAACTCCATCCCAGCTGTTTAGAATAAGAGCCGGCTCTCTGTGGACTTCTCCATCTTTCTCTTGGAACTAACTAAAAGTCAGTTGAGCAGTACATCAACAGTTCTGTTCTTAAAAACTTCTGGATTATGAAAATAAGAATGACATTCCACGTCGGGGAGAGTGCCAAGGTGTCATTGACTATCCCATCTCGCTAAATTCCCGTATGGAAAGACCAGATCACCAAGCTGGTTCCTTCTTCCTGTTTTCAAGGATTGCCCCCTGAGCACTGGTGCCTAGGAAAAACCCAGCTCCCTTGACATGTTTTAGGATGGAATTTTCTAGAATCACCCATTTTTCTTTCTGACACTTCCACTGTCTCGGTTTGGTATCTCTCTTCGACTGAAGCTGGCTTTCTGCCACAGCTCTTGTTTAGTTCTCTCCTGATTTCAGGACGTTCTGTTAACTCTCTTCTTCAGCCAATTCCCAAGTGTCATCCATCAACAGTTTGAGCTTAGGCAGACACGTGAAGCTAGCACCCAGCAAAGTGGTTTGGAAAGTGATGATGTTAGGCAGAGTGTGGGTTATTTTCAAAACAAACCAGCTGAATTCAGTCAAGCAACCAAGCAGTTTGTAACTGGTTGGTTGTGATCCAAGTGTTGGAAGAGTCTATGTCTTTCAAAGCCATCTGTGTATATAGACACAGCGTTACTTTCCATAAACTGACATCCTTATCATCATTCCTCTTAATCGACACATTAATACTTCTTACCCTTTAGGTTTTTTTTTTCATGGTTGATGGTATATTTCATTAGGGAACGAATTTATTCTAATTAATTTGAGGCACAACATTCGTCTGTTAAACCTGATTTCATCTATAAAAAGAGGTTCTTTGAGCATGATAGAATTTTACAAGCACAAGCAATTTCAGTTGCAATGTCCTTCTAAGTCTGGGAACTGGAAATATAATTTGCAGTGAGCTCCATCTTCTTCAATTCATCCTCCTCCTTTTCTTCCTCCTCTCTCTTTCATTTTCCTTCAGGATCTCAGCACATCACATTGTTAATCTAGATTCCAGAGGCTAAACATTGCTAGGAATGGGGAAAGAACATAAATCACCTCTTTCCCCCACTTTTTCTGCTCTAATTTTAAATATGTGAATCATAATCCTAGGAAAATATGCTGGGTAAAGAAAGGAAATATATAGGGAAAGAGGGGGGAAACACATACCTGGTCAGATTTCCAGCCAGCTTCTGCAAGGCAGCCACCAGACAGGCTAATAACCTAAGACAACGTCTGACAGGTTGATATTTCGACCTTGGTTTCCTGAAAAATATTTTTGGGCCCAGAATATTGCAGTGCCTACCTGCCATGTGAAATTCTAAAAGCAGACTCAGAGAAGGCAAAGAAGAGTGACTAGAAAAAGGACAGCTTCTGATTTTGTCAATCTATTTTGCAGCTCATACAAGTTGTAGATTTAAATAATCTATGACAAGACTTCACGGGCTCAGTTTGCAGAGAACAATTTGCTAGCTGGATTTATCACTAGATTCAATTTAATTTTTTTTTTTGTAGAGACAGGGTCTTGCTATGTTGCCCAGGCTGGTCTCAAATTCCTGGCCTCAAGCAATTCTCCTGCCTCAGCCTCCAAAGGTGCTGGAATTATAGGTGTGAACCACTGCACCTAGCCTCTATGTTCAATTTTAGTGACTTGTCATAGTAGACCTTAATTTCTTACTTTTATTTATCTGCTTATGACTTGCCTGGGCCCTTTATGTTCTTGAGACCCCTCAACAGAGCTGTCCTCTGTCTGTTCTAATACAACAGTCCCCAACCTTTTTGGCACCAGGGACTAGTTTGGTGGAAAACAATTTTTCCACAGACAGCGGAGGTGGGGGGGATGGTTTCAGGATGATTCAAGGGCATTATATTTATTGTGCACTTTATTTCTATTATTATCACATTGTAATATATAACAAAATAATTATACAATTTGCTGTCATGTAGAATCAGTGGGAGCCCTGAACTTGTTTTCCTGCAAGTAGATGGTCCCATCTGGAAGTGATGGGAGACAGTGCCAGATCATCAGGCATTAGATTCTCATAAGGAGCTCGCAACCTAGTTCCCGGGCATGCACAGTTCACAACAGGGCTCCTGCTCCTATGAGAATCTAATGCCACCACTGATCTGACAGGAGGCAGAGCTCAGGTGGGGATGCGAGTCATGGGGAGCGGCTGTGTGTACAGATGAAGCTTTGCTCGCCTGCCTGTGGCTCACCTCCTGCTGTGCAGCCTGGTTGCTAACAGGCCACAGACCGGTACCAGTACTGGTGCCGGTCTGTGATTCAAGGGTTGGGGACCCCTGCTCTAATGGGCTTGCTTCTGAGGCCACAACCTGATCAGAGAAGACAGTTATACCTCTGGCTTTCTACCTCCCAGAATGCTGGGACCCCACACCTTTTACATTCCTTTCTTCCCCTTGGCCGGTCCCAGGTGGTTCAAGCATAGACAATTCTTGATAGTCATTGAGGTTTTCTTGAGTTGTCCACGGCACAGCTGCCCTGGGTCATGGACCACTGACCTTGACTTCCTTCTTTGCTCCAGTAGTGCTACAACTCCTTTGTTAGACTCTCCGAATAGAGGCCCTGGTCCTTTTGCTTCCTTGTAACTCCTACTCTCCTGGAACAAATTCCATCAGGGCTGCTAGAAAAAGGCTCGCAGAGCCACCATCTCCCTCTTGGAGGTCCGGGTCTTGCTGCTCCTGCAAGGTAAGAAGCTCTGGGGTATGTGAGAACACCTCATTTCCAGTTAAAGAGACAGAATAAGGAATGTAAGAGGTGTGGGGTCCCAGCATTCTGGGAGGTAGAAAGCCAGAGGTATAACTTTCTTCTCTGACCAGGTTGTGGCCCAGGAAGCAAGTCCATTAGCAGACAGAGCACAGTACTACTGACGGCTCCCAAGAACATAAAGGGCCCAGGCAAGTCATAAGCACAGAAATACAAGTAAGAAATAAGTGTCCACTCTGGCAAGTCACCAAAATTGAACATAGTGGCCGGGTGCAGTGGCTCATGCCTACAATCCCAGTGCTTTGGAAGACCAAGGCAGTAGAATTGCTTGACCCTCTTTCTACCAAAATAAAAAAAAATTAAAATGGAATGTAGTGATAAGTCCAGCTAGCAAATTGTTTCCTGAAGACAGAGCTCACAAAGTCCTTTTTTTTTTTTTTGAGATGGAGTCTCACTGCAACCTCTGCCTCTTGGGTTCAAGTGGTTCTTCTGCCTCAGCCTCCTGAGTAGCTGGGATTACAGGTGCATGCCACCACACCTGGCTAATTTTTGTATTGTTAGTAGAGATGCGGTTTCACCATGTTGGCCACGTTGGTCCCAAACTCTTGATCTCAAGTGATCCACCTGCCTCGGCCTCCCACAGTGCTGGGATTACAGGCATGAGCCACTATGCCCAGCCACGAAGTCTTATAATAGATTATTTAAATCAACAATTTCTATGAGCTGCAAAATAGATTGACAAAATCGGAAGCCATCCTTTTTCTATCACTCTTCCTTGCCTTCTCTGAGTCTTCTGTGTAGCCAGCATTTCTCTGAATAGATGTTCCTGTCTCTTTAACTAGCAATGAGGTGTTCTCATCTATAGCAGAGCTTCTTACCTGACAGGAGCAGCAAGACCTGGACCTCCAAGAGGGAGATGGTAGCTCTGTAAGCCGTTTCCTAGTGGCCCCAGTGGAATTCATTCCAAGCGAGTGGGAGTTATAAGGACGCGAAAGGACCAAGGCCACTATTTGGGGAGTCTGACGAAGGAGTTGTAGCACTCCTGGAGGAAAGAAGGAAGTCAAGGTCAGTGGTCCATGACCCAGGGCAGCTGCACTGTGCACAATTCAAGAAAACCTCAGTGGTTTTCAGAGGAATGCTGGCTACTGCCCAGCCATGAGAAAGATGTTGAGACAGGGTACCAGGCAGCCCAGGAGGGCCATTGCTTAGAGCTGCTTACAATAAGTCTGCAGCTCCCAATGACTTACTGTGTGATTTGCCTGGATCTGAGAAACTCTATTCTCCAGAGGCTGATGATGGTGCTCCTAGGGCAATGCTTTATACTCCTGCATAGCATCTGTTTTCCATTTCTATTCCCTGTAAATGTACATTGTTGGCCACTTGCCTGCACTTGCCTCTCCCTGCCCCCTCCCCTTCCTTTCTCTCCTCTAGATAGCTTTTCTCTTAGGAAGAATGGGATCACTTCTCTCCCGAACAGGTCTTCCCACAGAGGAAAATGCTGAACAGTACCAAATGTGGGCTTTGGTTTGTGTATTTCCTGTGGCTGCACAGGGCAACTAGGCAGATAATTGCCTCTGGAGTTTCTTCCCATTTTGCAGACACAGCCTTGAGTTCTTGCCTTTCCAGTAGGGCTTGAAATTGTCTTTATGACAGTGGTTCCAATGTTATGGGCAACGTGGGCAGCTTCTCATGTTATTCCTGGAGAATCACTTTCCAGGTTCTTCTCTCTCTCCCTCTCCAGCCTCCCCCAATTTCCCTTTATCTTCGCTTCTAATTGGAAAAACGGAGGAGGGAGGTATGGTGAAAGAAGAGATCCTAAAATAGGTCAGGCCATCATGCAGGTTCCAAAATAAATGTCATCAATGCCAAGTCACTGAACCATATAGCCCAAGCTGACAGGGCCTCATTACCTGCTGTTCTGACTTGGGATTTTAAAGTC